>NC_000008.11:6105701-6407986 GCF_000001405.40 Homo sapiens
ACACAGATAATTTTTGTATTTTTAGTACAGATGAAGTTTTACCATGTTGGCCAGGCTGGTCCCAAACTCCTGACCTCAGGCGATCCACCTGCCTCAGCCTCCCAAAGTGCTGAGATTACAGGTGTTAGCCACCGCACCCAGCCTTGCTCACATATAACTTTCATCAGTGTTCCTATTGGAAGGTGACTCTCCTCCAAGCAGTGACTCGGGGACCCAGACTCCTCCCATCTTGTGGTCCTGTCATCTTCAAAATGTGGCTTCCAAGTCACTATGCTTGCGTGTATTATAAGGGTGGAAAAGGAATTCACATGTGGAAATAGGAAAGTGGTACACATTCTATTCATTCATTTATTTACTCATTTATTTATTCATGTACTGATTGATTGACCTATGTATTTATTAGCTGTTACTATCTAAAGGAGAAGTAAAATGTGGTCTAGCAGTATGCCCAGGAAAAAGGGTGATTGTTTGGGAACAGCACTCCAGTCTTTGCCATGGCTAAATATATTAATATCCCCATTTTATAGATTAGTAAATGTTGGCACTGGAGAGTAAATAACTTACCCAAGTCATACAGTTGTTAAGTGTCAGAGCCTGGATTCAAACCCAGGTAGTCTGGTCCAAGAGTCCTGCTCTTAACAGAGATGACTGATTATTTCTCCTTAAAGATGTGATGAATTGAATGAAGCACCTGTGGGTATGTCACGTTCCATTTCTCAGCAGGACAGGCAGAGAAGTAGCATATTTCCTTCTTTTGAAGCCTTAACCCTCCTTCCTTCTTTCTTCCATCCCCTCATTGCCATTTAACTTATACTTTAGTGGATTCTTGTACAAGATTTCTCTATCAAGAGCTCCTACCAATACTAAGAAAGTTTTTGGTATTGAGTTCCAAATTTCAAAACTCTTATCACAGACTTGAATAGAAGCAGCAGTTACTACGGTACTGTGGTACTTTAATGACAGCAAGTCCTCCAGCCCAGTAAACTCCTACACTGAAATGAAATGGATAAGGGACAATCCTTTTTTATACTGGAACTTGAAAGTATAAAGGATATTCTATCAATTATAAAACTTTTTTCTATGAAAAAAATACTTTTAGATTCTGTAAGGTTTTTTCCCTAAATGTTTTAGTCTTGTTTCTCTTACACCCCTTTGCCTTTATTTCTAAGGCCTTGATCCACATTGAGTTAATATTTGAAAATAAGAAGTCTCACATGCACACGTATATTTATTGCGGCACTATTCACAATAGCAAAGGCTTGGAACAAATCCAAAAGTCCAACAATGATAGAATGGATTAAGAAAATGTGGCACATATACACCATGGAATACTATGCAGCCATAAAAAATGATGAGTTCATGTCCTTTGTAGGGACATGGATGAAATTGGAAATCATTCTCCGTAAACTATCGCAAGGACAAAAAACCAAACACCGCATGTTTTCACTCATAGGTGGGAATTGAACAATGAGAACACATAGACACAGGAAGGGGAACATCACACTCTGGAGACTGTTGTGGGTGGAGGGAGTGGGGAGGGATAGCATTAGGAGATATACCTAATGCTAAATGACGAGTTAATGGGTGCAGCACACCAGCATGGCACATGTATACATATGTAACTAACCTCTGCACATTGTGTACATGTACCCTAAAGCTTAAAGTATAATAATAATAAAAGAAAAGAAAAGAAAAGAAGAAAATAAGAAGTCTCATAAAGGAACTATATTGTACTTACGAAAAAGCTGCTTGTTTTCAGTGCTGTGCTCATAATAACTCTTTCCTCTCAGTAAGCCCTGTCCTTCAGGGCTCATTCATCTCTACCTTTCCACACCCCACTCGCTTTATGTCAACGTTTGAACTCTGCTTCCTCACAGAGCCTGCCAGTGGGCAGGACATGGAATGGGCCCGTGACTCTAGGCCTCCCCACAAGCTGAGTTTTGGGTTCTCAGAGTCTTCCCAGTTCTTAGAGACAAATCTCCCCAAACACTGTTGTTCTGTCTGACTACAAATGTCCCTGCTACAATTTCCGTTTCTATCCTTTGAGCTGACCCCCAGTCCTGACTTGGTCACATTAGACTGCACTACTGCCCTCCCATTCCACCCTCCTGCTTTGGAGGAAAGTTAAGTAGTTCTGCAGCCAGATCACTTTTTTCTTGCATAAATGTAGCCAGTCCTTTTTTCTCCCAACTAGCCACTGCTGATGAGTTCCCATTTTGCCTCAGAGCATAAACCATTACTATTGAGACCTTGGATAGCACTAGGGAAATACTAACCACATTCAGATACCTAGGTTAGCCACACTTGGATTATATTTACCAAACAGCTCCTTTTTTCCCTAGGCATACAGTTGAACAACATTTTCAAACCTCCCTTTTAGTTAGTTGTTGCCACACGCTTGAGTAATAGCCAAAGAAAAATGAATAAAAAGATGTGTACCACTCCTTCAATCCTCACGCTAATTCTTTTCCACATAATGCACACAAGCACGGTGACTTGGAAGCCACATTTGTGAAGATGGCAGGATCACAGACAGAAGGAGCCTGGGTCCCTGGGTCACTGTTTGGAGGAGAGTCACCTTCCCATCGGAACACCTGATGAAAGTTGTATGTGAACAAGAAATGAACTCTGTTGTGCTTGAGTCATGATACCTTTTGGGGTTTTTGTTGTTGTTGTTGTTGTTACAGCATTATTTTGACAAATCTACAACCTCCTAGGGCTATTCTGAGGGTGAAATGAGTGAATGCATGTATCCTGCTTAGAGGGGAGCTTAGTAAATAGCATGCGAACTCCTAGGAAATGTTTGCTATTATTATTACCAAAAGTTAAAGAGATGTGGAGGTTCTCAGTCTAAGCAAATAAATATAGTTGATTAGGCAAGTGTTAAATATGACCTCAATGTATCTCATTTGTATGTTTTTTTTAGATAATCAAGTTTCCCATTAAGAAAGCCACAGATGAAGGGCATCAAGTATCATTCATTCAACAATCAGCCAAATTGGACTGAGCACAAACTCTACACCAAACCTTAGGATTCATCTATAAAACAGCTTTGCTACTTGAAGTGTGGTTCTCAGACAAGCAGCATCAGCATCACCTGGAAGCTTATTAAAAACTACAGACTCTCAGACCCCCTCCTAGACCCACAGACTCAGAAGACGCATTTTGACAAGTTCCCTAGGTAGCTCATATGCACGCTGAAGCTTCAGAAGCTTTCTAAAAACGGATACCGTCCCAGACATCAGAGTACTGTCCATCCGTGAAAAGGAAGACGAGAAAGTAATTAACCCTGGCAGGGAAAATCAGGAAAGACTTTACAGCTGAAAAGTTTTGTTTTTTAATTTGGATCTTGAAGGATAAATCAAAGTTTACCAGATGGAAAAATAAATGCAGGCAACTTTGATAAAGAAGCTAGAGTGTAAAATGACACAGCCATGAAGGACTGTGATCTTTTCCTGTGGGGTTGCAAAGACAGTCTGTGGGCTGACTGTGAGGGCAGAACCAGAAAACATCTTCAAATTTACGTACACAAGGAGCTTGGATCCAGACCCCAAATTCGGAACACTTTGCAACCTGCTCTCCTGCACACCAGACACTAAGCTTGGAACAGGAGCCTTATCCTGTTCATAAAATTGAACGGGCGGCCTCCAACGATAGGTGTCACCATTTTCATGGGGCTTATGGTAAATACCACTGAAGATATCCAACCCTAAGCCCTGTATCAAGAGCCTCTGAGTACCCTGGAGGAGGAGGAGAGACTGCTCACTCGCCTAATACCCTGGGTTCCCTTAAAATCATGGGAAAGTTCACCTCAGCTGGGGCAGGGGTGGTGCAAAGCAGGATGATGCTGAGCTTACCGGGTAAGGCAGCAACTATACCTACCTAGGGGGTTAAGAGACAGCAAATGAAAATGGATCCCTCAAAACCTGGCATCATCCACAAAAGGTAAAAACAGATGGATACATGATGAAGGCTGTTTTTTTAGTATCAAAATAATTTAATACTGTCATAGTATTTTAAAATTGTACTCCACAAATGCTTAAAAATGAAACAATATTTGAGGTTGCAGGGCAGCTACCAGGACGAGGGACTTTCTCTCAGGGCACAAGCATTGTGTTTGCTCATCTTCCCACCAATCCTACAAAGCATTTTCCGCTGTCAGTCACATTTTCTAGGTGAAGAAATCAAATTGGAGAATCCAACCATATTTAAGTGAAACTGCATTCTAATCCTGGACCCATCACTTATTATCTGACACCACACTCCCTCTAGAAAACATACCCCTCCCATTCCTGAGTCTCCCCAGTGGTTAACCCCAAACATATCAAGTTTGCAGTTGATGGCACACACTCTGTGGCTTTGCATATTGTATTAAACAGCATTACCCATGCCCTCCAGTGTATATCATGGAAGCTGATCCTCCTACATACTCCAGCCTGGGTAACACCATGCTTTACCGTACACTTCCAATACTACCAACTAACCAACACTACCAAGTGTACCAAGCCATACAGCATTGCCAATAAGGCATAGTGTACGTTATAACTGGTAAGTTTAAGTGCATGGTACACCAGCTACACCATACACTTCGCCTTACTGGAAATGTTGTAATGGCTTGTGGCTAAATTTAGCTGGCTAAATAAATGAGCATTTTATCATGCTGCCACTGAAGGTGACAAACCTTCCCCATGTCCTCCTTGTGTCTATGTATAGGCTAATCTCCTCATGAAAGAATTTGTGATTTGAAATTTCATTTTGCCTTCACCTACAATATACTATTTCCAGAAGAGCTCTGGGAATACAAAATGGAAAGGCAAGAACCATCTTGACAATTCCCTCTCCAGCCAGCAAAGCCGTTCCTGGGAAGATCGTACCCTCCAGCACTCATCAAAAGTAATTACCCTGGAGAGGGAACACGGTTTGGAAAAGTAAGACCATTTCCATTATTACTTTCTTGTATTAAATAATAAATATTTAACACGATAAAGTTAAAGCAATCAAGATGACAAATGACAAAGAAAAAGGGTATGAGGTACAAAAATACTACTTGCTCTCCAGAGAGATGTTCCCAAGCAAAATAAACAATAAAATACTTTCATTGTTCTTTTAGCATTTTCTTCTAGCTTTATTTGAGAATTAAATGCTCCCATTGGGTTTAACCTGAGACCTAGTCTAACACTGAATCTTAGATGTTTGGCTTCAAACAGACCACAAACTCACGCAGGAATCCTGGGATTTACAAAGGAGTGTGTGCAACCAAAAAGGGTTTACAAGCTTTGATGAGCAAGTCCAGATACAAATTCTTATTAACACACTAATTTTCTCTGCCACAAAAGGAATTTATATTGTGAGAGCAGGCGTTCTACATGCAGAAGTTAAAAAGAGAACAATAATCCAGTTCCTAGCAGGCAATATCGGGAAAAAATAATATTAATACAATGAGAAATGTTGAGCTGATTTTTAATATGATTTTCTTAACACTTTTAAAATATTTCAATGATTATTGCAATGAAGTTGGTGCCAATTCTTCTTGATGTCCAGAAATACAAGATCAATTTGGACCTTAAATTTGCACAGGAAACTTACTACTAAAGCCTGCTTTCTGAATAGGTGAATGGGCAGCTATCTACAATATACAATTCAAAGAGCCTAGATTTTGTTTCCCAAAACAAATCTTACAACCTGGTTGGCTGAAATCTCACCATGAAAGCACTTTTGATCTGGTACAAAAGTAGCCTAAATATTGCTGAGCTACTTATAGGGAAAGGGATGGAGTTTTATTTTTTCAGCACTTACTTAGTCCCAAGAAATTGTTAGGCAGCTGGGTGCAGTGGCCCATGCCTGTCGTCCCAGCACTTTGGCAGTCCAAAGCAGGAGGATCATTTGAGCCCAAGATTTCAAGATCAGCCTGGGCAATAGAGTAAGACCTTGTCTCTACAAAAAAATTAAAAAATTAGCCAGGCATGGTGGCACATGCCTGTTGTCCAGCTACTCAGGAGGCTAACAGAGCCAGAGAGACAGAGCCAGACCCTTTCTCAAAAAAAAAAATATACACATATATATATTATATACAACATATATTAGGTACTTAACAAGTTACCTAACATATAATATATACTATATACAAAATATTTAATATATAGTATATACCAATATATATACTATATATTATATAAAATACATAATATATAGTATTTATAATGGTATATAGTATATATTATATAAATAAATATAATTTATATATATACTATATATTTTCATATATAGTATATACATTTTTATATATAATTTATATATATAATTTTTATGTGCTAATTATATATACTATATATATTTTTATATATACAATTTTATATAATATATAATTTTATAGATATATTTTTATGTACAAATTATATATATACTAAATATATAATATATATGCTATATATACTATATATAATATATATTATATATACTAATTATATATAGTATATATATTCTATATACTAACTATATATATTAGTATATATATTCTATATACTAATTATATGTAGTATATATATTCTATATACTAATTATATGTAGTATATATATTCTATATACTAATTATATATAGTATATATATTCTATATACTAATTATATATAGTATATATATTCTATATACTAATTATATATACAGTATATATTCTATATACTAATTATATATAGTATATATCTTATATATAATATATACTAATAATATATATAGCATATATATGGTGTATATATACTATAGAGTATATATAGATAGTATATATACATATACTATATATGTATAGTATACTATCAGTACACCATATAGCATACTATATATACTATATATGTATAGTATACTATATAGTATACCATATAGTATACTATAAATACTATATATGTATACTATACTATATGGCATATATATAATATACTATATATGTATAGTATACTATATAGTATACATATAGTATACTATATATACTATATATGTATAGTATACTATATATACTATATATGTATAGTATACTATATGTATACTATATGTATACTATATATACTATATATGTATAGTATACTATAAGTATACATATAGTATACTATATGTATACTATATAGTATACTATATATACTATACATGTATAGTACACTATAAGTATACATATAGTATACTATATATACTATACATGTATAGTATACTATATAGTATACATATAGTATACTATATATACTATACATGAATAGTATACTATATAGTACACATATAGTATACTATATATACTATACATGTATAGTATACTATGTAGTATACATATAGTATACTATATATATACTATTACATATACTAATTATAGATTTTTATATATAATTTATATATACTATATACAGCATATATAGTATATATAATATATATAGTGTATATATAATATAGACTAATTATATATTTTTATATATATAATTTATATATATAAATATATACTATATAATATATACTATATATAGTATATATATACTATACCTACACTATATATAGTGTATATATAGTATATATATATATATACTGTCTACTATATATAGTATATACATATATACTATACGTATATAGTATGTATATAGTATATATATACTATATACATATACATGTATATAGAGTGTATATATAGTATATACGTATATACTATATACGTATATAGTATATACGTATATACTATATATACACTATGTACTATATACAGTGTATATACACTATAGACACTCTATACAGTGTATATACACTATAGACACTCTATACAGTGTATATACTGTATAGACACTCTATACAGTGTATATACTGTATAGACACTCTATACAGTGTATATACTGTATAGACACTCTATACAGTGTATATACTGTATAGACACTCTATACAGTGTATATACTCTATAGACACTCTATACAGTATATATACTCTATAGACACTCTATACAGTATATATACTCTATAGACACTATATCCTATATATAGTGTACATAGAGTATATACACTATATACTATACTATATGTACACTATATCTCATATATAGTGTACATATAGTATATACACTATATACTATATATACTATATGTACACTATATATAGTATATATACTATATATAGTATACATAGTATATATACTATATATATCCTATATATAATAATTATAAATTTTTATATATAATTTATATACTGTATATAATATCAATACTATATATTTATATAATATATAGTATATATACATTTATAAAACTATATCATATATTTACATATTATATAAATATATAAATATATATTTATATAATATATAAATATATAAATATATATTTATATAATATATAAATATATAAATATATATTTATATAACATATAAATATATATTAATATATAATAGAAATATATATTTATGTTATATGAATATATATTTACATATTATATAATATATATTTATATAATATATACTAGATATTTAGATATTATATGAATATATATTTAGATAATATCTAAATATATCATATATTTAGATAATATATAATTATATAATATATTTAGATAATATCTAAATATATGATATATTTAGATAATATCTAAATAATGTAATATAATATATAAATATAATATCTTTATATATTATCTAAATATTTAGATAATATATAAATATTTATATATTATCTAAGTATATCATATATTTATATATTATCTAAATATATATATAAATATATTATAGATTATATAATATATCATTATATAAATATATTATAGATTATATAATATATATTATATAATTATAGATTATATAATATAATTATATAATATATTATATAATTATATAATATATTATATAATTATATAATATATTATATATTACATAAATAATATATTTATATAAATATATAAATAATATATTATATAATTATATATTATATATACATTTATATAAATATATTATATAATTTTATAATATATTATATATACATTTATATATCATATAATTATATAATATATTATATATACTTTTATATAATATATTATATATACTTTTATATAATATATCATATAATTATATATTATATATACATTTATATATCATATAATTATATATTATATATACATTTATATATCATATAATTATATAATATATTATATATACATTTATATATCATATAATTATATATTATATATACATTTATATATTATAGAATTATATAATATATAATATATTTATATATTGTATAATTACATAAATATATTCTATATAATTTTATGTATCTTAAACTATATATAAAATTAAGTACCATATATAATATACTTAAGATATCTAATATATAAATATATATAAATATATTTATATTATAATATATATTTTATAGTATATATAATTTTTATGTGTATATATTACATATTTTATATATTATATATTTTATACACTTATATATTTATTGTATATTTATATGTTATATAAATATATTTTATATGAATATATTATATAAATATATATTTATATAAATATGTTATATATAACATATATTTATATATTACATAGCTTAAGTATATAATATATGGTACTTAACATATAATATATGTTTAATATATAATATATAATATATGTAATATATATTATACACTGTATAATATATTTTTATATATTATATATTGTATATTTTATAGATTATATATTATATATATATATAAGGTAATTCATTAAGTACTTTGATCTTCCCAACAGCCTAATAAGGAATGTTAAATACACCTAATTTCCAAATGAGAAGCCGGTCTCACAGAAATGTAAAACACAGCATCTGCAGTCCATGCTCACAGAGGGGAAGAGTGAATGTTGGTAACAGTGCAACCATTGCCAGAGTCAATCCCTGCCTTTGCAGTCTACCACCCTATACAACCCGGAAGGAATATGGCATTAGGATTGCTTGGCCAAACCCCAGGAGTGATTGGTTTACACTCTTGTCATGTGGCTGAGAATCAGTTGTTTCAGCCTGAACCTCTTGGATCAGCCCTAGAACATTGGAAAATAATAGGACCTGGGTTGAAACAGCCCCATTCATCTCTATCAGGCTGGTTTAAGCATCTGAGAGACAGTAGCCAGGGCTGTGCTGTTTGTACCCGTGACTTCTCCTATTGTGTTAAGAGTCATTTGTAATGCCCTAGGGCATCCTAAAAAAAAACATGCCCACAGAAGCCGACAGAAAAGTGAGGAAGGAACTGAATGCTATCATTTGCAGTCGCTTCTGGATTAGATGGATTGCAGGGCCCAGGGCTGGCGGTTAAGGGTGGCTGCCTGGGTTCTCCTGATGCTCAACAAATTCCAGGCACAGACTCCTGACCTTTTGCTACCTAAACTTCTATCCAGGCCCCTACAATAATGGAGCTGCTTACAGGTGAATGGTGAGCTAATTTATGTAAATATGGATTTTGCTGGAGTCTTAAGGGTCTTCATAAAACATCTGCAAAACTAATGAAAAGTTGTTTAGTACAGTAAAAAAACCCAAGACTTCTATTTGAGTGCATAAATGTCTCTAAATGTGTAAGGGTTAAGGAAGAAAAGAAACCAACTGCCTCAGGAGACATTCAAATTATTCTAGTCTTTCTGGAAAAAAGTGACTGTGGAGGAGTTGTAAATCTTTTCATTGTGCCACTAATTGCTACCAAGGAGAGCATTCCGACGCAGGCTGCCAAGGCTGGGGAGGACAAGGTTCCCTCTTGAGTTCTTTAAAAGCTGGGCCATTGGTGAGTTCTGAAGGAGTCTGTGCACCCACACTAGAAGGTCTCTTTTAACCGCATGGTTCTCTACATCCATAATTAACAATCTCAAATTTTAAGACCCTTACAATTATAAAACAGTTTCTATCAAAGCAGTGTTTTCAGACTTTAAAGTTTTAGATGATAGGTTTCCAAGAGAGGAGAATTATGTTTATTATCTACTTTGTATCTAGGTGCATGGTTCTCTCATTTAAGGCTTCAGTTTCCATGGAAACAGGCTGTGGGGCAATGTATGGTTATCAGGAACATTTCCTTTAACACCTCCCAGTCTTTCAAAAGTACTTGCAACCAGCCTACCTATATAAAGTCTTAAATCTTTATAATTAAATTTACATGTAGTAAAAGTACTAAGCCCCCAACAGAGAAATAGAAACAATGCATGAAGAGACAATAAACACTTGTCATTCATTCATGCAGTATGACTGAGTGTTCCACAACTGCCAGCCATCGAGCCCCGCTCCGAGGGGAAAAAAGAGAGAGAGGACCCAGCTTCTAACCACTAGACACGTGCACTTCACACACTGTGGAACTGATTAACAAACACTGAGAAATGCCAGCCTGACTAGTAATAACAGAACAGCAAATGTACAAAATTAAAGAGCCCCATCCTTCAAGCTACCAACTTTGGGAAACTGTGATAGCAACCAGTGTTTGTAAGGCACTGAAACGGGAGCTCTGTGCTGCTGGTTGCTTTTTGAAACATCAAATCCAGTTCTTCTACTTCTGAAAAATAACTCTAATGGGAAAATAGGTTATGCATAAAGATATTTACAGTAACATTATTTTTAATTGTGGAATACTGGAAAAAATGGATATTCAACAATAATGGAATCATTATATTCCATTGGCAGAACTGCATTTAGGCATTAAAATAATACCCATGAAGATTATAAAAAAATGGAAAATTCCTGTTTATGTCAACTCTAAAGAGAGATTTGTGTGCACAGTTTGACAGTTACCATTAAAAAGTTTGTATTAAAAAACAAGCAATGGGGAAAGGATTCCCTATTTAATAAATGGTGCTGGGAAAACCGGCTAGCCACACGCAGAAAATGGAAATTGAACCCTTCCCTTACACCTCATACAAAAATAATCTCAAGGTGGATTAAAGACTTAAACATAAAACATAAAACCATAAAAAACCTAGAAGAAAACCTAGCAATACCATTCAGGACATAGGCATGGGCAAAGACTTCATGACTAACACACCAAAAGCAATTGCAAGGAAAGCCAAAATTGACAAATGGGATCTCATTAAGCTAAAGAGCACAGCAAAAGAAACTATCATCAGAGTAAACAGGCAACCTACAGAATGGGAGAAAATTTTTGCAAATCTATACATCTGACAAAGGGCTAATATCCAGAATCTACAAGGAACTTAAACAAATTTACAAGAAAAAAAAAAACAACCCCATCAAAAAGTGGGTGAAGGATATGAACAGACTCTTCTCAAAAGACAGTATATATGCAGCCAACAAATATATGAAAAAAAGCTCATCATCACTGGTCATTAGAGAAACGCAAATCAAAACCACAATGAGATACTATCTCATGCCAGTTAGAACGGCGATCATTAAAAAGTCAGGAAACAACAGATACTAGAGACGATGTGGAGGAAATAGGAACACTTTTTACACTGTTGGT
The DNA here is from genome assembly GCF_000001405.40 of Homo sapiens. Lineage (NCBI taxonomy): Eukaryota > Metazoa > Chordata > Mammalia > Primates > Hominidae > Homo > Homo sapiens. The sequence continues at coordinate 6,118,130 of NC_000008.11, forward strand.
GGGACTGTAAATTAGTTCAACCATTGTGAAAGACAGTGTGGCGATTCCTCAACAATCTAGAACCAGAAATACCATTTGACCCAGCCATCCCATTACTGGGTATATACCCAAAGGATTATAAATCATTCTGCTATAAAGACATATACACACATATGTTTATTGCAGCCCTGTTCACAATAGCAAAGACTTGGAGCCAACCCAAATGCCCATCAGTGATAGACTGGATAAAGAAAATATGGCACATATACACCATGGAATACTATGCAGTCATAAAAAAAGAATGAGTTCATGTCCTTTGCAGTGACATGGATGAAGCTGGAAACCATCATTCTCACCAAACTAACACAGGAACAGAAAACCAAACACCGCATGTTCTCACTCATAAATGGGAGTTGAACAATGAGAACACATGGACACAGGGAGAGGGAACATCACACACCAGGGCCTGTCGGGGGGTGGGGGGCAAGGGGAGGGAGAGCATTAGGACAAATACTTAATTTATGCAGGGCTTAAAACCTAGATTATGGGTTGATAGGTGCAGGAAACCACCATGGCACATTTACACCTATGTAACAAACTTGCACATTCTGAACATGTATCCCAGAACTTAAAGTAAAATAAAAATTAAAAAAATAAAAATTCAGTAAGAATTAAAAATGGGTATAATTTCCACAGCTCTGGAGTAGGTCCATTGTTCCAATAAATACCTCTCATTTATTGACTGATGGCTGAAAAAAAAGTTTGCATTCAAATAAAGACTGAACATTAATATCCCAAATTATTAACAATAGTCCTTTTATGGCATAATTTTCCTTCTTTCTAATTATCTATATATTCAAATTTCTGTAATAAATACAGTCAGCCCTCTGTATCCAACCGTGCATCAAAGTATTAGGGGGAAAAAAAACAGTACAATACTGAAAAATGATACAAACAAAAAATATAGTATAAGTATTTACATAGCATTTACATAGTATTAGATACCATAAGTAATCTAAAGATGATTTAAAGTATAGTCATACATTGCTTACTGACAATGTTCCGAGAAATCTGTTGCTAGGTGAGTTTGTCATTGTGAAAACATCACAGAGTGTGCTTAAACAAACCTAGATTGCGTAGCCTACTAACACCTAGGCTATATGAGATAGCCTACGGCTCCTAGGCTACAAACTTGAATAGCATATTACTGTAACACGATGTTAATTATTCGTGTATCTGAACATCTCTCATCTCTAAACATAGAAAAAGTACAGTAAAAATACAGTATAAAAGATTAAAATGGTAACCTTTTAGGGCACTTAACATTAACAACGGTAAGTTGCTCTGGGTGGTTGATGAGTGAGTGATGAGTGAATATGAAGGCCAAGGACATGACTATACGCTACTGTGGGCTTTATAGAAACTGCGCATTTGGCCTACACTGAATTTATACAATCATTTTCTTTATCAATAATAAATTAACCTTAGCTTACTGTAATGTTTTTCCTTTATAGGCTTTTAAATTTTCTAACTTTTGACTCTTTTCTAATAACACTTAACTTAAAATACAAACATGTTTACAGCCATCCAAAAAAGATATATTTTTTATGTCATCATTCTACAAGAGTTTTTCTATTTTTAAAATTTCTAATATTTTTTAATTTTTTTAAGTTTTTTGCTAAAAACTAAGACATACACACATTTGCCCAGGTCTGTACAGGCTCAGAATCATCAACATCAGTGTCTTCAACTTCCACCTCTTGTCCCACTAGAAGATTTTCAGTGGCAGTGACATGCATGGAGCTGTCACTCCCTAGGATAACAATGCCTTCTTCTGGACACCTCCTGCAGGACCTCCTCAAGGCTATTTCACAGTTAATATTTTTTATAAGTAGAAGGAGAATACTCTAAAGTAATAAGAATAAAAAGTATAGTACAATAAATGCATAAACCAGTAACATAGTCCTTTATTAGCCTGCTCACATCTTATGTACTGGACACCATTGTAAGTGCTAGACTTTTACACAGGTGGCAGTGCAGTGCAGTAGGTTTGTTTACATTGGTGTCCTCACAAACAGCGAGTAATGCATCGTGCTATGACATTAAGATAACCACAACATCCGTAGGTAGTAGGAATTTTTCAGCTCCATTATAATCTTATGGAAACGCCATTGTATATGCAGTCTGTCGTTGACCAAAATGTGATTATGTAGCACATGGCTATATATGGGAAGATGTGGGTAGGTTATATGCAAATATTATGCCATTTTACATACGGGGCTTGAGCATCCACAGATTTTGGTATCATTGAGGGTCCTGGAACCAACACCTGCAGATACGGAGGCCCAGGTGTATACAGTAGTCCCCCTTGTCCATGGTTTTGCTTTCCAAAATGTTAGTTAACCATCGTCAAGCATGGTTCAAAAATATTAAATGGGAAATTCCAGAAGTAAACATTTACATACGTTTTTGCGGCATATTTTCATAATTGTTCCATTTTATTATTGTTGTTAATCTCTTATTGTGCCTAATTTATAAATTAAACTTTGCGATAGGTGTGTATATATAGGAAAGAACAGTATATATAGGGTTCAGTACTGTCTGACGTTTCAGACTGGGGGTCTCGGAACGAATCCTTCAAGGATACGGGGGCCGTATTGTCACTTTTAATTGCGTCACCAAACAAGACTGGGGAGTTTCTGCCAATACATCTCCTCTTTTCCATGATTATCCTTCACCACAAAACGGCCAAAGAAAACATCACATTTATAAAACAGACACTGCCTAAAGAATATACGTAAAATTTAAACAGTACATCCATAGCCCTTTCCAAAAAGGAAATGCAGGATTTGTTTTTAAGATGAGATCACTGAGAATGGTCTGAGATGACTGTCTAGGATCCCTCAGCCCTGAAACAAGTCAGTGTGAGTCCAGTAATGGGACTGCATCAGAGTCCATTGGACTTCAGGAGTGCAGGAGGGTGTCATGAGTTACACTCCACCAATTAAGGTCAGTGTAGAAAATCTGCTGCCTCTGTGGAACAGTCATCTACCCCATTTTGAAGACTTGCTTTTCCTAAATTTGTCACTGACAAGCAAGATGTGGAACTGGGTCTTTCAGTGACTCCATTTCCTCATTTTTCAGATGAATTCCCTTTAAGGGGGAACTCCCTGCCTTAACAGGTCACTTTGAGATTTTACTTAGCCATGATTGTGAAAACACCTTGGAAAGTCATGTTGTGCACTCTTTTTTGGCCACCTAGAATGTGTGAGCCCTACTCCTGGGTTTGGGGAATTCCCTGCCTAAGAAATATTGGTGGGAGGTAGAAAACTCCCTCCTCCCTAGACAGAAAAGGGCACAGGCAATGCCAGCCTCACTCTTTCCCTGGAAGCTAGCGTGCATGCCCTTGCACAGCGAGGCTGCCTCCCAGATGCACCTGGTCCACCTGAACTAGACCAAGAGATGCTCTGGCCACAGTGTGGCTGCAGCAAGGTCCAGCTCCTGAGCCAGTGGGAACCCCAGCAGCACTGTGGATGACTCCAATATCAGGACTAGAGCTTGACACTAAGCGGGGTGAACAGTGATGTATTCTTCAGAGCAATTTTATGACAAGGTTTGGGGTATGTGCCTGATTCTTTAACCTTCCTGGCAATCATGTAACCTATCCAACATTCTTTTTTAAAATACCATCATTTTATAGTTCTTAAACCTGCCAGAGTTGATTGGGTTGCTCGTAACAAAAAAATGATGACTGATGGAAATAATAAGGAGTAGTATTTTTCCCAAATAAAATATGGTGTTAACATGCTAACCTTTTTTAAAATCTCTGGCTTTCAACATCTGTAACTATTAAGTGCATACTTAGAGATGAGCTCTCAAATATAAATTCAAGAGGTACTGCCTCCCTTGTTTCAATCTAAATTTATATTCTAAATTTCTTTATTTAACTTTCAAAAATATTGTGCTAATGTTAAAGAATTTGTAATCAATGATAAATACAACTAAAATTAGTAGTTAATGTGAATTTTATTTTCATATCAATTCAGAAAATTTAGAATGCCATAAAACTTTCAACAACATTAACTTGTTAAACCGTAAAAGACAATTTTAGAGACTACATACTAAAAGCCTAGAATATTAATATACATAGTTAAGAAAAGTTCATGAGCTAATGTCCAAATTATCTCTGACATTCAACAAAGTTCTAATAGCAATGTTTTGGCAGAAAAGAAAGGTTTTTCGGTCTCTGAAGAGCAAATGACTGTTTATATCATCTCTGTCATTGCCTGAGTCAGTAAATTGCCTCAATCATGTAAATTAAATAATGTTAAATTTTCTGCTCAAGTATGTCTTCTAGACTCATACTTTTAGGTTGTTAATAGTGAGTCAGAGGATCCCACTGAAAAAATAAAGAATTCTGGTAAGGATGTAAAAGACACATTATTACCCTTGCAGGTAGAGACCAAAATATGAAAAAAATGCATTTGTTAAAAAAACAAGGCAACGCACAATAAGCAGAGAAAGATACAAAACAATGTAGATTAAGGCAGAACAAATAGAACTTTATTCATGATGCAATTTCAGAGTCTGGTAAAAGTCGTTTTTTCCCTTCCAATGTTGATCAACTCATGAAAATGAAATTCACACAACCAGAACATGTAAATATATAGAAATACACAAACATGCTCACACATACAGTACACCCCACATACATGTAGACAAATATATGATTGGATTTGCAAGCTTTCCTGGATATGGAAGGCTTATAAATAAATCAAAAAGAATCAGACAGCATTGTCATTCACACTGAGTGCCTGTATGAGTCAGGGTTCTCTACAGGGACAGAACTAACAGGATATATGTATATATGAAGAGGAGTTGATTATGGAGAATTGACTCAACACAATTAAAAGGTAAAGTCTCACGATAGGCTGTCTGCAAGTTGAGGAGCAAGGAATTCAGTAGTGGATCAGTTTGAGTTTCAAAACCTCAAAAGTAGGGAAGCCAACAGGGCAGCCTTCAGTCTGTGGCTGAAGGCCTGAGGGCCCTGAGAGACCTTGGCAAACCACTGGTGTGAGTCCAAGAGTCAAAAAGCCGAAGAACTTGGAGTCTGATGTCCGAGGCCAGAAGCACCCAGCGTGGCAGAAAGAAGAAGACTGGAAGACTCAGCAAGCCTGCTTCTTCCACCTTCTTCTGCCTGCTTTTTCTAGCCACGCTGGCAGCAAGGGGATGGTGCCCATACCGATTAAGGGTGGGTTTGCCTCTCCCAGTCCACTGACTCAAATGTCATTCTCCTCCAGCAACACCCTCACAGACACACCCAGAAACAAATACTTTGCATCCTTCAATCCAATCAAGTTGACACTTAATATTAACCAACACAGTGCCCAATATTACAAACATTAAAGGTATGTGCATTAATAAACTATAAAAGAATCTTCTACAGGTGATCTAGTCCATTGGCTCACTTCCACATGGAAAATATGAATGCTTGCATCCGAAAAAAATGTATAGATTCCTTTTCATTATACGCCTTCACCTTTGTATTTTCACTAGAAGAAAAGCCGGGGATCATGGAAGCTTTCGATACATGATATAATGCCTTTCTTAAAATGAAAATCTTAGGTTCTTTGGTTTGAATGTGGATATGATGGAGTGAAAGAAAATGCAGCTGCAGAAACAATGGGATGATGGTGTTTCAGGTCTGCTTTCCTTGCCACTGTTAGATTTCAACGTGTCAGCAAAGGCAGGCCGGGAGCTGCTAGAGCTCAGATTTCAGCTTTTTTTCTGGGAAACAGTTCAGTCCCACTCATCATCTGATTAAAAAGAACTAGGAAACAGAACGTACCTGGTTGGAGTGGATGAACAAGTGCTGAATCTTTCTTCCACTCTCCACTCAGACAGGAGAAAGCAGCTCAGCCCTGACTGCATTCAAGTTTTTGTCTATCAGGCCCTGGACAGGGTACAATGCTTCATCGTAAAAATGTTGCCTAAAGAAGGCACCTCCTGCTGTGGAGCTGAAGGCTGTGTTCTTAGGAAGCAAAGAGGAGGATTCACAGCAGGAAAATTGCTCTGTGCTTGCAGTACTCATGGGTGCACACTCACAGGCATTTGAGAGAAAGGCCAAGTGCGTTTCCAGATTTTCTCTGCCAACATGTGGGAGGGAATGAGGATATACAGTGCCTCTGTGTGTGGATAAAAGGGAAGGCGATTAATCCAGTCTACATCAGTATCTCATGACCCACAAAGACAGGAACTTCTTTACGGCTAACAAAATGGTCTTCAGGGCATTGTAACTCTGGCTGTAACTGTGGTAATCGATGTTGAAGCCATCACCCACATCACCCCGATTCATACCCACTATTTTCTACAGAACCATAGAACTACTGAATCTTCTACAAAAGGTCTTTGTCATCTCTTAAAATTTTCTTGGCTTTTCATTGCTCGAGACTAAGTCTTAGAAAGAGCAAAACAGTCTACTCCACAACTAACTGACAGGTACAAAGGAAGACTCATGACATCCCCAACTACAACAGCGAGAGCATGAAAAGCCTTTCCTTGTGCTCACCTTTCTCTTCTCTATCCAAGGTCCTGAAATGGCCAGCCAGCCACTGAGGCATCTTCACTTTTCTCCTGAAACCGTGACCAGTACTCATAACCCCCTAACAATTCACCCTTAAACTCAGCCCTTAGACTAACCCAACAGTCCCCCAGTGTGGTTTGGGAACCCATGGGGAATCCCAAAATTTCAAGCAGTCTGCAAAGACAAACCTATTTTCACAATATTACTAAGATGCCATTTTCCTTTTCACTGTTAATCTCTCACAAATATGCAATGGAGTCTTCCAGAGCCTACCGGACACAGAATGTTAACAAAAGTTTGAATGCAGAAGCGGATATAAAAATCCAGCTGGTTTCCATGAAGCCAGATGTTAAACAGAGTTGCAAAAAATTTAAAACAAGCTACTGTCCTTACCCCACTTGTTTTTGTTTTAGAAAACAGTTATTTCCGTAAAAATGTACTTTTATATTAACATGTAATGGGCTTATTATTTTTAAATGAATAATCTGTTTTATAATTTTTAATTAAATAAGTCTTAATTTTTGCAATAAATTCCAACAGATACGACCCACTTAAACAAAATCTCATTGAGATCCTGAATACATTTTAAGAGTGTAAAGGTGTTCTGAGACCAAAACATTTAAGAAGTGCTGGACTAGAATATATCACAGCCTCACTCTGCTACTTCCTTTGCTCTGCCAACAAATAAGAAGGGCCTGAGCTCATGATGTGGCCACAGGAAATCCAATGTTGTCTGTGTCTAAACACTGAATGGTTGGGAAAGGTCAGAGGCTAGGCTGACTCATGCTCCTTCTATCATTCGGGGTTTGATGGAAGAAACAGAACCACTATGGGGGGATTTTGACTGAGGATTTGTCATAGAGATTGGAGCTCAAGCAACCATAAGAGCTCATTAAACAGCCTGTGTGAGGAGGCTACCTTTTTCTGTCTGGGGCAGGAGCCTAAAGTCATCAGGACAGGCTGGCAGAAAGGAGAAGTGGACATAAAGTTGAGGAGCAAGGACACACTGAGAAATTCAGGACAAGCTGGAGCCCCGGAGAACGACGGGAACCTGCTTGAGCCTTCAACAGAGGAGGCCAGTGGCCTGCCGCAGAAGCTGCTCCTTCCTCGTGGAACTAAAAAAGCACCTGGTACAGGAGGCAAAGGCCCTGGAGGAGGAGATGCTCAGGACCAGAGTGGCTGCTGTCCCATCCCAAGGTGAGCCAGGAGCTGAGCACCATGGGCTTGGGCTGCAACAGAGCTTCATGCCCTTCACAGATCCTTCCATGTAAAAGTATAAGACCCAGACTTCACTTTTACCTCCAAATCTCATGAGAAACCTTTCTTGTGACCCATCCAAACTCGTAATTGTACGGAGAAGAAAACTGTGGAATGTATTGACCAATTCACTCACTACTGCTGATTGACACAGGAGTCCTTCAACTCAGCGTCCAGATGTGCAAGGCTTCAGGAGTGCTCAGTGTTCAACAATCAAGTGAAATTCATCTTGGACTCTTCATCATTTTCTGTTCCTTTTAAAGCATCTGATACCTCCTCTTCCAGCATTTCTCACCATAGCCAATCTAATGCATTTTTTTTTAAAAAAGCTATCCAATGTGAGCACCCCAATATCGCCTATATTATCTCCCAGTTCCACCATTTATCCAACCTCCTTACCTTCCTGTCTGGCATATTTTAGAATCTTAGTAAATATTATTAGCCATGGTGGCAGGCACCTGTAGTCCCACCTACTCAGGAGGCTGAGGCAGGAGAATCAATTGAACACTTTTACCTCCAAATCTCAGGAGTTGGAGGCCACAGTGCACTATGAAGGAACCTATGAAGAGCCACTGCACTCCAGCCTGAGGAGCAAAGAAAGACCCCATCTCTAAATAAATAAATAAATGTATTGATTTAGTCAAATAACCAATCAATGACAGAGTGATTATCCGGATTCTCAGTGGCACCAATCCCTCAACCCAAGTCAGTTCTTCTTCTCACCTTCATTAAATGTTTCAACACCTCTTTTATTTCTTTAAAAATATTAAACATAATCATTTATATTATCTTCAATAAGTGCATTATCTGAAGTCCAATGCGTCTGATTCTGCTGTCTGTTTTTTCTGCTGTCACTTACAGTGGCCTTTTTTTTTTTTTTTTTTTTTTTTTGTGAGACGGAGTCTCACTCTGTCACCAGGCTGGAGTCCAATGGCACGATCTCGGCTCGCTGCAACCTCTGCCTCCCAGATTCAAGTGATTCTCCTGCCTCAGCCTCCTGAGTAGCTGAGACTATAGGTGCGCACTATCACGCCCAGCTAATTTTTGTATTTTTACAAATACAAAAATTTTACCACAGCGTTTCACCATGTTGGCCAAGATGGTCTCAATTTCTTGACCTCGTGATCTGCCTGCCTTGGCCTCCCAAAATGCTGAGATTACAGGTATGAGCCACCATGCCCAACCAGTAGCCTGCATTTTTTTTTTTAAGAAAAATGTTACCATGACCTCATGTGTCTTGCCAATTTATCTTTGGGAATTCATTGAGGCCAGAGTTGGAAATAGGCTCTTCTACAGAGATTTCTGAATTTATTTTTGCCATACACCAGGAGGTATATCAACCTAAAAGTAAACCAAGAGCAAATTGAGGTCTAGTGATGTGGCATGACTTGGGGCTGTCTAAACATGTAAGAGCTAGTTTATAGTTATGAGTTCATCAAGGCAGAACTCTTCACTTCCACTGAATATCAAGATTTGAGACACAAAGTTCCTGCTCACTGTTACATTTAGGTGGAGGCTCGTGTGATGTTAGTGCTGATCAGTGGCCCCTTTTTAGACTCTCCCTTGAGTGGACCCAAGGCTTTGGTTCTTGTCCCAGGCCCCATGTCATAGTTCACTCCTATCTATGAAAGGAAAAACTCAGTCATCTGGGTTTAGCAATTGCAAAAGTTGACTTCATTGCTCTTATGATCTCTCTGCGTTCTCAATTTTCTCTTTGTTTTTGACTTCTGGGGCTCATTTCCCTGCTAGAACACACATTTTCTCCCATATTTTAGCCATCAATTTTAGTTGTTTTGAGTGGGAGGATCAGTCAGGTTATCTAATTAGCAGTACTGCTAGAAATGTAAGTTTCCATTCACTTTCTTTTATTAAACAGTTTTAAACCTCCATTATATGCAATGCAATTTTAAGCACTGACATAGCAACATAAACATGATATATTATCTACCCCCAAGGAATTTAGAGAAGACTGAGAGGCATAAAACATAGATCAATAATACAGTGATGAAAATACAATATCATACAATTGGCACTCAGAGAGAGACATAAGCATGGGAGGCTAAGGAAGTACAAAGGAGAGGGAACCTCACCCATTTGCTTGGGAGAAAAGCACACGAAAGTCGCAGCAGTCCCCAGATGCCAACTATCACCAAGACATAATAACACGCGCCTTTACTTCTCACTCATCCAACTATGGGTAGGCTGGTATCAGCTCAACTTGGCTGAGTTTGACCAAGCTTTGTTCTAAACTACAAGTTTTGTTTAGGCTTGCCTGAGATGTCTCTCATTCTTCTGGGACCAGCAGCTGCATGTTTTCATGCCAGCACAAATCTCTCGAAGGAATGAGTGGAAACACACCACATCCCTTATTCCGAGGCTCCAAATCCACAGTCACTTTTTCCCACATTCAATTGGCCACAGCAAGTCACGTGGCCACACTCAACATTTACCGGGTAGGAAGTGCACCCCTGGCAGGGATGTGAGGGCAGAGGGGAAGGTAGAGGGAAGGTGTGAATATTTGTCAAGGAATAGTCTAATCTAACACAGAAGAGTTCAAGAATTTATATTTAGATTCCACTTTAAAGGGAGATAGGAATTCAGAAGATTGGTTGATATGGTTTAGCTCTGTGTTCCCACCCAACTCTCATCTTGAATTGTAATCCCCATGTGTTGAGGGAGGGATCTGGTGGGAGGGGATTGGACCGTGGGGGCAGTTTCCCCCATGCTGTTCTCATGATAGTGAGTTCTCATAAGATCTGATGTTTTAAAATTATGCAACCGTTTTCTCCCACTCACTCGCTCTCTCCCGCCACCTTGTAAAAAACATGCTTGCTTCTCCTTCACCTTTCCCCAGGCCTCCCCAGCCATGCAGAATTGTAAGCCAATTAAACCTCTTTATAAATTACCCAGTCTCGCATAGTTCTTTATAGCTGTGTGAAAATGGACTAATAAATGGATCATTCTGGGAATTAAGAAGGAGCACATGTAAAACAGTCCTGAGCAGGGTTTACAAGGCCATAGTAACGGAACCAGGCCCTCATGGCATGCAGAGGACGTGGGCAGGAGATGGCACTGGAGTAGACAGGGCCCAGGGAAAAGCAGCCTGTGTCTTCGTAAGCCTTACTCTGCATACAGTAAGGAGCCACCAAAAGGTTCTGGGTCTTTTCACCACAAAAAATAAGTATGTGAGATAAGGCACGTGTTAATTAGCTCAGTTTAGCCATTCCACAATATATGAATATTTCAAAACATCATATTGTACACAATAAATATGTACAATTTTTATTTGTGAAGAAAAAATCAATTCAAAAAATATATAAAAAAATTAAATTCAAATTTTTTTAAAAGGTGTTAAGCCAGAACAATAGAATCAGTCTGCATTTTATTGAGCTCATGATGACATCTCATTAGATAAGAGAGGGGAACTGGTTAGTTGTATGATGAAATGACCCAGAAAAAATAATGACAAGAGGTTGAATGGGTTATGGCAGTAAAATTAATAAACTAATGCTGGATTCGGGAGCTATTTAGGGATAGATTAATAAGCTAATAAAAGTAAAGGGCTTAGCAGTGTCTGATGCAATGTAAGTCCTCACTAAATATTAGAAGCTACTATTAATAGTAACAATAGAACCTGATAATTTTGTGACGGGTGGGAGTGGGGAGATAAGAACAAGGTAGAAATATAAAATGTCTTTCAAGTGTCTAATTTAAATAACCCGATGAAATAGGTTTTTTCAGACGAGGAAGAATAAGCTTATAAATAGAAAAATGACAAATTCAGTGGTAGACATGTTAGCAACACTAAAGAAAAACTTCAAAAGTGACTAGAGAAATTTTGGAGGAGCAAGAATCTGACAGCTGACTTTTCAACAAGAGAAATGGAAGTCAGAAAAAGACAATGCAATGCTACCTTCAAGCTGCTAAGGAATCTCAATACCTGTCACTCTAGAATTCTATACCCAGCAAAGTTATAACACAAGAATGCAGGTGACATAAGAAGCAAGAGACAGATCCAATTATGTTCATACCTGCATTTTATACAACAGCCCCAAACCAAAGGAATGAATCATTAAATTGTGGTGTATGCATATAATAGAGCAATATACAGCTGTGGTTCTTAAAATGGGGTGCCCCTAACAACAGTATCAATAGCACCTGAAAACTTGTTAGAAATACAAACTCTTGGGCCCTGTCCCAAACCTACTAATTCATAATGTCTGGCTGGGGGCCAGCAATCTGTGATTTAACAAGTCCTCCAGGGGACTCTGACACACCTTGAAGTTTGAAGACACCTGCTCCTGTGATTTAACAAGTCCTCCAGGGGACTCTGACACACCTTGAAGTTTGAAGACACCTGCTCCACAGTAATGAACATGGACAAACTACAAGTTCATGCAACAAAACAGCTAAATACTCAAAGCATAATATTGCAAGAAAGAAGCCAAAGTCACAATAAGTCAAACTGTATATTCTACCTATAAAAAGATTGCTTTAAAAAAAGATACAACTAAATTGTTTAGGGATACAGAATTGAGAGGAAAACTATTAAGCATAAAAGGAAGTGTTTAACATTATCTCTGATAATCTCAGTGATAATTGGTGATTATCTCTAGGGGAGGGAATAAGGTGTTATTATTAGGAAAAAACATTTAGGAGCCCTCTGGTTGTTGAAAATGCTCTATTTCTTGACCTAGACAATTACATACCTTTTTACTTTATAATTTATAAACAACATATTTTCTATACACTTCTTTGTACATGATGTTTCACTATATATTATATACACAACATATTGCATAATATATAACTTATATGATACATTATGTTTAAATAGAAAAAAGCAAATGGGAATATTTGTAACAAGTAGAGTCAAATCCAGTAAAATCTGTCTGAAAAGAGATAATCTGGAAAGGACCACAGCCCTGGGAAATAGAATTTAAAAATGCACTAAACCGAGTTATATTTGAGAGATGTGTATCTTTTATTCATGCTGTGCTCTAGTGCCTAGGAGCCTCTTTGACACACAGTACGCGCTCAATGAATGTTTGTTGAGTGAATAACTGAAAGCATGGAAGTAGATGTCAGGCAGCCAGCAGGAAGTGAAGCAGAGTTTCCTCTGGAAAACAGAGATGGAAGGTATTCAAGGAAAAGGAGAAAACCCAGATGCCACAGGCACTTTGAGAAGAAAGAGTTGAGGAAGCAAACTGATTGGCCCCTTAGGGAAGGACATCAATCATGACACTAACATGTAACTGAGGTCATTTGTTCTCTAGCCCGACAGTCCCCAACCTTCTCGGCACCATGGACCAGTTTTGCGGAAGACAATTTTTCCACGGATGAGGACGGGGGTGTGTTTTATGGATGATTCAAGTGCATTACATTTATCGTGCATTTTATTTCTATTATTATTACGTGATAATATATAATGAAATAATTAAACAACTCACCATAATGTAGAATCAATACGAGACTTGAGCTTGTTTTCCTGCAACTAGATGGTCCTATCTGGGGGTGATGGGAGACAGTGACAGATCATCAGGCATTAGATTATCATAAGGAGCACGCAACCTAGATCCCTCACATGCACAGTTCACAATAGGGTTTGCACTCCCATGAGAATCTAGTGCCAACACTGATCTGACAGGAGGCGGAGCTCAGGTGGTAATGCGAACGATGGGGAGTGGCTGTAAATACACATGAAGCTTTGCTGGCTCCCCTGCCACTCATCTCCTCCTGTGCAGCCCAGTTCCTAACAGGCCACAAACAGGTACTGGTCCATGGCTCAGGCACTGGGGACCCCTGCTTTAACCACAGGCTCAGAGAAGCAGAAAAACATTTCATATCCCCCCATCAATGCAGTGAGAATTCTGAGAACCTCCATACCTCCTGAGAGGGGCAGTGCATCTTGCCAGCAGGATTTTGCAGTCATGGAGCACAACTAAAAGAGAGGGAACAAGGACAACTAGGAAGAATATATAAAATGAGCCCCTGAAATGGCACCAAATGAATTTGGGGAAACTCCATTATTTAAAGAATAAATGGAGAAAGTTGAGCATGAAAAGCCCCTATCTCTCATATTGTATCAGTGTGTCTTTAACCGTTCACTTCCCCTGGTCTGATGCTTTCACCAACAGTCTTTATGCCCAGACAACAATCCTGCCCAGGATGGACTCACTCACTGTCGTTAGCCCTAGCCCAGCCTCTTTCCTTTCACATCACAGACCTCTGAGAATGCCCTGAAAAATTGTAGATTCCCCTTTCCTTCAATTCCTCATACTCTTTTGGGAAAACATTTAATAAGATCCCACAAAGACTCTTGCTCTATGAAATCCCAGGAACACTCCTCTCTGGCACAATGACTTTGACATGGGAGCCACTTTTATTTCCTTGGACTTGGCCAGCTCTTCAGAATATGTAGACTGCCTCATCATTCTCTGATTGCCTTCTCATGGTCCAGTCATTTTGCTCAAGCAACACAGACCCTGTGAATTTTCTCTTCATATATGACTTTGATTCTCACTCATCTAGCTATGCCCAAGGAATCCCAGCTCTGTCCTTTAAGTGGAAAACAAGCAGCTCTGTGTTTTGAGCTCAAGTTTACTTCTCTGCAGAATCCTACCCACAAATCATTTTAAACCTAATTCACCTCAAAACGAACAAAGCAACAAAAGAGCCGATCGGTTTCTTTCCCGATACTCTTCCACAGCAGGTTTTGTTTTCTGTCGAGTTGAGCTAATCTCACACATCTTCAGCATAGCTGTCCTGTGGTCTACCAGGATTGGTAAAGACTTTCCGGGTACATGCATTTTTGACTAATGTGGCTGTGTGACCTCAGTCTCAGTCAAGGGAGAGCGATAGGACTGCTTTACAGTGTCTCATGAGAACATAAGAGGGTGACTTCCTAGGATTCTCTTCCTGCTTTGAAAGGTTCTGCTGGTATTTAGATTTATAGTTCACCTTCTTTGGGGATTTTTGTTAGTCCAACATCCTTCCCCAGACAGGCTGCAGTGTTCCTATCTGACCGAATAAGTGGAACTCTGGGGCTCATTAGGGGTGTTTAAAACAAAAGAGAAAAGAAATATTAATCCCAAATATTCCCACTCGACAACCCATGGCAGGCAGGCACATGGTACTTCAAGACTCGCTTGACAGTCAGTGCAGGGCTCACGCTGCGCTTTTCTCCAGGTGGGAAGTCACGTGTTTATATCCCGTGTGTGTCCTAAATTGTGAACTCGTCATGCGTAGTCCAGGCACAGGCATTGCTGTGAGTCTCTTTATTACATGGCCAATCACGGGGCCACATAAAAGTAAGTGCTTCTAAAAACAAAGCCAGACTCCATCTCAAAAAAAAAAAAAAAAAAGGAAGTGTTTCTCAGGCTGGGCATGGTGGTATGCACCTAGTCCCAGCTACTCAGGAGGCTGAGGTGGGAGGATAGCTTGAGCCCAGGAATTCAAGGCTGCGCTGACCTGTGATGGCACCACTGCACTCCAGCCTGTGCGACACAGCGAGACCCAGTCCCTAAATGAAAAACAAATTTTAAAAAGTAAATGCTTTGGAGGGGGTATTGAAGGGAGGTGAAGGAGGTCTGGAGGGAGAGCCGTGTGTCCCACGTCCCAGAAAGTGGGCATCGGACCAACACTGAGCCCTCTGCTGCTGTTGCCCACACCTGCCTCCTTCTTACCCAGACCTTCCCACCCTTGTGTCCCAACTTTAAAACTCCGCAAGCCCCTTGAGGGGCTTCACTTTTAAGACTACCTCCCATGATGTAAGATCCTAGAATTCCCAGCATTCGTGGGCCCAGAAGAGTCCAGGCCACAAAGAAAAAGAGAGAGAAAATAAATAAATGAATAAATAGAACACTAACAAACTGCACTTACAATGATTTCTGGTTCCAATCCAGAAGTCCACCACCAGATATAAATCAGACACCCAACAGCATGCTACTGTCTGAGTTTTTTAAGGGCCTTAAGTGATCACTTTGGAAAAGCCATCTAAATATGCTCACATTTTAACCTGCATGAGCCTATTTTGAAAGCTACCCACGTAATGCAACGCAGTCACACGCTGCCTCTTGCATCACGACTATGTCACTCGCATATTTCCATGCCCAGGGGAACTGTCCCAAGAGTAGCAAAGGCCTTTGAAGTTCTAAAGAAAACCAAAATTGCCTGAACTGTTTATGTTTGGATTGGCCCCAGCAAAGAAAAGCTTTCACTTTTCTGTTAAAATGACCTCCAGTAATGTTGCATCCAAAAATACTTCCCAAGGGTTCTGGGAGTCCTGCTAGGGCACCGATGATAACATCCTAGTGGAATAAACTCCAACAGGGAAGAATGTTACGCTGATTCCCAGAGGCTGATACCAGGCATTTCATGCCACTTAAAATCTCTTGGCAAATTCATCTAATTGCAAGGCATTCTCCTTCCCTGCCCGATTCCGTAGCATCTCAGCCTGCAAACACAGACTTACTGAAATAACTACAATGTTTTAACGTGCTTTATGGAGCTACAGAATTTCCCAGTGGGTCAGTAACTGGTGTATATTGCTTTATATTTTAACAATCTTTCCACAGATTCAGAATCAGGAACCAAATGTATTCATCCTGAGGTGATTTGCTTATTGCCTGTGAATGCCTCTTAAACAAGAGCAACAATGCACTTTTCACTGAAACAGGTTTGATTTCAGCGTTCTGGCCAGCGCTTGGAAAAACCCTCCTGCTTCATTCCCAATGCATAAATCTCAGTCCTGCACTCTCCATTTCCATGAAATGAGAAGGGAAGAGGGGAGGAGCTGAGCTTCATTAACAGGTGGCTGGGTTTGGCAGGGGCATTCGGTTGCATTCTTTCATCCTCCCTTTTCCTCACTCAGTTCAAGCTGGTAATCAGGGGGGAAAATTGTTCTAAAATGCAAATGCAGTGCCTGATAGAAGGGGCTGCTGTGAGGAAGATCTCCATGAGAAACACTGCCTCTGCTAAAACAGCAGACCCCCGGTATTGCATCACTCTTCCTTTGAAAGATTCAAGACACACATAACCAGTATGTCTTCGTTAGAATAGAAGCTCTTTCAATGAAATGGTTTGGCTTTAAATCAAGAGTGGCTTTAAAACAGGACTAGATGGCCCCAAATGGAGCTGCTTCACACAACAAGGTGTGTAATAAATAAGGCATGAATGACTGATCCCAGCAGTGCTCCTACCAGCCAGGCGCTGGGTGTTTTGGAGGAGCATTTCTTTGTTAGCATACCCATAAAGCTCATAAAGTTGCCCGGCAGTTTCGCCCCTCTCTTTTTAAAATCCTGTGGGTTTTCTCTGGAGGCAGGCTGAAGTTCAGGAAACATGCATTTGGACCGAGAGTCTCTTCCACAGTCTGATGGCACGCGCCTCAGTGGCATGTCATCTTCATTTCTTTCTTCTCTTCTCTCCCCCTCCTTTGGTTAAGTCTGTCCACTATTTAACACTAAGTTTATGAAAGAGGTACTGGATCACTACGCCTTTCCTCCCTCTAGGAAACCCCTGCTCAGGCATCAGGATCCAGCCTAAACGCAGCGTTTCCCGGCTTTCCCCTCCACTGTTGACTGCCCCTAAACCAAGGAATTGAAGTCAGGAGCCACGGTGCAAGTCAGACATGTGTGTTAGTTATCGGGATGTTCGTGGGGGGGTTCCGCTGTATATGCATAACGTCTAAAATTTGAATTTGAGTTAATATGTCTCACAAGTCTCATGCAAGTGGCCATTCCTCTGACAAAGAAGGTAGTCTAAGTAGAAAGTGTGGTGGAAAACAAGGAGGATACAAACCAGATGGTGGCAGATGGAAGAGAGAAGAGGGAACAGGCCTCAGACTCCTGAGGGCAGAACCACCAAGACGGGAAGTGAGTGGATGTCGTGCATTGAGCGTGGGAGAGCCCAGGTCTCGGACTTGGACAAATGGGTAGGTGCCACAGTGATTCTCTGAGAAAAGGAACAAGGTGGAGTGGATTTGTAGAGGGAATAATGAGTTTTCTTGTATTCAAATTTTTTGGCTTTCATAGAATTCTACTTTCAAATTCTGAGAAGAATGAGGCTGTAAATCATTTCTAAAATTAAAAAATCACAATATAGAGATGGTGCGATTGTGTTTCAAAGCAACCGTTGTCTCTGCCAAGCTGGGGGAGACATTCTTTCAGAGAAGGCGCCTTCTCTGACTCCAGGGCAACTTCGTTCTCTCTCAAGTCACAATCAGGAAAGGGCAGGATTGAGAGCTGGCAGAATGCTGTTTTTGGAACTCTGTGTTACAGACACATTTCTTTCTCCACCAGCTTCCTTTGCTCTGGCTATCACAAGTGCCAGGTGTAGCCTGCTTTCTGAAACTGCAGAGATTTAAAAGAAAGACCCCGTGGCATCTTCCAAGACTGAACACTAGCTGCTCTGAATGCAGCTCTCCCTCAGTCACTCTCAGTCTTGCCCTTCAGGCACTTCAGAGAGCTCCTTCTGGAAGCATTCCATCCCTTTGTTGCTCTCGGCCAAACTTGCCAAACTCGCTTCTTGGCTTGTAAGTGTGTGCTT
Organism: Homo sapiens; assembly: GCF_000001405.40. Taxonomy (NCBI): domain Eukaryota; kingdom Metazoa; phylum Chordata; class Mammalia; order Primates; family Hominidae; genus Homo; species Homo sapiens. The sequence goes on from NC_000008.11 coordinate 6,136,494, forward strand.
GTCTCTATGTAGGTGAGTCATGGCCAGCCTGGAGCTTGCCGCCCTCCCCCCGCGCCCCCCCACCACCACCACCCGCACCCCCCGACCCCCACAACTGGTAGGGTGATTGCATTTAACTCATTTCTCACCTAAGTGCAGCCACCCGTCAGGACTCCCATGAATCTACAAGCGGCTTTTCCATCACTTAGGGTACGCAGACAGATTCCTCTTAAAATGCTCCACACAGAACTCACAACGTGATGCCATGAAGTCTGTATTCTGTGATGTCATTACATGTGGAGGGAACAATGGGTGGGCTTGCTTTGTCAGAGTGGGCTTAAAAACTCGAGCTCTAAGGACTGACTCATCAAGACTTAAATCTCCAACTCTTCTGCCTGTCAGTGTGTCAACTTGGGTGGGAAACTTATTGTCTCAACATTTATTTTCTCATCTGCACAGGGAGATTAAAATACTACCAGCCTCAGCCTTATTTTTGTTGTGAACTAAAAGAAATGATGAGTGTAAAGCGGTTATGCGGTGGCCAGCACATAGCATGTGCCCTGTTAACAATCGTTGTTACCAAAATGTATGTCCCACAAGCTACGTCAAAATGAGCTTCTAAGAAGTTGATTAATAGGTTCACATATATGGTTTGATAGAAGGAGTAAGAACCAGTGTCCAATAGATCAGTAGGGTAATTAGAGTTCTCAATAATCTATTGTACGTTTCAAAATAGCTAGAAGAGAATAATTCAAGCGCTTCTAGCATTAAAAAAGGACAAATATTGAAAATGACAGATATCCCAAGTACACCAATTTGATTCTTACAAATTATATGAATATATTATCACATGGACCCCTGAAAGTGTGGCTATCTACTATGCAACAATTAAAAATAATAAGTGAGGGGGTCACAATGGAAATACATTTCTACGTAGAAAAATACATCCATTGATCACCAGAATGTTAAATGTACATTTCACTTCTTTTCAATGATTGAATCATATACTATTGGAAAAACTTGAACCTGAGTTTGGAACACTAGCGAGGAGTGGCTTAAATCAGTTGAATATTCAGAGCTGGTAAAACAGTTCTGTGTATATATATGTGTGTGTACACACTCACACACACACACAGAATCAACAGCAAGTCTGCAGTTCATTCATGCCGCCTCTTCTACCTCTCTGGATTCTGTGGTTCTGAGACCAGAACAGAGTACGCAGAACAGGAACGTAAACCTGAATGTGTGCAATGGGCCTGACAAACAAGAAGGAGCAACCTGGAGCTCTGATCACTCAACCTCCCCGGACCTTGGATTCTTGGGCTATAAAATTATCTGTGTGGCCTCTCCCATCTTAACATGCCACCATTTCAAGAAGACAGGTTTTAATTGCAAGTAGCAGGTAGCAGTTCTCAAACTTTCTTTGCAAAGGTCATGCAAGGTGTTTATTTAAACACAAACTCCTGGAAACCACCCTGAGAAACGGATCATTGTGGACCTTGGTGCCCTCTGAAAACCAACTTGAAGAAAGGAATCGAAGCTGCATTGGCCCGTTGTCGTCAGCACATTGTTTTCTGCACCCAAAACACTCTCTTCCAGGTGCCCCTACTCACCTGTCACCTCTTGAGCCCCACATTGCTGCCTCCTATGCACTTCCGCTATTGTCCTGTTCTAGATATGGGCTTTTCTGCTTTTCTTTTGTATTTTTTTTTCCAGTTAGCTAAAATAATAAGCCACTGGATTAGAAATAGGTGTGTTATTTCAACAAGTAATTATTTTCCTGAAAATGAAAGCTGGTGGGTCTATTTTAAGAGTTAATTAGCTGACAGGGGAACCAAATTTACCCTACAGTGCATTTCAACCTGCATTTCAGAAAAGTAATAGGGAATCACCTGCCAAGTTGCAGAGAATCCGTGAGAACAGAGAAGCAAACAGGGCAGCCAGTGCACCCAGCCAATCAGAATTCACCAGAGACCTGATCTAATTTTCCTCAGGGAGAGTAATAATAATGGTAATAAAGATTTTCTTTCATTTAATGACTACAAGTCATCTTTCTCTCATTGCCATACTGCAAGTGGAGTGGTAGCCATAGAGAATGGCAGGCTCATGGCTGCCGGAAGCTGCAGACTTCACACAAGTCAATGAGGGAGCTTGGAGCTGTCCTCTCTGGTGAGGACTTCAGAGAGTCCACCTCTGCACTGCAGTCTGATGAGCACCCAGAATCCTGATGTGTCTTCTTGTTAGAAGGGGTCTCCTGGGTTTGTGCCCTACCAGGTGACATTCTGGCATTGCCCTGCTCCCTGGGTGAAGTCTCTATAATTCCTTTCCATTGTGGGGAGACACTCAGGCTACACTAACCCTTTTGGATGAGTTTCTTTAGTTTGTGCGGAGGCGTCACAAAACTGGGTGGAGGGCATTCCATCCCGACCAGGTGACTCCAGCCAAATGGGCAGCCTTAGTGACTGCTTCCACCACACACCCAGCATTACCATCTGCTCCGTACCACCCTGTAATGGGGACAGGCCTCTGCAATGATCTTATTGACAAGGGCACAACTGTCACTTACCCCAACACAATGGTCTACTTTGCAGAGGGAAATAATAAAGTCATTATCAGCTACATTTTGATAGACTCTTTCTTAACTGAGGTCATGCCCTGGCCTTCCAGCAGTGGTCTACAGTGAGCCCTGAGTCCGGCCCTTGCTCTAGTTCACCATATATTTCTCAGTACACATCATCAACATACACTACACTACATCAACATAATTCTGAACGTGAATCTCGTGTGTGCCTAATGGAAAGGATGGTGCCTGATGGTCAGGCACTTGGTCCAACTGCAGAGACAATCATTGAGTCTTCCAAGAGGGCAGAATGGGGCTGAGTCTGAGGCAAAACCCAAGGCCCTGTGCCCACAGCCTGGACCTGCTCTGGCCAAGGTCAAATGCATTCCACAGTCTAGACACAGCAGTCAAGCATGAATGACCTGGAGAAGAGGGAACTCCCTCTCTGGTCTCAGTTTCCCCTTCTGTAAAGTCAGAGGATTGCTACTCAAAGCGTGATCTGTAGACCTGCAGTATCACTGTTCACAGACCATAAGCAAATCCGGCCCCACCCCGGGACAGGATGACTGTCCTGTCTGAGCCTCAGTTTCCTCATCTGTAAAGTGGGGCTAAGACCGCTTTTTAGCTTTGGGATGACAAATGAGTGAGATAACATGAGATAACATATATTAAGTACCCGGTACAGTGAGTGTAAATGCTCAATAAATGGGACCAAATGAGCTAATCTTTAAAAATCTTCCTTCTGACTTGGGTTTGACGGCATGATTACAGCATTTACAATGGGATGTGGGCTTGCAAATGTCTGCAACTCTCTCCTCTGGACGTTGTACTTCCTTTCAAGAGGCCAGTTAGAGTTAAAATCACTGTAATTGATGTAAGACTCCATCTCAGCTTTGAGAAACTCAAATATAAAGAAGGAAGTATTTCTTTTTTCAGAGATTTGTACTTAGGAAAGCCAAGCAGCTTCACTTTTCCCCCAAAACGTTATTGCTTGCACTGTGGGACCTGATCCAGTGGGCTGTCATGGACGAACGGCAACACCCACTGGGACCCTATTCCCTTTGTGTAAACAGAGCAGCTCCAAACCGCGGCCCTCCTGGGCCCCCTAGCGGCAGCAGCGATGGGCACAACGTTCAAAGATCCCTCAAAGCCCTCGGGGAGTGGCCCTGGCAAAGGCAGCCCAGGAATGCCAGGCGGTTTTGCACCCCTCAGTGCCCCCAGTCTTCGGAAAGGTTGACCCCCGAGGCAGGGGCGCTTTCCCTGAGTCGGGACAGGTTCAGTGACTCTCAGCTTGTAACCTCCTGCCCCTGTCTGCCCCATCCTGAAGACACAGCCAAAGACCCAAACTCTATGCTTTGAGTATCAGCAATATCCCCAGATGCTAATATAGAAACGTGGAAACGCAACGGCTTTGGAATCAGAAATACTTACATTCCAGTCCTGGCTAACCCATTTACTAGTTGAATATTCTTAGGCTAGTTACTTAATCACTCCAGGCCTCCATCTTCTCACTATAAAACAGGGGTGACAGTGCTTACCTCACAGGGGCGTTTCAATTATTAAATGAGAACATGCATATATATGTATGTATATAAAATTTCATACAGCTATAAACTAAAATATAGGTATCTCTATCAGTGAATATACACCCAGAGAGCGAAGGCACCTGGCCCTTGGGGAACACACACTTGCAGCTACTGATTACCGTTAACTACCCAGGTGAACACACCTAAAAAAATTGAAAAATTGTTTTTGCAGTTTTCATGTTAGGATCTGAAACAACCTATTAGTTACACTAGGACTTGACTGGTGGGGATAAGCCTCGGATACAGGAGGCCTGGGGCAAACAAGTTTTCTAGTTCTCTGACTCTACAAGTGCCATCTCCTCAAGGGAACTTTAAAAGCAGCCCTGAAGATGCAAAGGCATAAGAAAGATACAATGGACTTCGGGGACATGGGAAAAGGGTGCGGGGGTGGGGGGTGAGGGATAAAGGACTACAAATTGGGTACAGTGTACACTGCTTGGGTGATGGGTGCACCAAAATCTCAGAAATCACCACTAAAGAACTTACTCATGTAACCAAACACCACCTGTTCCCAAAAAAACCTATGGAAATAAAATAATAATAATAATAAATTTTAAAAAAAAATTTAAAACAGCCCTGAAAGGAAAGAAAATCACAAAAGAATAGCTGTGAGTATTTGGATGCTAAGAGGGGAGTGTGTGACCCAGTTTGTCTTAGGAAAAGGGATATGGGGTTTGAGGCTTTGCAGGTGCACAGAACTGGGGAATTTTAATTAGAAGCTAGACTCTCTCCTTCTTGATCCTTCCCAGCTCCCTGGGCCATTGCCCAAACAGGGCTCAATCTAAAGTCCATGAGTCAACAACACATAGTAAGGGTGTCTCTTTGCCAGTCGGTAGAAAACCTAAAATGTAGATAAGATGCAGGTGTTGATACAATCATCCTAAAGTCTGCCCTCTGGTTTTGCTAGAGAAATCCATGATCAATAATCTATTCTCCTAACCCATCCAACAAGAATCAACAACCCCTTTTATCTGAAGGAATCACTAGATGAAAGAACACAAGCTAAATGAATGCTATCTCTGCAATCTTTAGAAAAATAAAGTTATTAATGTAATCCAGTGAAAAGAGTATTGAGCATGTACTAGAGTAGGAAGATGTGGATAAAATCCAGTCCTCGAGAAGATCACAACTCACTGGAGGAGAGAAACATACTTACTCCCTAAATCAATAGTATAAAATAAATGCACACTTAGAGGGACAAAAGAGTACTAAGTAAACATTAAGAAAGGAAAAGTTCCTTCAAACTGCATTTTGGTGAAGCTGCTATATGCCAAGTTTTGCGCTCCACAAAGGAAAAGAAAAATGAATCAGATTTCGTCCTCAGCTGTGAGGAATTTTGTATCTCTCTGGGAAGACAGATGTTTAGGAAAAAAGTTATAATCCGATGTGATGATGGTAAAGCAGTGTTCAGAGGCTACAAGAAGCAGAGGAAGGAAGAGGCATGTATCCATGCATATCAGGGAGGGCATCATGGAGGAAATGGCCTTGGGGGGGCGGGTAGGGAAATTGACTGACCAGCTCCTAACCTTTGGGCACCACCTTAAACCCAAATGGTGATGTTTAACCTCATGATATTGGCAATGGAGTCCAGAAAGTGTTCCACCACTTCAGGTTTAACTCTATTAAATTATTTATTCAGTATCCCTGACATTAAGCTTTGGTTCTCTGAAGTGGTTTTATCTTCTGCTGGCCAACAGTTGTCAAAGCTAAAAGAATTTCCTCTTACGCTCACTCTGTTTGTAGAAGAAATGGATGATATCTACTTTCTACAAATCATTACTTAATGGAGTGTTGCAAGACCACCATCTTTTGACCACATTCTCTTAATGAAGATGGAAAGCATAAATGGACAAAACCAAGCACTTCTATTCTGGTCTTGCCAAAACTAGCCAAATGGTGTTGTATAACTTGCACTTAAATATCACTTGTCACATGGGTGACTGGTAGAGGCTGCCAGGGCATGACAGTTGTCACGAGGAGGTCTCCCAATCAGCAGGTCGGGAGAGGTAGAAGCTGTTCCCGTTGCTGGAGCTTTCTTTATGGATGTTGATACTGAATCTGGAGGTAGTTCTTTAAGTTTGTTTAAAAGTGGCTCAGGAGTTCAAGTCCAGGCTGGACAACATGGCAAAAACCCATCTCTACAAAAAATACAAAAATTAGCTGGGTGTGGTGGTGCGCCTGTAGTCCCACCTACTTGGGAGGCTGAGGAGGGAGGATCACTTGAGCCAGGAGGTCAAGGCTGCAGTGAGCTGAGATTGCACCACTGGGCTCCAGCCTGGGCAACAGAGTGAGACCCTGTCTCTCTCTCTCTCTCTCTCTCTCTCTCTCACACACACACACACACACACACACACGAGTGGAAGGCATCGTCCAGTATTGCAGTTACCAAGTGCTGTGCCAGTGTACAATATGAAGTTCTAGTCCTTCGTTATCTTAATGACTTTTTCTTTAGCTTCAACAAATGCCTTTTATTGTTGATCAATTTCCATGCAAAACACTTTACTTTAAAAAGCCCATATGGATACTAATTTTAATTTGACATAGAAAGTAAGGAAATGTTCAACACCAGCATGCAAATATTAGCAGAATTGATTCATTTTGCTTTGAGCTAGAGTCTGTTGTAATTTTGCTTTCAACCTGCTGAATATTTCACTTTATTGTTATCTGCCCAGTTTGAATATCAATCCTTTTTACTTTTTAGGAAATATGCATATTTTAATGACAAAAGCGTTACATGTATACTGTCAAATATTATTCCCTACATTCAAAAACTAAACACAAAACAAACAAAAAAGACTCAATGCGGAAATGGTGGATTTGGGACTAGGGCAGGGAAACTTCAGGATGAGCCTGGGACTCATTGTCATTCCAGATGTGAGGAAGTGTTCCGCACAAGGGTGAGAAGACCCTACAGAAACCAGCACAAAGGGATCCCACTGGCCATGTCATGAAGGGGATCCCAGGGGCCACATCAGACAATTTGAGCAAGGAAATAATGACACTACCGCATGAAATAGGAATCCATGAGTCTATGCTGAGGTAAGTAAATGAGTAAATAAATGCAAAGTGGAGAATGCTTTTTTTCCTCCGTCAGTGGAATACAATTAGTGAATCGTTGTACGAATTCACCCAATGATGCTGAATTGGTGGGTGAAAGTTCAAGAGAAATGCGACAGTCCATACTCTTAGTACGCCTCCGTGCCGTAGAGGAAATCTGGCAGGCACCTCTTTAACCAAGTGATCAAGGTTAATTAACTTCGCCAGTAACTCGACAAACCGCAACCACCTATTTTGTGGTAGGATGCATGAAAGGAACATATTGTCACTTCATGAGATTGCCACCAAAATTGCATAATCTGAGTGTAATCATCAGACAAAACCAAATCGAGGAGCATTCTTTAAGACAACAGGCCTCTAACATACAAAAATGTCAAGGTCTTGAAAGACAAGAAAAGACACAGAAGACGTCCAGCCAGAAAGAAACTAAAAATGTAGGACAGCTAAATTCAACGTGTGGACCGGATTGAATCCTCCTACTAGAAAGGACATTATTGCAATGACGGGAACCTTGGATTGAGTCTGTAGGTTAGATTGTAATACTATATTAATGTTGATTTTCTGATTTTGATGGTTGCATTGGGATTATGCAGAGGAGTGTCCCAGGTTGTAGGAAATATTTGCTAAAGTATTTGGGCTCATGGACATTGTGCTGCAACTTACAAATTGTTCAAAAATAAAGCTCTTTGAACTAGTCCTGCAACATTTTAGCAAGCAGGAGATTATTTCAAAATAAAAACAACCAGATGATAGGACTCCGAACGATATAAAAAATAAACTGTCAGAGGTGATAAGGGAAATAAAAAAAGACAAAATTTGTGACAAAATTTGGAAGCCATATTTGACACAGAATGTATCATTGATGCTGTTTAAAATTAACTCAGCGATGTTGAGACGTAACATCCACCATTTATCTGTGGATAAGAGACATCACAACGACCATTTATCTGTGGAGAAAGCAGTGAAAAACCAAACAGATAAATGTGAAAAACGATTACAAGAAGGACAAATAAAAGAAAATCAAAATGTTCAAAATTGTTCCTGAAGAAGAAAATAAAACAGAGGCAACAAAAAATAACCAGTTTTACTGTGAGAAAACTTTCCAGGAAAAAACAAACAAACAAAACAAAACAAAAAACAGGAATCTGTAGATTTGGGAAAAAAGAAAAAAGAAAATACCCCATCCTTCCAGTAAAATTAATAGAGAATTCATTGCTTAATTCAATATAAAAGAAGACTCCTTCAGCATCTTGACATAATAACAAATCACCAGCAGTTTAGAGAAAATTTTAGCCTCAGGTATCTCAGCAGTACTGGATGCCACAAAAGAATGAAGATATGCTTGCACAGTGGTAACGAAAAAAAATGGTTTGCAAGTATTCCATGTCAATTTTATGAGTCATCATTTATTGGCAAGGAAAAAGAAAACATTCCTACCTTTCCAAGGACTGAGGATAGAGGCGACACATGGGATATATATGCGAAGACTATGGCAGAGTCTGCTGGTTGTGTCTCCTGCTTCCGTCAGGGACTAAACTCTGAAATGAAGAAGGCACACAGCCATCCAGAGTTACAATGACACTTTCCAAATTCCCTTCCATTCAGCTGTTGCCATGTTGATCAAGTTCTCTCTAAAGGAATCCAAGAAGTGCTGTGAGGGGCTTACAGGGAGGGGCCTGTCCTCTGTCTCTCTCCTTCTTCCGAGGAGGCCAGAGTGCCAGCAGTCTAGATCTTTAGGATTTACTTCATGAAGACACAGTCACAGCCCGGGCCACCCTGCTTCCAGACTTCTTTTGCGAGAGAGAAATAAACTCCTATCTTGATTAAGCCTCACTTATTTTCTGATTTCAAACACCTGTAATAAATTGACACTGAAATGATGCCAAATAAAGTATTAAATCACAAATGCAGAAATCATGTGTATGAAAGAAATCATAGTGAATGTTAAACTCAATTAAACATAAGATAAGTTGGCTGGGCACAGTGGCTCGTGCCTGTAATCCCAGCATTTTGGGAGGCTGAGCTGGGCAGATCACCTGAGATCAGGAGTTCGAGACCAGCCTGTCCAACATGGTGAAACCCTGTGTCTACTAAAAACACAAAAAATTAGTGGGACATGGGGGCAGGTGCCTGTAATCCCAGCTACTTGGGAGGCTGAGGCAGGAGAATCGCTTGAACTCAGGAAACGGAGGTTGCAGTGAGCCGAGATCATGCCATTGCACTCCAGCCTGGGTGACAAGACCTAAACTCCATCTCAAAAAATAAATAAATAAATAAATAAAATTTAAAATTTTTTAAAAACCGTAGGATAAGTTAAAACAGTTGGGGTAAATAGAGTTAAAATGCCATGACATGCTATTATAACATTCTTGAAGTAATGTATAAATAATTTGATGATTGTGGACTGCAATAAAATCCACACTGTCAGCAGGTGGATGCAGCCAACTGATGAATACAGGTTACAAAGTGGAGATATAAGGAAAATGTGCTGATTTGTTAATCTTTCATGGGAGAAATCAATATATTCAGTTTCATTTTTAAAATCGATGAATTAAGGAATATGGGTTTAAGAATATTACTTGATATGTCTGTGTCAACTAGGATTAGGTTTAGCTGATACTGAAAGAAAACCAAATTGTAATGGTTTAACACTTTAAGAGATTTACTTTTTTTTTTTTTTCCAAATAAACTGAAGCTAGAGACAGGGAGTCCAAGGCTAGTACAGTTCAAATTGGTATAGAAATACGGGCTTATTCTTCCTGTTTTTCCTTTCAGCCTGTGGTATTTATCTCAAAATCATCCCATGTTCATAAGATAGGCATTGCAGCTTCAGCCATCACATCTGCTTCCAAGCACAAAAAAGAGAAGTAAAAGGGAGAAATGTTCAGCTAAGTTGTCTTACATCCCATTGTTTACACATAAATGCAAGGGAAGGTGAAAAAAATAGTCTTTAAGCCAAGCATATTTATATTCCTCAATAAGAACGGGGTTCTGTTAAGGACAAAGACGAGCATGAATATTGAGAAGTGTGAAGACCTATACGGTGGCTGCATAGTCACCAAACTAACAAGAGAGAAGAAAACAAAACTCAGAAGACAATTTAGCAAACTGCAAATATACCTTATTTCTAGTTGTTCCACAATGTTAAGAAAAAAAATGGATTGCTGAATGCTATGGGTTGAATTGTGTCCCACAAAAATTCATACACTGAAGTCCTAACCCTAGTGCTTCAGAACATGATTTGGAAATAAGGTCATTGAAGATGTAGTTACTCAAGATGTAATTAGTTAAGGTTTCCTTTTTGATAAGACACATTTCCTTTTTTATAGGACTCACCAAGGAAGATGAGTTCCTAATCTAACATAACTAGTGTCTTATCAAAAAGGAAAATGTGGACAAAAACATACACACAAACACACAAAAAAGAACACCACATGAAGATGAAGGCAGGGATCAAGTGATGCTTCTGCAAGCCAAGAGATGCCAAAGATTGCCAGAAAGCCACCAAAAGCTGGGGAAGAGGCATGAGATGTATCGTCCTCATAGCCTTCAGAAGAACCAACCCTGCCAGCACCTTGATATTGAACCTCTAGTCTCCAGTACTGTGAGAAAATGAATTTCTGCTGTTTAAGCCACCCATCCTATGGTACCATGTTATGACAGCCCCAACAAATATACTGGGGATCGTTGCTTTTCTTGTTACATATTTCTGCAGGATTGACTTTATAACTTTTTATTTTTATAAATGTATAAAGTTTATTTTATATATTCATATCTTTTACAAACAGAATAAAAATAAAGATGTTTTCTAAATAGGATGAGTTTGGTAATTTTTAATATTTGTTTAATTCTATAAGTTTACATTTCATAGGAATCATTGGCCTAAAAATTTTGACCAAATTTAACAGTGAAGCTATCTGGACACGAAACATGTCCTTTAGAGAGGACGTTTTTGTTGGCACCTTTTCTAGGTTTGACCTAGACCTAGGAGTCTAGGTCATTTCTTGTTTTTAATTTTTAGAAATTATGATCCTCCCTAGAAAAGCATCTGCTTAGAATTAAAAGGTGGTCGTAGTGATGTCAGCCTGGTTGTTTTATTTTCCCAAATCTACACATAAAAACAGACAGAGCACTTAGTTATCCAAACCAAAAGAAAAAAAAAATCTATGGTCAATTTTTACAATAAAACTAGATGCTAAGGTATCTCCACAGACTCTAAAATAAAAGTAGATGGGGACAAATTACCTCCAGCACAAGACGGGCCTATCATAAGTATTTGCATGGGAAAGAAAGGCAAAAAGGAAGATCTAAGAACAGAAAATCCAACAGTAGTCCATAGGTGTCCTTGGGAAAGGAGAGGGGTTGGAGCTGAGACCAGTGAATGAATCCAGGAGGGCTTCCCTGCTCAATGACAGTGAGTGCAAGACCCCAGGGGTCGCAGGCTGCACCAGGGTGACCTGGGAACTCCTAAAACTGACCTGCTCCCCCTTCCCCCGAACCCGGGAGAAAATGCTAGAAATGCAATCAGAATGGAGAAGGGCAAAGAAACCACACATGAAGGAAGGAGAAGATTTCAATAAAAGAATGGAGGGGAAGAGGAACAGGAGAGTGCAGAGCCCAGACCACCACTCCTTCTCACACTGGGGGAAACTGAAGAGGAAGCTCTTTGACGTTGCAAAAGATGTCTGAACAAAGTTCTGAACATTAAGGAAACGTATTTCACACGAAACAAACTGGGTAGAAAAGTATCTCAAGTAACAAAATTACTTTAAGAAAACTACAAATATGGAGCAGAATAACAACCCTACTATAAAAAGACACCAAAAATATCAAAACTGTAACTTACTATTTCTAAACCATTTAAACATTTAGGAGAACAGTAAAAGGCATTTTTTTAAACCCATGAATAATAGATAGAAACATTCAATAATGAGACGGCGGAACTCAAAAACAATTAGAATAAAAGAAAAGCATTTTAGAAATAAAGACTAAACTAGAAGGAACACAAGAAAAAATAACACAACACAGAACACCTTAAGAGTAGAAAAGTGAAAAAAAATCATAATCCAAAATGATAAAAAAAAAGTTACAGAAAAAAGTGAAAAATCTTGAAGATAGGCAATAACAATTCAACATATGTTTAAAAGGAGTCCCTGAGGAAGAAAACTAAAGAAAAGCCATACAACAAATAATAAAAACTATAGTTCAAAGAAACTTTCGTGAAACAAAAAATATTTGAACTCACATACTAAATACACTGAGTCCTACAAATACCACCCGAGAATAACCAGCACCAAGACATTTACTATTAAAATTACTTAACTTGTTTTTTAAAAATCCATTGGACATGTACGTGAAAGGGTCACTTAACATATTAAGAAAACAAAACTGGCTTATTATCAGATTTTCTACACTAATGCTTTATCCCTGAAGAGCAGAATAACATAGTTAAGGTTGTCAAGAGAAAAAAAAATGAGCCTAGAATTTTGTACTCAGCAAATCTGATCTTCCAGTATAATGTACACTTGAGTAATTCTGAGACTACTGCTTCCACGAAAACTTCCTAAGGAATCTACCAGAAAACAAGCTTAGGGCAAATAAAATAACTAGAGATATATTGACTTAACTAGTAGTTAAATATGTAGTTACTTGGTGGAACAAGGTTAAATGAGGCTAAAAAGGGAGAGATCATAGTCTGTAATGGCCATATGATCTACAGCACAGATATAGGAAAAGCATGTACAAGATGGGGAAAATGGGCATAGCAAATATAAATATTTGTATGTTCAGGAAATCAAAATTTACAGTTGTATTAGTCCATTCTCACATTGCTATAAAGAAATACCTAAGACCGGGTAATTTATAAAGCAAAGAGGTTTAACTGGGTCACTGTCCGGCAGCCTGTACAGGAAGCATGACTGTGGAGGCCTCAGGAAACTCAAAATCATGGTAGAAGGCAGAGAGGGAGCAGGTGCATGACATGGCCAGAGCAGGAGCAAGAGAGGGGAGGGGGATGCCACCCACTTTTAAGCAGCCAGATCTCGTGACAACTCACTCACTACTGCAGGACAGCACCAAGGGGACACTGCTAAACCATTCATGAGAAACTCACCCCCATAATCCAATCACCTCCCTCCAGGCCACACCTCTAACACTGGGGATTACACTTCAACCTGAGAGATCAATAGTAAGTGGATCAGTATTGCTATTCTGAGATCTGCAAAGTGGGATAAAGCAAATAATTATGGAATATTCTAATTATTTTTTCTCCTGTATCAGGAGTCTTCAAATTATCCCTGTTTTGTAAATAAAGTTTTATTGGAACACAGCCATGCCCATTCATTTACATAGGGTCAGTGGCTGCTTTCACAGTGCACTGACAGAGTTGAGTGGTTACAACAGAGACCATGTGCCCTGCAAGCCTGAAATACATGCTATCTTGTCCTTTAAAGAAAAGTTTTCTGATATTTATGCTATATCCTTGAAAACCAGGATTGTCAGTGAGAAGAAATGAGATATAGATGTAATATAAGTAAGTGGTCAGATAGAAACAGTGTGGTCCCTTGGCTTGCACAGTGGCTCACACCTGTAATCCCAGCACTTTGGGAGGCCAAGGAGGGAGGATCACTTGAGGTCAGGAGTTCGAGACCAGCCTGACCAACTTGGCGAAATCCCGTCTCTACAAAAAATACAAAAATTAGCTGGGCGTGGTGGCATGCACCTGTGCTCCCAGCTACTCAGGAGGCTGAAGTGAGAGGATCGCTTGAACCCAGGAGGTTGTGGCTACAATGAGTTGAGATTATGCCACTGAACTTCAGCCTGGTGACAGAGTGAGACCCTGTCAAGGAAAGAAAGAGAGAAAGAAAGAGAGAGGGAGAGAGGGAAGGAGAATAAAGAAAGAAAGAAAAGAAAGAAAGAAAGAAAGAAAGAAAGAAAGAAAGAAAGAAAGAAAGAAAGAAAGAAAGGGAGAGAGAGAGAAAGAAAGGGAAAGGAAAGAAAGTGAAAGGGAAAGGAAAGGAAAGGAAAGGAAAGAAAGAAAGAAAGAAAGAAAGAAAGAAAGAAAGAAAGAAAGAAAGAAAGAAAGAAAGAAAGAAAGAGAAAGGGAGAGAGAGAGAAACGGAGAGAGAGAAAGGGAGAAAGGGAAGGGAAGGGAAAAAGAAAAGAAAAGAAAAGAAAAGAAAAGAAAAGAAAAAAGAAAAACAGTGTGGTCCCAAATTTGAAATGGAAATATCAGCATGAACGACTGAGGTGCTCTGTCTTCTACTTCAAATCTAGTTCTGTCCCCTGAAAAGGCCTAAAATCAATGATCATAAAACTAGTAAGGTATATGTAACACCCAGATCATGGCCCTAAAATATGATTTCTCGTTTAAAAAAAAGAAAAAAAATGAAACAAAACATAGGCTTCTTATAAAAATGGCTGATTCCAGGTCTGAAGCAGGAAATGTACAAGACAAGCCAGGTTTACCTGGAAATATCAGATGGCAAAGCAGCTGCCAGAAGCCACCAGGTGCAAAGGATTCAGGAGCCACCAGGAAGGGCTCCCACTGGCCACAGAAGGAATCATTTGTTTTACTACCCAAAAAAAAATGTCCATAAATTGAAACCCTTCAAATATATTTTAAAGCATGAGTTTATGGCAATATTTTTAAAAACGATCACCTTCTGAGGATGACAAGGAGTCATTATCATGAAAACTAGTCAAAAGGAAAGAATCAAACATTTTTCCTGCCTTTTCTACATTCAATTATAATTCATAAAAAGGTACCCTGGGATACCCAAAGAGATGAAGGAACGCTTTTCCTTACACAGACATTTTAGAGAATAAATAAAACTGAATGACAGGATGAGGATACCACCACTAGGAACCTTCAGGAAATTTGCAAAGCAAGCTTGAACTGACATCAATAAAAGAGTGTGAAATGAGTGCTCTGTGCCCCTGGGGCAAGCACAGCGTGTCACCACTTAGAGTCTAACCAAGGGGTGGTACTTGGGCTGGATCACACTTCAAGATCCTGCTGCCAATTTGCAGCAAATAAAGAAAAAAGGTACATGTTGATGATATGGTTTGGCTGTGTCTGCACCCAAATCTTATCTTGAATTGTAACAGTTCCCACGTGTTGTGGGAGGAACCTGGTGGGAGGTAATTGAATCATGGGGGCGGGTCTTTCTCATGCTGTTCTCATGATAGTGAGTATGTCTCATGAGATCTGATGGTTTTAAAAGAAAAAGTTGCCCTGCACAAGCTCTCTTCTTTTGTCTGCCCCAACGTGAGACGTGCCTTTCACCTTGCACCATGATCGTCAGGCCTCCCCCACCACATGGAACTGTAAGTCCAATAAACCTCTTTCTTTTGTAAATTGCCCAGTCTCAGGGAATCTTTTTCAGCAGTGTAAAAACACATTAATACAGTTTAATTGTGCCATGAGTCTGAAATCCGCATAATCCAAACCGTGGGAAAACCTGCTCACGTAAGGACTCAGATTCCTCAGCAAATAAATTGTAAGATGTGGAAGGGAAGCGATAGATCACAAGGCACCTGAAACACATAGCAGTCTTTTTTATTTTAATGAGCAAGATTTGAGTAGATGTATAACGTACAAATAAAGAAATGCAAGGAAAGGAATACAGTAAAATGAGGAGAGTAGTTAGCATCTGGGGAGGGAGGGGACCCAGATGGCTTAGGGCATATGCACAGGCTTCTATTTCCTGCCCTAATGGGAGGTTACAAAAAGAGTCTGACTTCTAATAACTCACTAAGCCATAGAAAAAGTTAGCATGGGGATCACCCTGGAGAGAGAACAATACTGCCTGGGTGGTAGCACAATGGGGGTTTCTGGGGTGCTGGTATTGAGAGGTGACAGCATGCTGGCAGCCCTCGCAGCCCTCGCTTGCTCTGGGCGCCTCCTCGGCCTCGGCGCCCACCCTGGCCGTGCTTGAGGAGCCCTTCAGCCTGCCGCTGCACTGTGGGAGCCCCTCTCTGGGTTGGCCGAGGCTGGAGCCGGCTCCCTCAGCCTGCAGGGAGGTGTGGAGGGAGAGGCGCGGACGGGAACTGGGGCTGCACACGGTGCTGGCAGGCCAGCACAAGTTCCGGGTGGGCGTGGGCTTGGCGGGCGTCCCACTCGGAGCAGCAGGCCGGCAGCACCGGCCCTGGGCAGTGAGGGGCTTAGCACCTGGGCCAGCAGCTGCAGAGAGTGCACCAGGTCCCTCAGCAGTGCCGGCCCACCGGCGCTGTGCTCAAATTCTCACCAGGCCTCAGCTGCCTCCCCGCAGGGCAGGGCTGGGGACCAGCAGCCTGCCATGCCCGAGCCTCCCCCAGCTGCCGTGGGCTCCTGCATGGCCCGAGCCTCCCCAAGTAGGGCTGCCCCCTGCTCCACGGTGCCTCGTCCTATCGACTGCCCAAGGGCTGAGGAGTGTAGGTGCACGGATCGGGACTGGCAGGCAGCTCCGCCTGTGGCCCCGTGCAGGATCCACTAGGTGAAGCCAGCTGGGCTCCTGAGTCTAGTGGGGACTTGGATAAACTTTATGTCTAGCTAAGGGATTGTAAATGCACCAATCAGCACTCTGTGTCTAGCTAATCTGGTGAGGACTTGGAGACTCTTTATGTCTAGCTGAGGGATTGTATATACACCAATCAGCACTCTGTGTCTACCTCAGGGTTTGCGAACACACCACCAGCACCCTGTGTCTAGCTCAAGGTTTGTAAATGCACCAATCAGTGCTCTGTGGGTACTTGGAGAACTTTTGTGTCTGGCTCAAGGATTGTAAACGCACCAGTCAGCACCCTGTCAAAACGGAACAATCACCAGCTCTCTGTAAAACAGACCAATCAGCTCTCTGTAAAATGGACCAATCAGCAGGATGTGGGTGGGGCCAGATAAGGGAATAAAAGCAGGCTGCCCGAGCCAGCAGTGGCAACACGCTAGGGTCCCCTTCCACACTGTAGAAGCTTTGTTCTTTCCCTCTTTGAAATAAATCTTGCTGCTGTTCACTCTTTGGGTCTCCACTGCCTTTATGAGCTGTAACACTCACCGCGAAGGTCTGCAGCTTCACTCCTGAGGCCAGCGAGACCACGAACCCACTGGGAGGAATGAACAACTCCGGACTGGAGGAACGAACAACTCCAGACGCACTGCCTTAAGAGCTGTAACACTCTCCGCAAAGGTCTGCAGCTTCACTCCTGAAGCCAGTGAGACCACGAACCCACCAGAAAGAAGAAATTCCGAACATGTCCGAATATCAGAAGGAACAAACTTCAGACACACTATCTTTAAGAACTGTAACACTCACCACAAGGGTCTGCGGCTTCATTCTTGAAGTCAGTGAGACCAAGGACCCACCAATTCCGGACACAGTATTTTTTTGATGAGGGTGCTGGCTGTACAAGTCTTTTCAGTTCATGAAAAAGCATTGAGTTTTACATGGGTGCAGTTTTCTTTATGTAAGCTATGCCTTCGTATTTTAATGTTTTTCAAATTTACACATAAGGTTTAATATACAGAGGTATAGATACAGAATTAAAACCTTGGACAGTATTCAATTTTATGTTTCTATTTACCTGTTTAACAAATCACTTAATTTTCAAGTGCTGCAACAATTGTGCTTCTAGCAACTTCTTACTTCTAATGGTTTTTGCTTTGTAAATGCGGGCACTATTTGGTGCATAAAAGGGCATAATATAAGTTTATTGGTGATAGTATCTTTTATCGATATGAAATGATAAAATTTTGGAGACTTTCCACTATTAACTGAGTTTTCCTTGATACAGTCTGGTCTGAAATTCACATTTCTTCTCCAATCCCTTCTCACTCCACCCCACCCCACTCTTGCCCATCCGATTTCCAGGTTTTTTTTTTTAGTTCCCTGATACATATTTGTCCATCTTTTCTTTATTGGAGCCCTACAGCACTGAGGAAGAAGCATTCCACACCACCAGAATCACCAAGTTCCAGACAAAACAGAGGACCCTGTCTTCTCTAGGGAGACATTTTTGTGATTAGCTCTTTTTAAATGCTGTCATAAAATCTCACACAGCTTCAGATCTTGCTGCTTTCATTTTGTACACATTTTTATTCCATATGCATTTTATTCCATGTCAACTATATTCCTTGTATGTTATTATAGAGACCAATAAGGGAGAGTGCAGGCACTCAACTTACAGCTTAGAGGAGAAGACAGACAAATAAACACAGTGCTGATAGAGTGTGATTCCTGCTCTGGTAGAGAATCTGATGAAGTCTAGGGTCATGGGCAGGTATTCCGAGAGGCTCCTAACCTAGCCTGGGGGACGGGGAGTGGCATGGTAAGGAAAATCATCATTCTTTATACACCTGCAGGAAAAAAAGTCAGTTTCATTTAAGAAGATCCTTGATGAAACTGTAAGATGCAGATATAAGTAAACACAGATTTTAGGCCGGGTGCCATGGCTTACACCTGTAATCCCAGCATTTTGGGATGCTGAGACGGGCGGATCATGGGTTCAAGAAATCGAGACCATCCTGGCCAACATGGTGAAACCCTGTCTCTACTAAAAATACAAAAATTAGCTGGGCGTGGTGGCGCATGCCTGTAATCCCAGTTACTCAGGATGCTGAGGCAGGAAAATCACTTGAACCCGGGAGGCAGAGGTTGCAATGAGCCCAGATTGCACCACTGCACTCCAGCCTGGTAACAGAGCAAGACTCCGTCTCAAAAAATATAGATAGATAGATAGATAGATAGATAGATAGATAGATAGATAGATAGATAGATACATTTTAATTTTGATGAACTAAATTCTCAAGCACACAACTTTTAAGCATTCAGTGTGACAACATGGGAAGCACGTGTGAAGCACTCTGTTGCGTGTGGAGGCCTGGTGATGGTTTTGAGGAAATATTTATTTTCCTTGTGTGACGGTTTCAGCTCAACTAGCTGCTATTTCACGTAACATCACTTTTACTTGAAAGAATAACAGACAAACTGTGGTAATTCAGAATTGGGTCTTTAGAAAGCATTTTCTCAAAAATGAGGAATACAATAAGATTTTATTTTTAAGTGAATCTTAGGATGTTGAAAAACTTATATACGTTGCCATGAACTTGACAGCTTTACAATATTTAAAAATTTATTGATAAGGTAGGTGGTGACATTAACTAATGTACTTTTCGAAACTGTCTTATGAAATGTGTCAATGTTTGTAAGACCTGCATAATTCAGCAAAGCAATATTTTCAAAGTGGGAATGCATGAAGTTACAAAATCATGACTGGGTAAAATATCCACTCCAAGTACAATATAAATCAATGGTTTTTAAAGTAATGAGAGTATGAAAAGTATATTTATCTGAGCACGGTGGCTCACGCCTGTAATCCCAGCACTTTGGGAGACAGAGGCGGGCGATCACCTGAGGTCAGGAGTTAGAGACCAGCTTGGCCAACATAGCGAAACCCCAACTCTACTAAAAATACAAAAATTAGCAGGGCGTGGCGGTGCACCTGTAATCCCAGCTACTCCTGAGGCTGAGGCACGAGAATCGCTCGAACCTGGGAGGCAGAGGTTGCGGTGACCCAAGATTGCGCCGCTGCACTCCAGTCTTTTGAGATTCCGTCTCAAAAAAAAAAAAAAAAAAGGAAGAAAAATTAATGTAGTTTTAGATTGCACACTGCAACTAATCTTTAAGCAACTATATTTGCTGTGTTTTGGTTATCCACAGTTATTTGAGAAGGCCAATAAAATAACACTTCATTTTCCAAATACATGTATGAGGTTCAATTTTCTTCATTTTCTTCAACTAAAACATATTTTAAGAGATTGAATTCAGGGGGAATATGCAAGTCTAGCTGTCTTCTATGATGTCAGACCTTGAAGAGATTTGCAAAATGTAAAACGATGCCACTCTCTTCATTGAAGTTTTTCCTTTGGAAAATAGACTTCTCTTGCCTAAGAATGTGTTATTTATGTTAACAAGTAATAGGTCTATCATTTGTTATGTTTAAAATGAATTCAAAATATTTTTTAAATTTCTCAGTTTTCAACTTGAATGCAGAAAATATTATACCTAAGAGAGGGGCCCTGAGATTAAAAACTCTGAGAAACTCTTCACTACGCACACAAGAGTGACAAAAATAAAATGAAAAAGAAAAGCTCCTCAGAGACCTTAGCAATTTTTAAGTGTCCAGATAAAGAATGATTACTGGAAACAAAGGATATCAGTTATCTGAATATGTTGCCTAGTTTATTATAGGTACATGGCTGAGTTGAAGCCAAGAGGCAAAACATCAGCCAGCCTCACACGATAGAATTTTGACATCCAAATGAGACATAAACTCAACTACAGATGGTATATAACATTCTAGGTGTTTTTTTTCCTCTTTCTGAATAGTTTATTTTCAGTGCTGTTTTCCACAAAGAAGCATTTCTTTTTTTTTGTTTTGTTTTGTTTTGTTTTTGAGATGGAGTCTTGCTCTGTCACCCAGGCTAGAGTGCAGTGGTGCGATCTCGGCTCACTGCAACCTCCACCTCCTGGGTTCAAGCGTTTCTCCTGCCTCAGTCTCCCAAGTAGCTGGGATTACAGGTGTGTGCCACCACGCCTGGATAATTTTTATATTTTTAGTAGAGATGGGGTTTCACCATCTCAGCCAGGCTGGTCTTGAACCCCTGACCTCGTGATCCATCCACCTTGGCCTCCCAAAGTGCTGGGATTACAGGCGTGAGCCACCACGCCTGACCCAAAGAAGCATTTTTTATTGCTTTATCAAAAAAAAAATGTAGTAAGAAACAGAACAATGTTGAATGCTAGCTAGCTGTCTCCCTCCCTCACGAGGCTGAGATTTCATCATGAATGTCAGCCTTACTATGCTTTTGACTTAAATTTGAATTTCTTGTAATCCACTTGAAAATACATGCAATGATATTTATGAACATTTCTTAACGTTTCTCCTTTTTTAGTAGGAAATAAAATATCTGTTGAGAGTTATTTTTGATAGCTTTTAAGTGTGGGGAATAATGGGTTGAAACAATTAAAATGTCATTGCTATCTTTTTTTCCCTTCTTCCCAAAAGAAAGTCTAAGTGCACTAGTTAATATATTAGGAAAAGGGCATAATTTTAATATTGGGTTTCATTATCTATAATGAGGTTGTGATTTTTAAAACATTTTATTTACTCCATATTTTACAGCAGCCTGTCTTTCTTCGGCTGCCTCAAATACAGTACTGCTTCACCTGTGGACTGTATATACTTGTTCAGCAATGCCCTCTCTAAAGGAAAAAGCCTTCAATAGAAATATTAAAATGGGAACAGTGACAAGAGAGCAACTAGTGTAATTCCTGACACCCATATGTACCAGCATGCCCAGGGCTGCCCAGGAAGCCTGTGGCACAAATAGAAATTGGGTCCCTGTCCTGGATGCCTTCTATAAACTATTCTTATAACTATCTAAGAGATCATGCAAACAGATGCTTCATTGCTTTCTATAGTTCTGAATTACTACTTTTTACTTTTGCAGATAAATGTATGTTTTCCATTCTTCCAGTGCAACCTAGCCTCTTTTGGTGAAGAGGGGCAAAAATACTAGTTCTCTTCAACACAGGGGCGCTATTGCCAATTACGTGTTCATTACTTATGTTCTATCTGCTGTGGCTCCCTTTTCATGGACACCAATAATGTATACATTGAATCACCTTCCTGGTTGTCCGTATCATTTTTTTTTTTTTGCTGTTGTTTTAGTCCCAGTTTTGTTAATGTGCTTTATTAAGGGGAAAGAGGAAGTCAAAGCTTCCAAGTCTTTGGGATGATCTTTGTTTCCTGAGCTATTTTTCCTATGGACTTTTGTGTCCAGAAGTGCATTACTCAAAATCCTTAGCTGATCACACTCTCATTAGTCCACAGATGGCGCACTTTTAGGTACACGTGCGTGCATAAAAGCATGCACACATAAGTATCAAAAATAACTCTCCGGTATGTACGTAGTTCACTCACATTTTAAATAATATACCAATCATTTATATACCCACCACTCAAAATAAAAGTTAAGTCATTGGTAAACCATCCCCCTGCCAGTTGCTTCACACCACCTTCCCATCCCTGTGCCTCCTCCCAGCCAAAGCCGCCATCATCCTGAACCCATTCCTATTATTTTCATCTTTCCCTTCTATTCATCTTCATTGCACGTAGACGTACTTTGTGGTTGTTATTTTGGAGTTTTTCACCCTATATTTTCATCTTCAGTAAGAAAGGCAACAGATGTGGACAGGCTCTGACTCTAAAGTGCCATAACACACAGACATCTGTAACAGTGCTCATTGAGAAAGGCAGGATAATTACATTTTACTTATTGACCTTATTTGGAATTACCTTCAACTCAGACAAGGTCCACAGGCACAGACACGCCTATACCAGGTTCACTACTGAGCACATGAGAAATGGTGAATCGTAGAAATTACGGAGAAATTTTACACAGTTCCCCCAGCTGAGAGGCTCCAACTATCTTGGAATTCAACTCCAGTGTCATATAAGCATGTAAGGATATGCAAGTATCTTTTTTTCCTGTAATCTAGTAAACTCTTAATATCTGACCATTAATAGGCAAATATTTCAAAGATGCCATTCATTGATAAAGGCGCTCGATCTTGAATTTTTCAAGGTAAGTATATTTGTATAATTTTAGTAGTTTTGATAAAGATTAAGCTTGCAACTAGATATGGTTTATTACGTCTTTGTGATTGGTCATACTAAATAAAATGTTATAAATCAGAAAAAAAGTGTTCTTTATTCAATGGTTCTTTATTCTGTGGTTCACAGACTACTTTCATACTGCTTATGCCTTTAGGTTTTCTCTGCACCTTACACTTGGCAGGGCCTGAATGAAGATTTAGAGCTTGATTGATTGATTGTGCTGAAAAGCACTAATTTTCAGGTGGCTCCAAAGCATTTCAGTTCTTTCAGTTGGCTTGGTTCAAGCTCTTTGAATTATTATTGTTTATGTTTCTACAATCTCCGGTAAAGGACACCTTAATCATGCATTTTATTCCTCTGAAATTCCAAGGGATGCCTCTGTGAAATCATCTGCCCTAAGCCAGGATACATACACGGCTCTCCTCCCAGTCACAAGGACCATCTATAAATATGGTAATAACGAATTCCCCTAAGGATTGCTATGAGTGCCCTCATGTTTCATGATATGGTAAATGGTTTGAACAGTCACTACTTTACCAAAAAAAGAACTAGTTTCTGGAGCATGACCGTTTCATTCTCAGTGAGAGAGCCTGACTCCAACAAGACCGAGGTCTGTTGTGTACACACATTACTACAGAACTGTGGATGGGGAAGCAAAACTGCAGTTACTCTTCACCAGAGAATGCAAATTCCTAGCTCTAATGGTAGCTGTCATCCTCACATTTGAAGCCGTCTGAAGTAGATTAAGTGGCCACATTTAAAATAATGGCTTCAAATTTATTTTTAAAACGCTGCCTACTCACAGAAGAGCTGCTCTGTTGAAATTTAATAGTATTCCTTCTTGGGTTTTCTTCCATTTCGCTTACCCGTATCTTCCCTGACACATTGCACCGCATGACACTAACATAAATAGGAATGCACGTCTGCAGCGTTATTTCAGAACAGGTGGGCCTATTCTCCACTGTGGTGGAGTGCATAGTAGATCAGGTGGTATAATTGAAGACACTTTAACAAAAGCCCTCATCCACACTGTCTTGCCTCTCTGGAGGTCAGACATTTCTATCATTACAGTAGGATTCTTTTGGCATTTGGGGATTGCTTTGAACTCCAGACTCTGCTTTTAAAACTACCCATAACCTCAAGAAGCATTGCATTATCAGGTCACACCGGAATACTCTGCATTTTGCCCCGCCCGCCATCTCATGCATGTTCTTGCTCATTCTGTCTGCTTTGCCAGACTGCCCTGCTCTATGCTGGGACAGAAAAACCCCTTGCACCTATCCAGAGCTACCTCAAAGGGAACCTCCTCTGCAAAGATTCTTCCAACTTGCCCTAGAACCAATCACTAATTTTTTCACCCAAACACTTAGGGCTATTACGCCCATGACAATATCACACTAGATTATGTATGACAGGACAGGATAAGATAACAGGATGTAGGTATGACATCCACACTCCCTAGTGGTTTCCTGAAAGTTCCAATCTTGGGCACCCCCTCACTCCTGGGCTTGCGTCTTGATACTCTGAATGCATCCATGCATGAGACATCCACCACTTCAAACACCAGCCTTTGACTTCTCCATCTGAAAAAAACACTGCTTGCTCTTCACACCTGAGATAAAGTGTTTTGTCCTCCTGAATTCTTTCCCTCCCACCTCCTGCTCCCCTCTCCCAAGCCTGATTTAAGTTCTGTCCATCAGAGGCCCCCTCCCTATAACTCCCTATAATTGACAGCAATTATTCTTCCCATTTCTCCCATGGAGTGAGAGTCCACCTAGTGCAACCTCGATAAATATTTATCCAATGACAAAAATAAATCAATCCACGAATTGGTGACTTTGGCACCAGAGGAAAGAAATTTCAAATTCTTCGTAAGTTATGTAAATTATATGAGATTCTCTCACCTCACCTATGGACCAAACGAAATCTAGCCTTCTAGGTTTTTGTGAAAAATAAGCATAACTTGTGCACAAACCATTGTGGGCCTAGGTTCAGCTCCTATTTGTTAGTCTCCTTCCTACTTCAAACAATTATTTGATCCGCAAAGCTGTTGTTCAAACATGATGGAGCTCAAACACCAGCGGCCTAAGAACACCACGGAGAGCACAGGGGACATTCCTGGGTAGGAAATGGATGCAAAGCAGCAGGAAGAGAGTGATTACATCCTTCATCCCGTGGAACAGCAGCTTTCGTTGCACCTACTCTTCTCCAGGAGGAACATCGTCTCTCCTTATGCAAACAGGAATCACCGCCATTATAACCTGCTTTTCTTTTATTGTACTTAGTAAGTGATGTATAAATGATCTCATGAATGCTTCGTTGTATTTTGGCAAAAAAAAAAAAAAAAAGATGTCTTTCATCTTATGGAAAGTGTTTGGCTATGTAAACACAGTTACTGGCACAGTGTGGTAGTAACACTAAATGTTACCTAAACGTGGTAACAACAGTCTTATGCCTAGAAAGCTTCAAATGAAAATGCAACCCTAACAACCCATGGGTGCATTTATTTATGTCTCTTAGGATGCTCCAAGATGAAGGTGGCATTAGCAGATGGTGCTTATTTGGTGGTGACTTTTTATCCATCTTAGGGACCAGAATTTGAGCAGATAAGTTACTTGGTATGGACAGAGCATGAGCGTGTTATCACATGAAACCAGGATCCACTTGCCTGGTGCAGTAAGACCGGACATCCACACCAAGGTTTGCAGTGGGAGAAAGGAAGGAGTTTATCTGCAGGGTGCCAAGCAAGGAGAATCTAGCAGCTAAAGCTTCAGTCCAGAATTCCCAGATGAATCACAGGTAAGGGTTTTTAAAGGGAGGGATAAATTTCAGGAAAGCAGAAGTTACAGGCAAATTAGTAAATTAATATATGAAGGTTACACATTGGTTTTAGCCTTAAAGGACAGAATATTTTGAAGTGGGGCTTACAGGTCATAGGTGGATTCAAACATTTTTCTGATTTGCAATTGGTTAAGGAAAAGAAGGCTTTCTGTAAATATTTGGGGTCAGCAGAAAAGAACATTAGCCCCAGCTCCTGAGTATGACTTTCTCCAGGCCCTTAGGAAAAAATTTAGAACAAAGAGCAATGGTTCAGAGTTCAGTCCTCAGCTCCCCATCATCTAAGGTCTATGACCCCACAGATCTGTTTTGTGGGGTTCAGGGTTTCTGAAAAACCACTCAGGAACATATGTTGAGATGTTATCCCAGCCGGACGTGGTGGCTCACGCCTGTAATCCCAGCACTTCGGGAGTCCGAGGCGGGCGGATTACAAGGCCATGAGTTCAAGACCAGCCTGGCCAACACGGTTAAACCACGTCTCTACTAAAAATACAAAAATTAGCTGGACATGGTGGTGTGTGCCTGTAGTCCCAGCTACTCAGGAGGCTGAGGCAGGAGAATCACTTGAACCCCGGAGGCAGAGGTTGCAGTGAGCCAAGATCATGCCATTGCACTCCAGCCTGGGCAACAAAGCGAGACTCCGTCCCCCCCTAAAAAAAGATGTTATCTTTAGTTTCTACAGAGAACCAAACATCCCATGATTCTAGCTTCCCTAGCTATTTGTTTTGGGCTACTATTACCTTCTTGATTATCAAGTAGTTCATTTACCTCTCAGGAGTAGCTAGCTGCCTGGAATTTCCCTTGAAGGTACTCAAAATTTTCCTTTATGTCTGTGCTAAGGGTGGGTGGTCCATAGGCCCCTAAAAGAGGTCCCTCCTCCATCTCAAGAGTGAGTAAAAACTTTGCCCAATTAAAAAAAAGTAATTAAACAAGCAAACTTCTTACATCAGTTGCATCTGATAACTTCAGCTATAGATTTCGGCTCCAGCAACAACGACAGTGAGCAGGCATGAAGTGTCTCTGGGCCAGTAAGAAGGAGAGTGTTCTCGATCCCAGTTCAGGAGGATCGATTAATTACACAAACATCAACATTACAGTGGGAGGGCGTGCCTAGGGACATTCACTTACAGAACTATCTCCTTAAAGACAGTATCCTACGAATCCTGTACAAGTCCCATTTGCCACATGGAATCTCTTTTCTCACCCCCGTTGCCATTTCGTGTGGGTAACGCCTCATCTATTCATTCCAAGATCCTTTCCTGATACCTCGGTCTGATTTGCATCCTGAAGACCTTGTGTTCTGCTAATCTCCCATGCATCTGTCTAGCACAGTGGTCTTCCTGTTGGGGTTCCTCGTCTGTGTGCCTCTCTTGCCTGCAAGATGGTCCGTGCAGGGCTGTGCTCCCTGTGTATGTGGTATGGGGTAAACAAACACGTATTGAATAAAATACCTTTTCCTTTGTGCCTTGCACAAAGGAAAAGGTGGTTGCTTTTCATTGGAGAGACCAGGAGAACCTTTACAAAGCATTCATTCTTGCATTCTAATACATCCTACCCACCTAACAGAAACCCTTTTTTTTTTCTTTAATAAATGAAACCAATTTTGGCTACACTGGAAAGCAGTTGAGGCAGTTTGCTCCCACCTCACCATCTCCAAAAATGACAGCTCTAATGACATTACTAGAGTAAAAAGGGACACTTTTCACTTTTGGCCATCCTGACACAGGACTGGAAGCCAAAGGTGCAACAGAAGTTTTAGCTGCAGCTCATCTGCACTTAGCTTTTCAATTCTCAAACTCCCTGCCTCTCCTGAATCACCATTAGGCTCCAATACAATGGGGTTGACGCCCACTCTCCAGCCACACACCCTCAAAAGATGGATTGGGGTTATTTATTTGTATTGCTTCATTTTGTTTTCATTTTGTCAGTGATACTAACTCCACTCTAGAACAAAACACACGTCACAGTTTGCCTGGTTTGTTCTTTCTCCTTCAGTGTTATTGCAACTACTCAACCATTTGTAGCACTCAAACTGCAGCACTGACCTTAGTCTCAAAACTTTCAAACAGTTCCTCTCTATATCCCTCACTTGCATAACTGCATGCTCCCTATTACCAAAAATTCTAACATCTGATTTTTTTTTTTTTTTTTTTGACAGAGTCTCGCTCTGTCACCAGGCTGGAGTGCAGTGGCGCAGTCTCAGCCCACTGCAACCTCTGTCTCCCAGGTTCAAGCAACTCTCCTGCCTCAGCCTCCTGAGTAGCTGGGACTACAGAGGCATGCCACCATGCCTGGCTAATTTTTGTATTTTTAGTAGAGATGGGGTTTCACCATGTTGGCCAGGATGGTCTCAATCTCTTGACCTTGTAATCTGCCTGCCTCGGCCTCCCAAAGTGCTGAGATTACAGGCATGAGCCACCACGCCCAGCCTCTCATTTTTAACATGTAAGTCATCATGGGATTAAGAACAGTAACTCCAAAACTAAGTACAAACACAGAAAATAAAACCCTAGACTCCAATGCCAGGTTGGTGGAAATAAAAATGCCTGATCACAACCACAGCGCCACAGGCTGTTGATAAGGCCTTGGGCTGACACACAGACAACTTTACATTGCTTGCTGAGGACCTGGGGAAGTTCACTCCACCAAAAGACCCTTTCCAGTAGCAATTGCCAGCTTGGTATCAGAGGCCAGACTATTGAATTCAGATGCTGACTTGCCACTGACTAGCTTTGGGATCTTTGGCAAGCCCTCTAATCCCTCTGTGCTACAATTTTCTCATCTGTAAAATACAGATCAGTGAATTAATGCTTGGTAGGCACCTACCATCATTTTGGCACCTAGTAAATGCTCAATAAATGTTCACCGCCACTTCTACTTTTGCTGCTATTGCAATGCTTTACATTAATCCCCTGGTAAGCACCTTAATGTTAAAAATTTTTGGCCGGGCACGGTGGCTCACGCCTGTAATCCCAGCACTTTGGGAGGCCAAGGCGAGCAGATCACGAGGTCAGGAGATCGAGACCATCCTGGCTAACACGGTGGACCCCGTCTCCAGTAAAAATATGAAAAATTAGCCGGGCGGGCGCCTGCAGTCCCAGCTGCTCAGGAGGCTGAGGCAGGAGAATGGTGTGAACCTGGAAGGCGGAGCTTGCAGTGAGCGGAGATCACACCACTGCACTCCAACCTGGGCGACAGAGTGAGACTCCGTCTCAAAAAAAAAAAAATTCTCCTCTTTTCCCAACATACAATGTAATACCCAAGCCCTATTAGGCAGTTCAGTTAATATATGGATGGGTAAGCTAGAATTTATGAAGAGAATGGGAGAAAATTCTAGAAATAGTAACAATCATCAAAGCATCAAAGCAGCTGGCCAGAGAAGTGGCAGAGAAGAGCAAAGTAAGAAAGGAAAAAAAAAAAAAAAAAAAAAAGATTTGGGGAATATAAGGCCAACGGATCCATGGAAGTTGAGCCAGTTGAGCCCAAAAAGAGACTTGCCCATCAGAGATGTGTTAGACTTCAGCCCTAAGTGTGCTCCAGCCTGGTAGAGAAGCATATGATACATACTTGCATAGACTTATTAGATAATCAGCAAAACTGGTGGGAAGAGCCAGATTAGAGCAAGCATAAAAAACAAAAAGAACTAGGAAGAGAAGAATAACTCCTTAAGATACAGGGAAAAGTGCTTGGTCCAGGGAGAAGCTTGTCTGGGTTAGACACGGAAATAAGGGATATCGTCTAACATTTATTTCTTATAAAACTTTACTTCCAATGCCAAATAAAACTGAACTCTTCCACTATGACTATGACTATTTTTGTTTATAACATGGTAAACTATTCTATGGAAAGTGACATGGCAGGATAAACAGAGGTGTCTAGTAGACTAAGGAGCTATTGTAAAGACAGTATGAGCTAGAAGGATACTACAGGGTCAGAAAGTGCTCTAAACAATGTCTCCACCTACAAGATACAGATAATAATACCTTGCAGTGCTGGCATCATTGTTAAATAATTTAAAATATGAAAGTTCTTAGGATAGCATCTGGCACAGCAAAACCCATCTGATGTGTTAACTATGCTATCAGCAAGAGTCAGGAGTTAGCACAGTTACTGGTGACGACTGCAGTTAGGACATGACTATCAGAGTAGAGGGTTGACTTGGAGTGGGGGAAAGATGACTTGAGCTAAGGAGGCCAAGACCCAGAAAGGCCAGCACAAGGGAGAGGCAAAGCATGCAGGTGTGAAAGTCTCTGCAGGGCGACATGCACGGGGATGGAGGAAAAAACCCTAAACCACGAGCCAGAGTCTCTCAAAAATGAAGGAAAATGACTAGAAAGGAGAGAAGAAAACACTGACGGCCAGATATCATGAACTTCAGAGGATCTAGATGGTTCAAAAGAGGGAGGAGGTAAAGTGGCTTCCAAGTTGCAATGGGTGAAGGCAGACACAGGACCTGCAGTGACTGGGTATGGGAATCAAGTCTCCAATTGCCCACGCTCTAAGAAAGGGAGGGTCCTTGAGAGACAGGAAATGGTCAGGAAAGGGTGGGCTAGGATCTCAGAACTAGGTTGAAGATATAGGGGAGTTAGCAAATTAAGGCAGGGGCTTGTCAGGGAAGTGGGAAACGCCAAATGCGATTGAAACAGATTCAGGATGTTGCCTGATGTAGGTAAATGGGGCGTGACTTTCCAGTGGTGAATAAGGTCAGCTGGGCTGAGTAGAATGAGGGGATTAACCCCAGAGTCTCTTAGAGAAAAATGGGCAAACAGTTCAAGCTGTGGTTCTCTTTACAGATGCAGAGTTATCAAAGGGAAAAAGAACCTGCCTCAATTCTTCACAGAATGAGAGCTGCAAAGGTAGGGATAAGTGTAAAGAATGAATGTGCCTCCAATAAGAAAATGTCTCCCTCAATTTCTTCTTTTTTTATCTTATTTAAAGAATTCCCAGAGCCAAGCAACATATGGTACCATTTTATGTGATTTAAGGTCATTTATTTCTTACTTCTCTACTCTATATGGCTGAGTCTTGAGGATTGATTGACTGATTGGGACAGGGTCTTGCTCTGTCACTCAGGCTGGAGTGCAGTGGCACAATCAAGCTCACTGCAGCTTCAAATTCCTGGCCTCAAGCAATCCTTCCACCTCAGTCTTCAAAGGCACTAGGATTGCGGTTGTGAACCACTACTCCCAGCCTCAAGTATTTAGCATTTGTCTTTTTAACCAACCAATATTTACTGAGTGCCTGCTGTGTACCAAATACTATGCTGGGGATACCAGATGCATTAGCTATCTCCTGGCATTGGGGTATCCATACTCTAAAGAAGGAGATAGGAATAGCAATCAATAATTATAAATCAATGTAGAAAAGACTGGCTTCTTTCAAACAGCTTAGGATTTTCACAGCTCAACCATGTTGCAAGCAGCAATACTCTTTTCCTTTTTATGGCTAAATAATATTCCATTGCACAGATGTATTGCCTTTTATCTACCCATTCATCAGTTGATGGACAGTGGGTTATTTCCAGTCTGGGGCTTTGGGTGATAAAATTGTTCTACAGTTGGATGTGGTGATGGTACCTCACTCTTTGAAGATGCTAAAAGCCACTGCTTCGCCAACTTTAAATGAGAAAATTGTATGGTATGTGAATTATATCTGAATAAAACTGTTACCAAAAATAGACAGTAATACAGTTACGCACAAGATGTCCAGAGAGCACACACAAAGAGGTGCCTGCTAGGAGCAGGTGGTGTGAAGGGGTGAACCCATTTACGCCTAGCACTCCATTACTGGAACACCAAGCATGTGGGAGTTATTTATATCTTACTGCACAAGGTCATCGCCAAGGTCTGATTTTTCACATGTCTGCAATTCAAAATTTGCAACCTCTGGCATAAATGGGTTAAGTGAACGCTTCTTAGAAGAGGTAACCTCTGCTGGGGATGGTGGATCGCACCTGTAATCCCAGCACTTTGGGAGGCGAAGGTGAGCAGATCACTTGAGGTCAGGAGTTCAAGGCCAGCCTGGCCAACATGGTAAAACCTCGTCTCTACTAAAAATACAAAAATTAGCCAGGCATGGTGGCACACACCTGTAATCCCAGCTACTCAGGAGATAAGGCAAGAGAATCGCTTGAACATGGGAGGTGGTGATTGCAGTCAGTCGAGGTCTAACCACTGCACTCCAGCCTGGGAGACAGAGTGAGACTGTGTCTCAAAAAAAAAAGAGGTAACCTCAAACTATGTATTTAAAGTAAGCAGAAGATAGCAAGGTAGAGGAAGCACCGGCTAGGAGAGAATATTCAACACTAACATCAGAGACACAGGACTTCATGCTGCTTCCCGAGAGCAATGTTGATTTGAGTATTGCTAGAGGAACACATTGCTGCAGAAAGCGGTAAGGGAAGGGAGCAACGAGAGCCGCTGGAGGTAAATCACTCAAGTAGCTATGTGGAAGATAAATCTGGACAGAATGTGACTGGAGGCAAGGAGAACAGTTAGGAAGCTCTAAAATAATGGCAAAATCGAAGAAGCACAGAGAAGAGGAGAAAATAATAGCCAAAAAGAGAATAAAATAATTCTACGATGAAATGGAATCCAGAAACAGAAAACCATAGATCATCATAATTAGGAAATACAGCTTCCATGAAAAGGGCAGTAAGTCATCCTTTTCCAAAGAACATAGATCAGCAAATCTGGAGTTACCACAAGTAGACAAGCGACAAGGTAGAGGTGTCGTTTTCAGCATCAGCATAATATACTGTGTGTCTTGCACTTTAAAGAATGCCAAAGGTCCCATTATGTTGTGTCTTATCCTCCTCCGTAATGTCGCAATAGGAGAAAATGGCCATCGTGTCTGAATCGACTCTGATTACAGTAAAAGATCTGGCTCTACCACAGCATTTGATGATGCGAACATGGGATAAAGCATCCTCATCTGATTACTAACATGTATCCCATTCTAGTGACACTTAGGCTGGGTTATGAAACAGCCTTTCTCTGTATCATTACTATTTCTTAGGGGAAGAAAACAGTCAAAAACAAACAACTTAACAGTGTATTTCCCACATCACTCTGAAAACGTAGGGAAAAAGATAAGATCTTGCCCCTACACTGGGCTCAGAATTTTGATTTGAATAAAATCCAAAAAAAAGAAGCTATTAAAGTCACAAACCACTTCAAAAAAAGGAATTTATGGATAACAACCATTTCATACCTACTTTCCATTTAGTGGTGAACAATTAAAACCATTTCAGGTTTCCCCTTTTGGGCCACATCCCTCAAATGAACTCAGATGAGCCAGAATCCAAAGATGCTCTTAAGAACACAGCCCTGGCTCCCCTTTCCCTGCAAGATCATTTACCACCTGGAGAGGACCACAAGGCTTATTTGACACAAGTTATTTCGGGTCTGTCTCTGTAGTCTGCCACTTAGATCCATCGAATGTCAGAATGAGTCAACACTCAACTAATTCCTTAATGTTCTCTATCCTGCTCAATAACTCATTTTTATATGAGTTGGATATACATATGATACATCTTCGAGATAATCATTCTGATAATTAACATTCACCCAGTGCCCAGTGGAGTCCCTTTCCCTGTTGAATAAAGGATGCAAGGCTGTGTGGTCACAGCACACACATGGCCTGGCTCCAACATTTGGAGACTGCAGGCTGACCACCAAGCAAGGTGGCCGAACAGACCTCAGTAGCTGCCTATAAAAGATATAACTGAGTTGCCCAGCCAGGCACTAAATACTGCTCCTGTTTCTACCTGCGCTATGACTTCTGCTCTTATCAAAAGTCATTATGCAGGGCCAGGCATGAGGGCGCACTCCTGTAATCCCAGCACTTTGGGAGGCCGAGGTGGGTGGATCATGAGGTCAAGAGATCGAGACCATCCTAGCCAACATGGTGAAACCCCATCTCTACTAAAAATACAAAAAATTAGCTGGGCTTGGTGGCGCATGCCTGTACTCCCAGCTACTCGGGAGGCTGAGGCAGGAGAATCACTTGAACTTGGGAGTTGGAGTTGGCAGTGAGCCAAGATCACGCCACTGCACTCCAGCCTGGTGACAGAGTGAGACTCTCAAAAAAAAAAAAAAGTCATTATGCCACCAGACCAGGGCAAGTTCCTTATTTTGTGGAGCCTGGAGCTTATGCATTTGGGAGGGTGGCTCACCTTTAAGCAAAGAAGTTTAGGAAATCACTAATACAAAATTAAGAACAGGGCCTCTGAAAGTGCCTATGCAAGTGAGGAACCTTGGAGCTTAAGCCTCATGAGCTTCTTCACTACTCAGTACACATTATAATCATGAGCTCATTTGCTGCCTCCCGGTAACTACTTTGTTTATTTATATTGCTCCTTGTTCTAAGTATAATTTAAAGTGACTTTCTGAGCTACATACAATACAACAAGATAAACTTAAGCTCAAAGCGAATAAGCAAGAAAGTCTGGACTGAGAAAAACAAAGTATGAAGCCAGGAATAGAATTAACATTCAGAATGCTTTGTATTTGCTGGAGATATGGAAAAGTTTAGCGACAAATTTTCTAGTAATCAATATAAAGTGAGAAACATGGTTAATTATATGAGTTAGGCTAATAGTTTAATAAATACAAGCACAGCTAGTGAGATATGTCTCCTCTGGGAATTCTATAAAGAAATGAGCCACAATCTCAGCAGTATCCTTGCACTGTCTACTGTGGCATGCCTCTGTGAAGGCCCCGGCATCACGGCAGGTGCCAGTCACTAAAGGTACTGAAAGGCCAGTTGCTGTGGTTCAGGTACCCTGTTCTATAGGGTCTCACTTAATTCAAAGTCAGCCCTTAGTGCTATGTGTGAACCACGTGTACTCTGCAAAATCCCCTACAAATATCACTTCCCGCAAATGGTCTTATTTATAAAGCAGAGGAATGCTGTGAGTTTGAGGCTGTGCTCCAACACAGCTAGCTGAATGCTGCTCCAGTATATGCCTGTTTAATGACTATGTGTCACCAGAGAAAGAACTCACACCTACTTCTTAAAACTATTAATAAGTAACCCAAGAAGGTTAAGTACCTGCATCAAAGACCAAGGGAGAAATTCAGGTACAGCCAATACACAACCCAATAAATAATTTGGGGCCTTTTCTAATGTATAAAAGAACCCAATTATACTAATTAATATTATCCTTCCATTTTTACTCATTTTGAGAGTTCACTATTGCATTATATTTTACATTATAATAGGAATTTTCAGTAACTGTGACTCACAGAAAATTAACCTGGAATAAAATATAAAGTCTTGCTTATTTGCTCTCCAAAATAATTGTGGAAAACTCAGTATCTGCCCCCATACATTTTCTACTGGATGTGTAAAATGTGTTGACCTAAGTTTAAAGAGTTGCAAAAGAACAATAAGCCAGGCATAGTGGTTCATGCCTGTAATACCAACATTTTGAGAGATCGAGGTGGGTGGATTGCTTCAGCCCAGGAGTTGGAGACCAGCCTGGGCACCATAGCGACACCCTGTGTCTACAAAAAATACAAAATTGGCTGTGCGCGATGGCATGCACCTGTAATCCCAGCTACTCGGGAGGCTGAGGTGGGAGGATCATCTGAACCTGGTGGGGCAGAGGTTACAGTGAGTTGTGATTGCACCACTGCACTCCAGCATGGGGGACAGAGCGAGACCTTGTCTCAGAAAACATATATAT
Source organism: Homo sapiens (assembly GCF_000001405.40). Classification (NCBI taxonomy): domain Eukaryota; kingdom Metazoa; phylum Chordata; class Mammalia; order Primates; family Hominidae; genus Homo; species Homo sapiens. The sequence goes on from NC_000008.11 coordinate 6,171,859, forward strand.
TACTATAAATTCTGTTGTATTATAAATACTAACATTAAAAAATAGGCCAGGCATGGTGCCTCACGCCTGTAATTCCAGTGCTTTGGGAGGCCGAGGCAGATGGATCATTTGAGGTCAGGAGTTCAAGACCAGCCTGGCCAACATGGTGAAAAACTCCGTCTCTACTAAAAGTGCAAAAATTAGCCGGGCCTAGTGGCACGTGCCTGTACTCCCAGCTACTCGGGAGGCTGAGGCAGGAGAATCACTTGAACCCAGGAGGCAGAGGTAGCAGTGAGCCGAGATCATACTACTGCACTCCAGCCTGGGTGACAGAGTGAGATTCTGTCTCAAAATAGTAAATAAATAAAATAATAAATAAGGCGTTTCATCTCTCTTTTATAAGTTTCCAATGGAACTTAAGTAAAAAAAATCAATTTGAAATATAACTTATTATTTAATGACTGGAAATTTTACATTATTTGTTCCCACTTCGAGCTTATATTTTAATATTTCCCAGAACAATTACAGTAGAATTTTTTTTAGTACTTCAGTACATTTTTATGCTTCAAAGTACTTGTTACTCACCCTTTTATGCTTCATGTACTGGGGGGGCGGGGTGTGTGTCTGTGTGTGTGTGTGTGTGTGTGTGTGTCAAAAAGACAGAGTGGGAAAAGACAGAGAGGAATATTAACTTTTTAAACTTTCTATACCATAAGATCCTATACATTAGCTATTTCTTCTGGATTTAGTGACTATTCCAATTATTTATAATAATTATTACAGTTTTGTTGTTGTTGTTGAGACAGAGTCTCGCTCTGTCGGCCAGGCTGGACTGCAGTGGCGCGATCTCAGCTCACTGCACCTCCACCTCCCGGGCTCAAGCAATTCTCCTGCCTCAGCCTCCTGAGTAGCTGGGAGTACAGCCGTGTGCCACCACGGCTAATTTTTGTATTTTTAGTAGAGACGGGGTTTCACCATGTTGGCCAGGCTGGTCTCGAACTCCTGACTTCAGGTAATCTGCCTGCCTCAGCCTCCCAAAGTGCTGGGATTACAGATATGAGCCAGCATGCCTGGCCTGATTATTTTAATCATTTACAATTACTTACATAAGAAGCAAAAAAGTGACATACATTTAAAAATTATGAAGCAAACAAAGCAAAGTCCAATTACAAATGATACGGTTGTTTCAATTAGATCATGTATCCAAGAATGAATGTAACTTGTCGCTAGAACAAACCAGGCATCAGCACAAATTCTATTCCTATTTTTGTGTGGACCTATTTTTCCTTGCTTTGTGTAAGTTCTGGGAATGGGGTAAGATCCACAGAGACTCCAAGGCACGTCTTCCTGTTATAAGATGAAATTGGGAGCCGTGAAGAAGCAGTAAGCCAGATCCTCCGCAGGCGGCTTCACAGGAAAGCGAGCATATTAACACCGAAGATGTGAAAAGTCTCTGTCCCTGTTAACTACTGCTGCACAACAAACTCAACAAATGAGTGTGCTCCTGGCTTTGCATGGGGACTCTGCTTAGCAGGACAGTTCCTGTTGGTCTTATCTGTGGTCATTCCCACCAAGCAGTCAGCTATGGCTCAGCTGAGACTGGGGGACTCTCAACGGCCTCGTTGGGAGGCCTGGTGTTAGTGGGATGTCAGACGAGGCACCTCTGAGGTAGGAGGTGGGACTCAACTCCAGAGGCAGGGCTCAGACACCAAGCCAAATTGAGGACTAGGTAAAACAAGTACAGGGCAGAAGAAACTTTCTGTAAGGCACACCCACCAGTGTGCCATGTCAGTTTACCATTGCCATGGCAACACCCAGGTGTTACCGCCCTTTTCTATGGCAATGACCCAACCGCCCAAAAGTTACTACTCCTTCCCTAGAAATTGCATTAACTGCCCCTTAATCTGCATGCTATTAAAAGTGGGTATAAATATGACTGCAGAACTGCCCTGAGCTGCCGCTCTCCACCGATGGGGTGGTCCTCCTCTGCAGGAGCTGTAACAATGCTGCTTCAGTAAAGTTGTTGCCTTCTACCTCCAGTTTGCCCTTGAATTCTTTTCTGGGCAAAGACAGGAACCCTCATGAGCTAAGCCCCACTTTGGGGCTCACCTGACATGCATCACTTCAACTCTCCTCTTTTCCAGCAAGACAGTCCAGACTTCTTTATGTGGTCATTGGGTTTCAAGAGGGCCAGTCTCACTTTGCAAATATTCATCAATCCTGTTTTTGGCACATTTACTGATGTCTCAGTGAACAAGGTCAATGACATGGCCCAATTGAAACTCAGTGTTGGTGGGCACTCCCAAGAGTGTGGCCCCTAGAAGTAGGACTATGACAATCTCCCACAGTCCATCTTCAGGCCCCCGTGGAATGTCTCCCCCACATGTAAAACAATCCCTCCAGCATCTAGGACTCCCAATTCCCATCTAAACAAGGCGTCAGGCTTGAAGTCCATAATCTCATGATCTGCATCAGGGACAACTCTTCTTGATCTGAAATCTGTGACAAAAAAAGGCAGTTGCTCCTGTCACACACCCAAATGACACAGCTCCACCTTGTAGCAACGTGCCCCTGTCCTCTGGATCCAACAGGCAGCATGGGGCTGTCTTTCGCTTCCACATAGGAGGATATATCCTTTCTCCCAGGCAGTCAAAACACTTTTTGTTTTGTTTTGTTTTCACTTTCCTGATGAGAGAGGATTGCTCTCAACAACTCTTTCAACTTCTTCTCCTTTTCGTTTTTTGGGTTTTCTTTGTTTGTTTGTTTTAGAGACAGTGTCTCACTTTGTCACCCAGGCTGGAGTACAGTGGTGCAATCATAGCTCACCGTAGTCTGAAACTCCTGGGCTCGAGCAATCCTCCCATCTCAGCCTCCTGAGTAGCTGGGACCACAGACATGTACCACCATACCCAGCTAGGAGAGGGGGAGGGAGGAGAGGGCTCTGCCCCAGAGAAGAGCGCTGGCCCTGACTTGGAGCTAATGGAACAGAGAAGCTCCATTGTGTCTCTTTCTCAAGGCACCTCTCAGGAGTTCCGTCCTGAGCATAAATCCAATCCTTGAGTGAATAAATATTGTGTGGCACTCAGCCTGGAAAGCCTGCCCTTCCCCATCCTGCCCATCCATGTTCTTCTGTTTTGGAAGCCCAGTTCAAGGTCCAGCTTCTCCAAAATTCTTCTAGACGGTGCACTGTGGCTGTGTCCTACGGCAGCATTTTGGTTGCTTATAGGAGTCCCACACGTGGGGACCCTGGCCTTGGCTTAACAACATAATCAAATGTCAGGGCTTGGAGGAGGTTCAGAAACAATCCTGAAGTTGTCCTTGGAGCTCTGGAGTCCCCAGGAAGAGCCTCGGAGGACAGGAGGAGGCTGGGTTGATGGGATTCCCTGACTGCCACCCGGAGTACCCAGGGTTTTTCTGCCTTTTATATTAGGGTTCCACTCAAGAGCTTACTTATACAAAGGATCCCATAGACTTTTTTTCAATCATTCAATTCACCAAATATATATAAAAATATATACCTATATCTCCCCTGCAATATGGCAGGCAGCATCCTGGGTGCTAGGAACACAGAGTGAAAGAAACACAGAAGTTCACATATTCTTGGGACGCATACCCTACCATGACTCCACCGGGTCCTAGGATGTGATAGATGAAGACTGAGATTAGACTGCTGGGATCCTGTCACCCACTAATGTCAGAATTGGAATCTAGCCTTCTCTGATTTCTGGGTAGAACAAGGTGAGTCTAGCTAGGCTGGAAGGAAAGGAAGAGTACCAGGAAAAGGAGAGGAACACGGGAATAATTTAGGGTGGGAAATAACTTTTCTTGGAAGAGACAGAAAATCAATAGGTTACAGAAAGAAGACAATAGTCTTGGGGTCAGGGAAACTTGCCTTTGAATTCTGTCCCCCTTCTAAAGAAAGTTGTATTCATATTGACAGCCATCTCCGACTGCAGGTGTTTTTCATTTTCAAATTGCCTCTCACACGTGAACATCGGCGTTCACTGATGTGCAGGGAGCATACAGGGAGTGCTGGCTGGCCCTCTTCCTGCCCTGCCCTCTCTGAGATCATTAGCTGTACTAAGCTTTCCAGTGTCCGAACTCATTTCCTTTCTACTGAAGCTCTTACCTCTGGATGCTGAACCTCTTCTTTTTAGCTCCATTTAACAGCCTGGCTCCACCTCCCGTCAGCTACCTACTGGACAGCCACCATAGGCACATTCCCGAGACTGTTCTCTCACCCCTGAACAAGCCATGGGGGGTTGGAGGAGAGCCTGAGGTCTGTCCTAGGCTAGGACAGAGGGAACAACAGCAGACATGGTCCCGGCTCCAGCAGAGGCTGCAATCTTGCTGAATTAACGACCGCCAAGGCCTGTGGAGACATGGCCTGAAGGGGTCCTTGCAGGATCTCAGAATGACAACAGACAGACCTACAGCAGAGGTGGAGTCTGGGCAGGGCGAGAGCAGGCACGAGAGTAGAAGGTGGGAGACTCTGGGCACAGGTGTTGGGGGATGCACGGAGCTCCGGCAGGTAAACCCCTGCAGGTGATGTAGCTCAGATCAGAAACAGCCTGGAACACCAGCGTAAGCCCTGCAGACTTGGCGCCTTTTCCCACTTCAAATGTCAGTTCAGTAAACATTTGCTGTACATACCCACAAGAATGGGAAGCAGGGAGTCTAGCAGGTATCTCTGTACACCCACGTTCCTTGCAGCAGAACTCACAATGGCCAAAAGGGAGAAGCAACCCAAGTACCCAGCAACAAATGAACAGATGAACAGAATGTGAACTGGATACACAATGGAATATCATGCAGCCATGAAGAGGAAGGAAATGCTGACCCAGTCTGCAGCACAGATGAACCTCAAGGACATTACACCGAATGAGAAAGCCAGTTACAAAAAAACAAATATCAAATCATTACACTTATATGCAGTATCTGAAGCAGTCAAATCCACAGAGACAGGAAGTAGAATGGGGGCTGCCAGGGGCTGGGGGAACGGAAATGAGGAGTTGGTGTTTAATGGGTGCAGAGTTTCAGCTGGGGAAGATGAGAGAGCTCTGGGAACGGATGGTGGTGATGCTTGCACACCAGTGTGAATAGGCTTAATGCCAGACAACTGTGCACTTAAAAATGGTTAACATTGGCTGGGCGGGGTGGCTCACGCCTGTGATCCCAACACTTTGAGAGGCCGAGGCAGGCAGATCACCAGGTCAAGAGATTGAGACCATCCTGGCCGACCTGCTGAAACCCCGTCTCTACTAAAAATACAAAAATTAGCTCGGCATGGTGGCGTGCACCTGTAGTCCCAGCTACTCAGGAGGCCGAGGCAGGAGAATCGCTTGAACCTGGGAGGCAGAGGTTGCAGTGAGTCAACATCGCACCACTGCACTCCAGCCTGGCAACAGAGTGAGACTCCATTTAAAAAAAAAAAAAAAAAAAGGTTAACATTGTAAATTGTATGTCACATGTATTTCATCATAATTTTTAAAATATGTATTTTATTTTTAACATATAGATTTTTAAAATACATAAATATATATTTAAAATATATATTTTTAAAATACATAAAATATATATTTAAAAATATAATTTTAAAATACATAAAGTGTATATTTAAAATATAGATTTTTAAAATACATAAAGTGTATATTTAAAATATAGATTTTTAAAATACATAAAGTGTATATTTAAAATATAGATTTTTAAAATACATAAAGTGTATATTTAAAATATAGATTTTTAAAATAAAGTGTATATTTAAAATATAGATTTTTAAAATACATAAAGTGTATATTTAAAATATAGATTTTTAAAATACATAAAGTGTATGTTTAAAATATAGATTTTTAAAATATATAAAGTGTATATTTAAAATATATATTTTTAAAATATATAAAATATATTTAAAATATATTTTGTAAAATAAAATATATATTACAAAAATATATATATTTTTAAAATATACAAAATATATTTTAAAAATATATAAAATTTATATGTAAAATAGATATGTGAAATAGATATGTAAAATAGATATGTAAAATAGATATGTAAACTAGATATGTAAAATATATATTTTAACATACTCAGAACACATGACTTTCTACCACATGTTCTGAGTATGTTATGGGTGGAGGAATGAGAGAGGGGTAAGACGCAGAACCCACCCTCAAGGACTGAACACAGGCTGCCTGGAATTCCTGCAGGTATCTTGTACTGAAATGCATGCAGGTATTTCAGATGTGCTGCCCAAGGGTTAACGTACTCTTTCAAAAAACCCTCTTTACCGAATGTTCTAGCTGTCATGAAGTGGCCACACTGGGGCTACTCAGACTTACCTGCTGTTTCCACAGATGCCAACTACCTGACGTCGTGCTGGTCTTAGCACCGCCCGCACTCCAGTTCCAACCTCAGAGAACACACAAGTTTCTTGCGGCCTCTGATTTATCACCACAACAAATCTGAATAGCCACACATGTGAGTGTTGCTTTTGATGAGAGCCCTCTTTCCGCTTATTTGCTTGATAACAACAGAAAATAGAAAATACTGGTTTCCACTACTCAGTAGCCAGGACAAGGAGCCATAACATTTTGCAAATCTAAGATGCCTAATACCTGAGTTTCTCTCTTTTTCGTCATCAGACAAGCGCTACCTGCATCACAGCACAGGCTGGACTCCACGGGATGAATTCAACAGAGGCTTTTCAAATCCTGAATTACAAAGCTCATGGAAAGATGAGGGATAATTTCTCAACTGAACAATAAAATTATTCTTGGGGCTGGATGTGGTGGCTCACGCCTGTAATCCCAGCACTTTGGGAGGCCAAGATGCGTGAATCACTTGAGGTCAGAAGTTTGAGACCAGCCTGGCCAACATGGTGAAACCCCAACTCTACTAAAAATACAAAAATTAGTCGGGCATGGTGGTGCATGCCTGTAGTCGCAGCTACTCGGGAACCTGAGGCACGAGAATTGCTTGAACCCAGGAGGCAGAGGCTGCAGTGTGCCTAGATCATGCCACTGCACTCCAGCCTGAGTGACAGAGAAAGACTCCATCTCAAAAAAAAACAAAAAAAAAACAATAAAAATAAAAAAATAAATTATTGGTAAATGAAACGAATGCAAATGCAGTTATTGATACTTTAGACTGTGATGAAAAAAATAAATAAAAGGCAACCTCTACCTCAGTTTGGAAGTTAGAAATGGTGTCATTTATGAAGGTTGCTGTGGTTTCCTTCAACCCCTTCTGTTTGCTGAAGTGGTTGAAATTCATTCTGACTCATGACTCTGAGCATCTCTTTCCAAGATCCCACCAGGTAACTAGAGAAGCAGCTCTGAGCGGCACATTCAAGAGTTTTCTCTTTTTTTGTTGTTGTTTTCCTTTTTTTGAGATGGAGTCTTGCTCTGTTGCCCAGGCTGGACTGCAGTGGTGCAATCTCAGCTCACTGCAAGCTCCGCCTCCCGAGTTGACGCCATTCTCCTGCCGGAGCCTCCCGAGTAGCTGGGACTATAGGCGCCTGCCACCACACCCGGCCATTTTTTTTTTTGTATTTTTACTAGAGACGGGGTTTCACGGTGTTAGCCAGGATGGTCTCGATCTCCTGACCTCGTTATCCGCCCGTCTTGACCTCCCAAAGTGCTGGGATTACAGGCATGAGCCACCGCGCCCAGCCAAGAGTTTTGTTTTCTTAAGAAAACTGCTGATGCACAGGTAAGATTGAGTGCATTCACCCTCCAGAATATCTGAGGAATAGGTTAGGGTACTGGTGACCTCAGAGACACAGAAAGGAGCATCACGCCTTGATTGGCACTAGGCTGTTTCCCCAGCCCCAGGCATTTCTGAGTCTTAGGATCCCATGGATCTGTGAGCAAGAATAAGCAATGGACAATTCTTCCTCTCTTTGTGCAGTACGATGGGAGACACTGCTCTGGGGTCTCCAGCTCATGGTGAACCCTCAAGGATCTGCTTCTGAGCAAGCTGCCTTCTGAGGCCTCCACATTCTTGCTTGGGGCTTGGTCTGCAATTGCTGCAGAAAAATCAGGTGGAGCGCAATGGAGAAGATAGGTCTTGTACTGTCAGTTTACAGAGCAGTAACCACTGATGATAGGTGATGGTTCACCGGCAGTGTGGCTCTTTCTGTACGTTGGCTTGCTGTCTTATCGCATATTTTTCTGCATCATTAGAGCACCTTAGGCTTTCAAACAAGGTATAGTAGAAAGAATACTAGTCTACCAACTACAGAATCCGAGTTGCAACCCTTGATCAATTAAGAGTTCTATTTTCAGAGAACCTCATTATATACCAGACCCATCACACACAGCATCTTATTGCTTTCTCAACAATCCTCTGAGGAAAGAATATTGATCATCTCCTCTTTACAAATCAGTAAAAGAGGCTTGGAGGAACTGAATAACTTACACTCGAAGAGGTGAACCAGGGACTGGCCCAGGCATCGCCCAGAAATTGTCCTCTCAACCACACATGGCCCAAGTCTAACTTCCCTTGTGTTGCTTTCAAATCAGCCACAATCCAACTCCACTGCCTTGCCCTGCCCAACATCAATTCTCAAGGTCATTTTGCATATGGCCAAGAGAATATTCAAGGAGAAAACCCCTTAGTGCGTGGATTCTCAGAAGGTGGAGAAGACAGCAGGGGGAGTGCAAGATGCCATCCAAGGACAAGGCTAGAGGGAATGGAACACCCAGGTAGCACCTAAATTTTGCAATTTTGGGGAGCTCTGGTGACAGCATCCCAGGAAGAGCAATGTCCTCCCACGAGAGCTGCAATCAGAGGCACTAGAGTAGAAATCCTGTAACAGTAAGGAATTTTTCCACTGTGAGTAACAGGAAACCCTACACAAATTGGATTGCACAATAGAGAAATTGCATTGACGCAAGTAATGAAGCATCCAAAAGAAGCCCTGGAGCCTCGGCGAGGATGGGTCCAGCCCTTCCATGAAGTCAGCAATGGCAGCAGGAGGCTTCTTCCTGCCTGCCTCTCAGCATTGCCATCCACAGCGTCGCTTGGGTTCCGATGGCCTCAGGATGTCTCCAGCAGGTCCCAGCCTGTTCCATCCAGGAGAACCAGAAACTGGAATCACCCCATAAGTGGCAGCAGGGGGAGTTCCCACAAGAAAGTGCCCCAAACCATCCCTAGATGGGTCTGGTTAGGATTCCAAAGAAAGGAGCACTAAGCACAGGGTGATCAGCCCAGAGCATTGACGAGGGGAACTTACAGAGGCTGCAGCAATCCTTCCCGCAGACAGCGAGGAAAAAGGGTGTTCTACCCACGCATGTCTGCAGTGAGGGGTTCAGGCCATGACGTTCATATGAGAGTTTAAAAAGTTTGGGTCAGGCCCAAGGCTATTTCTTTCATTGCTTTGGGCAACAACCTAGATCATTTTATCAGTGTCCAGGAATGTTCAAGGACCCAGTCTGGGGGTCAAGTCTGCTGGGGAAAACCTGCCACTGGCTGGATTATAGAGTCAACAGGACACAGAAAGAAAGCGGGGGTCCTGGGGGACCCAACACAGGGTTACTTCCTTCCCTATTTATTCTCATCCATCCAAGGAAAGCATTTTTCCAGTATTCCCAGGAATATTGGAAATTCTCAGGAAATATTGGAATATTCCCTGAGATTTTTCTTATTATCCAGGTTTCAGTCACTTTTCACCCCCAATTCACACATGGTCAGGGAACTGGAATGAGCCAGTTTGTTAGTCTGCAATCATGTTCTATAAAATGATGTTAGAATCCATTTTTCTTCAGTCTCATTGGTCCCTATCAGAAATTATCAGCGACAATACTGAGGAGATAATCAACAAATGTCTACAATAAATACTAATGTTACCTGACTCATGCACAATGAAGCAAGAACATTTGGTTTATAAACCAAAGGTAGTTTTTTTTTGTTTTGTTTTTGTTTTTTTTTGAGATGGAGTGTTGCTCTGTTGCCCAGGCTGGAGTACAGTGGCGCCATCTCGGCTCACTGCAACCTCTGCCTCCCAGGTTCAAGTGATTCTCCTGCCGCAGCCTCCCAAGTAGCTGGGATTACAGGCGCCCGCCACCATGCCTGGCTAATTTTTGTATTTTTAGTAGAGATGGGGTTTCACCATATTGGCCAGGCTGGTCTTGAACTCCTGACCTTATGATCCACCTGCCTCGGCCTCCCAAAGTGCTGGGATTACAGGCGTGAAGGGGTAGATTACTAACTCAATGTTTCTTAAATGGAAGTCTAAAGAATTTTGGAGATGTCCATACTTCTCAGAATCTTTAACTCCATATAAAGTGAGAGAAGCAGCAGGCCTTATTTCCAACAAAGTTATTGGACTTTGTGTTTCACATTTTGGATCTGGATTCACTCACCTGACAAGTGAATTCATGGGATTTCTTATTTATACCAGAGAAAGGGTCAAAAAGGCAAAGTGAAACTGTCAAACAAGAGATCAGTTACTAAAATGGCAGAACTACATATGTAGTCTGTGATGCCGTGGTCCAGGCCCAGTCTCGCTAGTCAGGCTGACACAGGGTGTAATCACTATGGAAGCAAATCCGTCTCTCCTACCCGCCCTTATCCACTTGTTCCCTGTCCCTCAGCATAGTCCAAGGGCAATGTTGATCACCACCTATGAGGAGGGCTAGGAGAAATACTGCTCCTTCCCCATCCCCAAACACACATTCCTTACAGCCCGTGATGGACACGTGTGATTCACACATGTACCAAGTGTTGGAAACACCTGAGCTAGATGTTGCACACACGTGGCTTTTGGGTGAGATGGGTCATAGGCACACCCATCACATTGTTGGAGGAAGGGTCAAACATCCAGGCTGGCTCTGTGACCTTAAATTAGACAATGACCCCTGAAGCCAGCACCCAGTGAAAGGGGTCCCTGGCCCCCCTGCCTGATTTCCACAGTGCCCTTGGCCACTTCCCCTCCAGCTTGCTTGGGCCCTGTTCCAAATCTGTTTCTTTCCTCTTCACCCTTGTGATGCCTCCATCCACTTTGTGTCTCACATGTGCCTTGTAGTCACTCAACAATCAATGCCCAGTTGAACCCAGGTCAACCCCCCAAGGATCATAGCCTCAGAACAAACCCCAGGTTAACCTTAACCCTAAATAGTGTGCCAAGGTTTATAGCCTCAATTCTAAAGTTAAAAAAAATTCAAGTATATACATACATATATATACACATATATATGTTTCTCAGAGGAATATTATGATGCATGAAAAGATACAGGTTATAAACCAAAATATATAAAGAAAGAGCATTTATTTGAATGTCATCTGCTTTTTTCTCTTATTTTCATAATATTAAAAATAAAAGTTAACTATTCTTTCCTGGAATTCCAATAAATTAAAATTATTCAATGGTATAATTTGACAATGGGCAAATTTTTCATTCTGAGACTATTCCATTCCTGGAAACTCTTTGATGAAAATGCATAATGATCCAATGGCCAAGGTAGTTTAGAAACCAGCTTTGTCTGACCTAAGTCATCTGTTTTGTATTTCCCGTATATAAAATAATAATATCTCATCTACAAATACTAAGAAACTATGAATTTTTTTGAGACAAAGTTTCACTCTTGTTGCCCTGGTTGGAGTTCAGTAGCATGATCTCGGCTCACTGCCACCTCCATCTCCCTGGTTCAAGCTATTCTCGTGCCTCAGCCTCCCAAGTAGCTGGGATTACAGGCACACCCCACTACGTCCAGCTAATTTTTTGTATTTTTAGGAGAGATGGTGTTTCACCATGTTGGCCCAGCTGGTCTCAAACTCCGGACCTTGTGATCTGCCCGCCTCGGCCTCCCAAAGTGCTGGGATTACAGGTGTAAGCCACCATGCCCAGCCTGTAGAGGCCTTTTTCTGCCACCTCCGCATAGTCTCTCCTGATGGACACCCTTTGTGCAAAATTATCCACAACGTGTTCTCTTCTCTTAAGCATCTTCACAGTCCTCTCTCATACTCTGTTCCAACATGGTCACTTATGTGCACTTTATGTCTCCCCTTCTCTTGAATGTGAGGTTGTTATATAAGAAGATTTGAGATAAGTAATGCATTACCCTATCTGATTTGCTATCCTTTAATCTATTTCTCCAGGGTCTTTTCTCTGCAAAAGGAAGAGTGAACAGTGTATCCTGTTCCCAGTGACTTGGCAGGTCCTGGTCATGAATCAGCCATTCTACCTTTAATCTTAGTGGACCAACCTGTCTCAAAAGAAAAACTACTTCTAAGTGAAATGTAAATGATACTGGCTTTATGCAAGGGTGCACTGCCGATTAATAGCATAAAAATGAGGTTTTTAAAATATCAAATACTTATATAATTTTCATTGTGCCAGAAATGGCTCTAAGTATTTTACAAACCTTGCTTATTTAACTTCATAACCACACTACAAGCTGGGCACTATTACCCCTATTTGCAGAAACCACAGCCAGAGAGTGAAGTAAGCTGTGCAAGGTCATCAACAGCCAGTCAACAGCCAGTCAATGGCCAGTCAACTCAACAGTCAGTCAACGGCAGACAGGTTGGGTCCAGTCCATGCCCTCAATTACAGCCATGCTGCATGTGAGTATGGAGTGAGCGGTATTTTTAAAAAAGCAAAAAATGTTATATAAACTGCAGATTTTATTGATATTAATTCATTGTCACTAAAGGGAAAATGTGCTAACTATTAAGAATGCAATTTAGAGGTTATGAGTTTGAATTGGATGTTTGAAGTTATCCAGTTTCTTAGGCAACACAGAAAAGCAACTTGAATAGTTCAATGACATGTAACCTTTCAGAATATTTTGCTTTATGGTTTTATCATAGTTGCTTTTTTATCCCCATGAATAGAGCAAGACCTTCAGAATAAATTGTTCTCAAATAAGTAATGCAATATTTTATGTTCTGGTCTTTTAAGAAATCTTTACTCAATTCTGTGATGTATTGAAAGATATAGAATATTGTAAAATAACAGATGACTTGTGGTACACTTCAGTGAAATTTAAAACTCCACAATTGTTTGCATAAAAACATCAAAACAGAGAGGAAACATAGTATGGTGTTATCTTAAAGCCGCAGGAGTCATCAAAATAGTCCAGTTAGACTCAAAAAGGGACCAATAATTATTTTCCAGTAACCTTGTATACTCGGCCAGTGCTAAATAGCAGTGATAGATACTTCCTGAGAAGGCGATAGCAGGAAAGAAGGGGTTTTTTAGCTGGAAGCCCTAAAAGTTGTGCAGGATGTTTTCGATTTAAAGATCATGCTGTAAAACTTCAGTTAACTCAATTAGATTTATTTGGCTTCAATTATTTGTCTTATTATTTTTAGGAACTATGGTTTTGCTGCAAGTAATTGAACCTCTCCAAATTTCAGTTTCTTCATCTATAAAGTTGTAAAAGCCCCAATGTCATATGTCTGTAGTGAGGATGAAAGTCAATGAGGTAAAGCATCATTATTATTTTAGGGGATACAGACAAAGGTGATGTTAAGAGAATGGGCTTTAGAGTCTGGCTGTGAAACCTCAGTCTGCCACTTTCTCTTTGAAAGACCTTAAGTTCATCTCCAAGCCTCAGCTTCTTCATCCATAAATGGAATAACAATAATCTTTATAAAGTTATTATAAGGATTATAAAAACCAATGCATTTAAAGTACATTAGCATAGTGCCTTCAAGAAAGAAAGTGTTCAATATATATTAGCTCATATTATCATTGCCATTAACACCATAATTATTGATTTTATATTCACAAATTAGCAAAAGTTCTTTACTTTTCAATTTATTATGAATACTACATCTCATGTATTTCTTCCCATTTTTCACTTTGTCACTTTTTCAATTCCCCCAATGCTAAAATTCTCTCCTTTCTAGATGCCTAGACTTTAACATGACTTGGTTGATATTAGCCTGGCCATTCATGAAGAATTTATAGGCCTCCCTTATAGTTAGACTGAGGTCATGTCCCTGGGTTAAGACTAATAGGAATTAGAACAAAGTGATGTACATCATCTCCAGACCAATCTTAAACCCTTCCACCAGGGAATCCTCTTGTGTGTTTGAGGCATATGTGGAGTAAGACGACATCACAAGATAGAAACGCTTGGATCCCCGAGTCACAGCCTGGAGGAGAGCCTCCCAGGAGACCTATCCAAACTGTACTACATTTTGATATGGGCTAGAAATAAACATTTATTATACTGATACATTTAAATTTCAACGTTTATTTCTATCACCTCATAGCCTAAGCCTACCCTAACTAATGAAACTGGCAATCAAGAAGTAGAATTACAAGTATGCATAAGTATCAAGATAAAATGAAAAATGATCAGAGGGGAACAAAAGAAAGGAAGAAGAAAAATTCTGAGAAAGAATGGAGCAATGACATGAGAGAGGACCAAAAAGAGCCTAGGACATTACCCTGCACATGTAGAGATTGATGGCAAAGGTCTATACAACAAGACTGGGTCAAGCGAGGTGACTCACGCCTGTAATCCCAGCGCGTTGGGAGGCCGAAACCGGCAGATCACCTGAGGTCAGGAGTTCCAGACCATCCTGGCCAACATGGCAAAATCCCGTCTCTACTAAAAAATACAAAAATTAGCCTGGTGTGGTGGGGGGCACCTGTAATCCCAGCTACTCAGGAGGCTGAGGCAGGAGAATCACTTGAACCCAGGAGGTGGAGGTTGCAGTGGGCCGAGATCACACCACAGCACTCCAGCCTGCGTGACACAGTGAGGCTCCATCTCCAAAAAAAAAAAAAAAAAAAAAAGGAAAGACTTGACTGAAATAATGTTAATTAACTGAATTAAGCCTTGTATCATGAGAGCTCAGATCTAGCTTAACTTTTATAAATAAAGTAGAAATGGAAGAGTACTTTGCAGAGAGAAGACATGGTAGGAGAATGCTTGACTTTATACAATGGAGGAGTACAGTTCAGTCACATGAAATATGAATAAAAATGAGTGAATTTCAGAGCTTAAGGAAGCTTGGAGACCATCTGGTTCAACCCGTTACAGCTATGAAATTGCAAGTGTGTGGCTAAGCAGGGACTAGAACCGGGACTTTCAAACACCAGATTCATGCGTTCCCCACCAGCCCCAGGCTATAAGACCTGGAAAGAAGAATAAAAATCCACTCTTACCTAACTGACTTTGATTAATTAGGCTTTCTAACAAAGTAATTATCAACACAATTTCAGTATAGAATCTCTTAAGAGACTGTTCGCAGATGCAATATTTGTGAAGAGACATTTCATTTAATTACATTAGACAAGGAGATGGTCTCGACTTGGAAATGCTCAGGAAATAAACTTTTCAATGTAATTTCCCACTGGAGAGTATACACATAATAAAGTCATTGACTTCAGCTAGCACTAATCAGTATTAATGCCTTCAATCATTGCCATCAATAGCTATCTTGGAGAATCACAAAATTTATCTGCCTTCCTACAGTGGAGGCATAAACGGATACGGGTCCCCTTGTAGGAAGAGGACCAGGAGCTGCACCAATGGCTGTGTTTCCTCCTCGATGACCTTCCCATGAATGAATGTGTCCCCCTTGGATACTGCCATCCACTCACCAGCCGTCCATTAGTTCTTCAGAAGTATTGATCAATATGCAACACTTAAGGTTTCAAACAACACTTAAATGCAATTTTTGAAGGTATCTCAAGGTGGGCCTTGGTAAATGGTAACTTTTCAAAGGTTGCCTGAAGCCATAACAACAGGGGGAGCACAGCATGCTGCCTTTCCCTGTCAAAGGACATGAGCCTTATTATCTCAGCAATATCCCAAAGCACCTCACAAGTCTGGGAAAAAAATTTCAAAACAGCAAGCAATTTTCAGCCCCAAACTGCACAAATTAAAGCATTTCTCTCTGCTCTGAACTTATTCAGTCTCAGTACAGATATGTTAAATGAACTGACATAAGAAGTAAAATGAAAATTAAATTAAATTTGCCTTTTCCCTGCAGGGAACACTACCCATAAATAAAATGCTGCGAACCCAACCGTTTCCCTTTAGAACATATGAGAAAACACTGTAATCAACTGCCCGCTAAGCAAAATGATCCTGGTTGTTCTCACCAAGTACTGCATTTCATGAGAATCATGGTGCATGCCTTACCAATATGTTCATTGTCGTATTACTCTATAGCTGCATTAACCTTGCATGCCATGGTACCAAGCAGATAAGTGTAAAACATAGCCTGACTCCATATGTGAAAATCTCTCATTATTTTATCATTACTTCTTATACTGCTATTATTACCAGGCAATTGTTATTGTCCACAGTTTACAAATAAGCAAAGAGAAGTGTAAAGGAGAAAAGGAATGTCCAAAGTGTTAATGGATACTTGTAAACCACTGACATAGTCTGGGGCACAGCTAAGGACAGAACCCAGATGGTGCAATTCCTCATCTTTGGGCTAAGAGTCCACCTCGAAGGCTGTCACACAAGGTGATTATATCCTGTGGCTTTCCACAGCCATTAAGATTCTCAAATCAGCAGGAGGCTGTCTCCATACTTTGAGTTTCCAGGAGCAAACCACAACCCAATTTAGGAATATAATGAACAGCTGCATTTCAGCCAATCACAAACAGCCACATTTCAGCCAATCACAGGCAGCCAACTCTTCATCCCTTGCCCAGATGAGGCAGATGCAGAGCTGTACCCAATCATCTGACCTCTCTATATTGCTTCCATGTTTGGCCTATAAAAGCTGGCTGCTCATACTGCTGAGTGGAGCTCTCTGAACCTGCTTGGTTTCTGAGGGCTGTCCGATTCCTGAATCCTTTATTGCTCACATAAACTCTGCTAAATTTAATTCATTTAAACCTTTTGACATGATTAATTCGAAAATTATTAAATGGCCCCCAAGACCCCATGTGTTCTGAGCCCTGCCTGCCCTTCCTGCCCCTCCTGCCTCAACCTCTCACTTCACCCCACCTGAGTGAGGTACACAGCTCCAGCCACACACCAGGGCCGCCATCTGGCCTGCATCAGCTCCTGCTCATCATCACTTAGTTCTGTGACACCCACAGATGTCCCTCCCCCAGAGATGCCTTCCTTTACATTTCACTTTTTTGGCTTTCCATATTATTATACACTTTTTCTTCACAGTACTTACCGCTGTGTAAATACAGTCACACAAACACATATATACACACAGAAGTGTTTGTATGACTTTGTTTATATCCCTCACACGCATGCTTTAAATCTGTGCTGTGGACCACTTCATACCCAGTGAATTGCCCAGGGCCTAGTATGCAGTAGGTGCTCAATAAATACTTCTTGTTTCTGAATCAAAATGTTAACCTGTTCTAACACGGATGATAGGAAGGCGGAAAAAATTTTTAGCAAACTAACACAAGACCAGAAAACCAAACACTGCCTGTTCTGTCTCATAAGTGGGAGTTGAACAATGAGAACACATGGACACAGGGAGGGGAATATCACACACCAGGACCTGTTTGAGGGTATGGGGTGAGGAGAGGGAAAGTATTAGGACAAATATCTAATGCATGCGGGGCTTAAAACTTAGATGATGGTTGATAGGTGCAGGAAACCGTCATGGCACATGTATACCTACGTAACAAACCTGCACGTTCTGCACATGTATCCCAGAACTTAAAGTAAAATAAAAATAAATAAATTTTTAAAAATGGATCTTCATTTTAAAGAGCTCTTTTTAATCATTTATAATGTTTCGCTGATTTTTGCATTTAGATTTTAATTCTTCATGGCTAGATTCCACCCAAAGACTTTTCTCTCAAAGCTAGGGGGAGAAAAAGAAGAAAAAAATAAGAAACCTTTTGGTAACATTTGAATTTTGTGAAATTTTAAATGATACAGTATCCAAATCAACCTCTGACTTCATTTTGAGTTCGATCACTTCAAAGAGAAATTCATTTATAAAACATCATATCTCTCTGGTCATTCACTGAATATTTACAACTACCAATCACTTTATTAAAAGGGAAATTAACGTAAGAAAATAACTGTGACAGGAAAAAATGTATTCATTTTTTTTCACTAGTTTTCAGAGCATCTTCCCTCCTGCTTCCTCCAACTTGGCCCCCTTCATCCCATTTCAATTTCCAAAATGCTGCACACAGTGAAAGGCCTTCTGTCTCAGCCAGCTCCATTCTTGAGTCTTAAAATCTGCCTTGCTTGTACTATCTCAGAAAAGCAAAACATCTCTCAAGGGAGATCAACAGAACAACCAAGAAATCCAAGGCCACTCAGGGCTGAGTCTGAGAAGGTTGAGGGAGTTGTGACACAGAGGGAGACAGAAACTGAAGGCATTTGTCAGTCTGTGCTGAACAGGGCTGGGGGAAGACAAAAGAAAAGATTTTAAAGTTTTGTTCCTATTTATAAATTGAACATATTTAGCCTTTTTTAAGAGACCAAGTAAAGATTTAAAGTTATTGAGAATTCTATCCGGATTTTGAACATAAGTGTCTAAGGATCCAGCAGAGGCAAAAGAGTCATAAATGCAAATTCCACAAGCTAAATAAGACATAGGGAACCAAACAAAGAAATTCACGTAAAAAAACATAAGTGAAAATAATTAGCAGTTAGATAATCTGATCTCCAAAATGTTCCAACTCATCTAAAATTTTAACAGTCACTGATTTGACCAGTGTTCCGTGAATATTCTCTGTGTTCTGAGAGCTGGAACAGGACAGCAGAAGAAGAAAAGCAAGATCAAAAGAGGCTTCCCTGTAACACCTTACCATTCTGGCTGGGAGCGGTGGCTCATGCCTGTAATCCCAGCACTTTGGGAGGCTGAGGCAGGAGGATCACCTGAGGTCAGGACTTCGAGACCAGCCTAGCCAACATGGTGAAACCCCCATCTCTACTAAAAAATTACAAAAATTATCGGGGTGTGGTGGCAGGCACCTGTAGTCCCAGCAACTCAGGAGGCTGAGGCAGGAATTGCTTGAGCCCAGGAAGTGCAGATTGCAGTGAGCAGAGATTGTACCATTGCACTCCAGCCTGGGAGACAGAACAAGACTCCATCTCAAAAAAAAAATAGATAGATAGATAGATAGATAGATAGATAGATAGATAGATAAATAAATCTCACCATAGTCTCAGGGTGAACATGCTAAATTACCAAATGACTCTCAAAATTTATCATATAGGTTATCATTATTCAAGTTCACCAAAAGAGCTGATTAATATAAATTAGACTTGTTGGTAAAGTTTTCTGAAAGAGATTATAACTTGAAAAACAGATGAGATTTAAGTAGGGGTGGTGGAGCCAAGATGGCCAAATAGGAACAGCTCCAGTCTACAGCTCCCAGCATGAGCAACGCAGAAGACGGGTGATTTCTGCATTTCCAACTGAGGTACCAGGTTCATCTCATGGGGGAGTGCCAGACAGTGGGGGCAGGACAGTGGGTGCAGTGCACCACGCATGAGCCAAAGCAGGGAGAGGCATCGCCTCACCCGGGAAGTGCAAGGGGTCAGGGAATTCCCTTTCCTAGTCAAAGAAAGGGGAGACAGAGGGCACCTGAAAAATCAGGTCACTCCCACCCTAATACTGCGCTCTTCCAATGGGCTTAACAAACAGCACACCAGGAGATTACATCCCGCACGTGCCTCGGAGGGTCCTACGCCCATGGAACCTCACTCATTGCTAGCACAGCACTCTGAGATCAAACTGCAAGGTTGCAGCGAGGCTAGGGGAGGGGCGCCTGCCATTGCTCAGGCTTCAGTAGGTAAACAAAGCAGCCAGGAAGCTCGAACTGGGTGGAGGCCACCACAGCTCAAGGAGGCCTGCCTGCCTCTATAGGCTCCACCTCTGGGGGCAGGGCACAGACAAACAAAAGACAGCAATAACCTCTGCAGTCTTAAATGTCCCTGTATGACAGCTTTGAAGAGAGTAGTGGTTCTCCCAGCACGCAGCTTGAGATCTGAGAACGGGGAGACTGCCTCCTCAAGTGGGTCCCTGACCCCCGAGTGGCCTAACTGGGAGGCACCCCCCAGTAGGGGCGGACTGACATCTCACAAGGCCGGGTACTCCTCTGAGACAAAAATTCCAGAGGAATGACCAGGCAGCAGCATTTGCGGTTCACCAATATCCGCTGTTCTGCAGCCACGGCTACTGATACCCAGGCAAACAGGGTCTGGAGTGGACCTCCAGTAAACTCCAACAGACCTGCAGCTCAGGGTCCTGAATGTTAGAAAGAAAACTAAAAAACAGAAAGGACATCCACACCAAACACCCATCTGTACATCATCATCATCAAAGACCAAAGGTAGATAAAACCACAAAGATGGAGAAAAAACAGAGCAAAAAAACTGGAAACTCTAAAAATCAGAGCGCCTCTCCTCCTCCAAAGGAACACACCTCCTCACCAGCAACGGAACAAAGCTGGATGGACAATGACTTTGACAAGTTGAGAGAGGAAGGCTTCAGAAGATCAAACTATTCCGAGTTAAAGCAGGAAGTTCGAACCAATGGCAAAGAAGTTAAAAACTTTGAAAAAAAATTAGACGAATGGATAACTAGAATAACCAATGCAGAGAAGTCCTTAAAGGAAGTGATGGAGCCGAAAACCAAGGCACGAGAACTACGTGACGTATGCACAAGCCTCAGTAACTGATGCAATCAACTGGAAGAAAGGTTATCAGCGATGGAAGATGAAATGAATGAAATGAAGCATGAAGAGAAGTTTAGAGAAAAAAGAATAAAAAGAAATGAACAAAGCCTCCAAGAAATATGGGGCTATGTGAAAAGACCAAATCTACATCTCATTGGTGTACCTGAAAGTGATGGGGAGAATGGAACCAAGTTGGAAAACACTCTGCAGTATATTATCCAGGAGAACTTCCCCAATCTAGCAAGGCAGGCCAACATTAAATTTCAGGAAATACAGAGAATGCCACAAAGATACTCCTCGAGAAGAGCAACTCAAAGACACATAATTGTCAGATTCACCAAAGTTGAAATGAAGGAAAAAGTGTTCAGGGCAGCCAGAGAGAAAGGTCGGGTTACTCACAAAGGGAAGTCCATCAGACTAACAGCGGATCTCTCAGCAGAAACTCTACAAGCCAGAAGAGAGTGGGGGCCAATATTCAACATTCTTAAAGAAAAGAATTTTCAACCCAGAATTTCATATCCAGCCAAACTAAGCTTCATAAGTGAAGGAGAAATAAAATCCTTTACAGACAAGAAAATGCTGAGAGATTTTGTCACCACCAGGCCTGCCCTAAAAGAGCTCCTGAAGGAAGCACTAAACATGGAAAGGAACAACCAGTACCAGCCGCTGCAAAATCATGCCAAAATGTAATGACCATCGAGACTAGGAAGAAACTGCATCAACTAACGAGCAAAATAACCAGCTAACATCACAATGACAGGATCAAATTCACAAAAACAATACTAACCTTAAATGTAAATGGGCTAAATGCTCCAATTAAAAGACACAGACTGGCAAATTGGATAAAGACTCAAGACCCTTCAGTGTGCTGTATTCAGGAAACCCATCTCACGTGCAGAGACACACATAGGCTCAAAATAAAGGGATGGAGGAAGAGCTACCAAGCAAATGGAAAACAAAAAAAAGGCAGGGCTTGCAATCCTAGTCTCTGATAAAACCGACTTTAAACCAACAAAGATCAAAAGTGACAAAGAAGACCATTACATCATGGTAAAGAGATCAATTCAACAAGAAGAACTAACTATCCTAAATATATATGCACCCAATACAGGAGCACCAAGATTCATAAAGCAAGTCCTTAGTGACCTACAAAGAGACTTAGACTCCCACACAATAATAATAGGAGTCTTTAACACCCCACTGTCAACATTAGACAGATCAATGAGACAGAAAGTTAGCAAGGATATCCAGGAATTGAACTCAGCTCTGCACCAAGCGGACCTAATAGACATCTACAGAACTGTCCACCCCAAATCAACAGTATATACATTCTTTTCAGCACCACACCACAACTATTCCAAAAATGACCACATAGTTGGAAGTAAAACACTCCTTAGCAAATGTAAGAGAACAGAAATTATAACAAACTGTCTCTCAGACCACAGTGCAATCAAACTAGAACTCAGGATTAAGAAACTCACTCAAAACCGCTCAACTACATGGAAATTGAACAACCTGCTCCTGAATGACTACTGGGTACATAACGAAATGAAGGCAGAAATAAAGATGTTCTTTGAAACCAACGAGAACAAACACACAACATACCAGAATCTCTGGGACACATTCAAAGCAATGTATAGAGGGAAATTTATAGCACTAAATGTCCACAAGAGAAAGCAGGAAAGATCTAAAATTGACACACTAACATCACAATTAAAGGAACTAGAGATGCAAGAGCAAACACATTCCAAAGCTAGCAGAAGGCAAGACATAACTAAGATCAGAGCAGAACTGAAGGAAATAGACACACAAAAAACCCCTAAAAAAATCAATGAATCCAGGAGCTGGTTTTTTGAAAAGATCAACAAAATTGATAGACTGCTAACAAGACTAATAAAGAAGAAAAGACAGAAGAATCAAATAGATGCAATAAAAAGTGACAAAGGGGATATCACCACCGATCCCACAGAAAAACAAACTACCATCAGAGAATACTACAAACACCTCTACGCAAATAAACTAGAAAATCTAGAAGAAATGGATAAATTCCTCGACACGTACACCCTCCCAAGACAAAACTAGGAAGAAGTTGAATCTCTGAATAGATGAATAACAGGCTCGGAAATTGAGGCAATAATTAATAGCTTACCAACCAAAAAAAAAGTCCAGGACCAGATGGATTCACAGCCGAATTTTACCAGAGGTACAACAAGGAGCTGGTACCATTCCTTCTGAAACTATTCCAATCAATAGAAAAAGAAGGAATCCTCCCTAACTCATTTTATGAGGCCAGCATCATCCTGATACCAAAGCCAGGCAGAGACACAACAAAAAAAGAGAATTTTAGACCAATATCCCTGATGAACATTGATGCAAAAACCCTCAATAAAATACTGGCAAACTGAATCCAGCAGCACATCAAAAAGCTTATCCACCATGATCAAGTGGCCTTCATCCCTCGGATGCAAGGCTGGTTCAACATATTCAAATCAGTAAACGTAATCCAGCATATAAACAGAACCAAAGACAAAAACCACATGATTATCTCAATAGATGCAGAAAAGGCCGGCCTTTGACAAAATTCAACAACCCTTCATGCTAAAAACTCTCAATAAATTAGGTATTGATGGGACGTATCTCAAAATAATAAGAGCTATCTATGACAAACCCACAGCCAATATCACACTGAATGGACAAAAACTGGAAGCATTCCCTTTGAAAACTGGCACAAGACAGGGATGCCCTCTCTCACCACTCCTATTCAACATAGTGTTGGAAGTTCTGGCCAGGGCAACTAGGTAGGAGAAGGAAATAAAGGGAATTCAATTAGGAAAAGAGGAGGTCAAATTGTCCCTGTTTGCAGATGACATGATTGTATATCTAGAAAACCCCATTGTCTCAGCCCAAAATCTCCTTAAGCTGATAAGCAAATTCAGCAAAGTTTCAGGATACAAAATCAATGTGCAAAAATCACAAGCATTCTTCTAAACCAATAACAGACAAACAGAGAGCCAAATCATGAGTGAACTCCCATTCACAATTGCTTCAAAGAGAATAAAATACCTAGGAATCCAACTTACAAGGGATATGAAGGACCTCTTCAAGGAGAACTACAAACCACTGCTCAATGAAATAAAAGAGGATACAAACAAATGGAAGAACATTCCATGCTCATGGGTGGGAAGAATCAATATTGTGAAAATGGCCATACTGCCCAAGGTAATTTATACATTCAATGCCATCCCCATCAAGCTACCAATGACTTTCTTCACAGAATTGGAAAAAACTACTTTAAATTTCATATGGAACCAAAAAAGAGCCCACATCACCAAGTCAATCCTAAGCTAAAAGAACAAAGCTGGAGGCATCATGCTACCTGACTTGAAACTATACTACAAGGCTACAGTAACCAAAACAGCATGGTACTGGTGCCAAAACAGAGATATAGATCAATGGAACAGAACAGAGCCCTCAGAAATAATGCTGCATATCTACAACTATCTGATCTTTGACAAACCTGACCAAAAACAAGCAATGGAGAAAGGATTCCCTATTTAATAAATGGTGCTGGGAAAACTGCCTAGCCACAAGTGGAAAGCTGAAACTGGATCCCTTCCTTACACCTTATACAAAAATTAATTCAAGATGGATTAAAGACTTACAAGTTAGACCTAAAACCATAAAAACCCTAGAAGAAAACCTAGGTAATACCATTCAGGACATAGGCATGGGCAAGGACTTCATGCCTAAAACACCAAAAGCAATGGCAACAAAAGCCAAAATTGACAAATGGGACCTAATTAAACTAAAGAGCATCTGCACAGCAAAAGAAACTACCATCAGAGTGAACAGGCAACCTACAGAATGGGAGAAAATTTTTGCAACCTACTCATCTGACAAAGGGCTAATATCCAGAATCTACAATGAACTCAAATTTACAAAAAAAAACAAACAAACAACCCCATCCAAAAGTGGGCGAAGGATACGAACAGACACTTCTCAAAAGAAGACATTTATGCAGCCAAAAAACACATGAAAAAATGCTCACCATCACTGGCCATCAGAGAAATGCAAATCAAAACCACATTGAGATACCATCTCACACCATTTAGAATAGCGATCATTAAAAAGTCAGGAAACAACAGGTGCTGGAGAGGATGTGGAGAAATAGGAACACTTTTACACTGTTGGTGGGACTGTAAACTAGTTCAACCATTGTGGAAGTCAGTGTGGCGATTCCTCAGGGATCTAGAACTAGAAATACCATTTGACCCAGCCATCCCATTACTGGGTATATACCCAAAGGATTATAAATCATGCTGCTATAAAGACACATGCACACGTATGTTTACTGCGGCACTATGCAGCCATAAAAAAGGAAGAGTTCATGTCCTTTGTAGGGACATGGATGAAGTTGGAAACCATCATTCTCAGCAAACTATCACAAGGACAAAAAAACCAAACACTGCATGTTTTCACTCATAGGTGGGAACTGAACAATGAAAACACATGGACACAGGAATGGGAACATGACACACCAGGGACTATTGTGGGGTGGGGGGAGGCAGGAGGGATAGCATTAGGAGATATACCTAATGTTAAATGACAAGTTAATGGGTGCAGCCCACCAACATGGCACATGTGTACATATGTAACAAACCTGCACGTTGTGCACATGTACCCTAAAACTTAAAATATAATAAAAATAAAAAAGAATTAAAAAAAAGAAGGAAATACACAAAAATGTCCACCAAAAAAAAAAAAAAAAAGGTTTAAGTAGGGGTAAGGAAGTGGTGACAAGCTAGGTTGGGAAACCATGTGACAGGAGGCTATGATGAATGCACTTCATCTGTTTAGTGTCCACAGAAACTCTTGCGGAAAAAGGAGAGGAAATGCAGTTTGATTCCAAATGTAGGGGTCTCTCACCTCGAGAGCTCTTGAGTCTGGCTTTCACTACTGATGGTTTTGAGCAGGGGAACCCCAAAATGAAAGATAAGTTTGGTAAGTTATGGAGACTGGATGGAATCTCCAATTCCCAGAGTCCAGCACGTGGCCCAGCAGAGTGCTGTGAGGTTCTCCTGGGGTCATGAAGCTGACCCCAAAATTAAGCTGCATTGTCTTGTGTTATGTGTACGTGGTGACTCATTGCACAGACGTTTGCATTCATCTTGGGATGCGACAACTCTGTGTCTGTCGCTGCTGGGACAGGACAGCCTATGCTACTCTTGTCCTGGTGTAACTGTCAACAAGGCCCCTTTCACTCTCACAATTGTCCAGTTTGGGTGACATATTATATGGTCACCTAAGATATGGGATTTTGAACAGTGATCTACAAAGCTATTTTTCAATGTTATTAAACTATGATATTTATAAACTAAAGGTAGCACATTTGAGGAGAGGACTGAAGATCCTAACTCAGTATTTTAGTGAGAGCTCTTGCTGCCCCTAAAATGTCAAGCAACAAAGTAAAGCCTCCATTGCACAGGCATCCACAGAGAGCCAGCATTTTGGAAAACACTTGATCATATTTTTAGTTATCAACAACCTTTTGAGCTGTCTGTGATGTTCAATGGCTGCCATCTCTTGTATTTCAAATATAAATCATTATTCACTTAGCTTCTGATGAAAAACTATGCCTGTTGGATGGTCTGTAGGATTGCTTGTTTACCCCTCAGTGTTATAATGCCTGTTTGTTAGCTCATTAATGCTTTGGGCCAAGACTTTAAGAACTGCCTGAACTGCAGTTGAAATAGGAGCCACTCCCACTCCCATAGTTAAAGCAAATCTACACTTAACCCTGCTTCACTGAATGCAGTCGTACCATGAAACTTCATTGCTATCACTGAATTCTTTTCCACTGGCAACTGTGGAAGGGAAGAGTACCTTTATTATGGTGCTTTGCCCTGACTAAGCAGTTAGAAAAAATATAAGGGTCCTTGGGCCAGATAGAGGACACAGAGGTAGTGAGACCACCATTTGGGGTGCTTCTGTGAAAGTTAAGAGGTGAGGCTCCCGGTACAGGGCAGTGGCAGGAGACGGAGGGCACATATGAGGAGTGCAGTTCCAGGGCCCCAGAAAGATATTTTACACATCTGGCCACTTGTAGTCTGGAATTTTAGACGGAGTCCAAGTCCGAATCTACAGTTCTTTGGGACGTATCTGTGATCTTTACAAAGTAATATACTCTAAACTATTGAGACTCACATCCAAAATGGGCAGTTTTCATGATTTGTCTCTACAGAACAGGTAAGAACGTTATCAAAACAAAGAAGTGGCATTGCTCTTTCATCAACAAACTTCCTTGAAGATTTAAATCCAAGGAAGAGGATGTAAACTTTTTTCCTTTTTTTTTTTTTGAGACAGAGTCTTGCTCTGCCACTAGGCTGGAATGCAGTGGCGCAATCTCGGCTCACTGCAACCTCCACCTCCTGGGTTCAAGTGAGTCTCCTGCCTCAGCCTCCCGAGTAGCTGGGACTACAGGCATGCACCACCACACCCAGCTAATTTTTGTATTTTTAGCAGAGACGGAGTTTCACCATGTTGGCCAGGATGGTCTTGATCTGTTGATCTCGTGATCCGCCCACCTCGGCCTCCCAAAGTGCTGGGATTACAGGCGTGAGCCACCCCGCCTGGCCAGAAGATGTAAACTTTTAAATCCAAGGTAAAAAAAATGATGTGATGGGTCCCTATTTTACAACATGTAATCAAATGCTTAGATTGGTTCCCTGCCTGAAAGTCTCTTTGCATATATCAAGTTACGTTTTATCATTTGTGCCCAACAATTTCTTCCAAAAAAAATCCCTTGTTCTTTAATGAGGAAAAAGAACATCTTTGCTGTTTAGAAAAGGGCGTAAGGCCGGGCGTGGTGGCTCACGCCTGTAATCCCAGCACTTTAGGAGGCTGAGGCGGGCAGATCACCTGAGGTAAGGAGTTCGAGACCAGCCTGGCCAAAATAGTGAAACCGTCTCTACTAAAAATACAAAAATTAGCCGGGCATGGTGGAAGGCACCTATAATCCCAGCTACTCAGGAGGCTGAGGCAGGAGAATTGCCTAAATCCAGGAGGCAGAGGTTGCAGTGAGCTGAAATTGGACCATTGCACTCCAGCCTGGGTATCAGAGCAAGACTCCATCTCAAAAAAAAAAAAAAAAGAAAGAAAGAAAAGGGCATACAATATTGATGAACTCTTGAAGCTGCTTCTGCAAGTAATCAGTTTGTGTATTTCCCAATTTCAGGTCAACTAGTACTCGTTTAACAAGTTTCTAAAACATTCTTAGACCAAAATTTTCAGAGGAACTTTGCAGATTGCAAACAAACCCATCAAAATAACCCAGTTGGCCTTAGCTGCCACTGACCAAACAAAATGTGACGTTTACAGAGTCCTGAAATTCTCATGCTGTAGAAGCCACCAACGAGCTCTGAAATTTGACAGGAAACAAATGCTAGAGTCATAAAGCAAGTGATATAATCATTCAAGACAAATGAGGGAGTCTTTTTTTCTTTTTTTTAATGAGAGGGGGTCTCACTGTGTCACCCAGACTGGAATACAGTGGCACAATCACGGCTCACTGCAGCCCCAACCTCCCAGGCTCAAGTGAGCCTCCCACCTCAGCCTCCCCAAGTAGCTGGGACTATAGGCATACACCACCACACTCAGCTAATTTTCAATTTTTTTTTTTTTTTTTTTGTAGAGACTGGGTTTTTCCATAATGCCCAGGCTGGAAGCAAGTCATTTCAACTTTTTAAATACTTAATACCAGGAAAAAGAAATAGCTTCTTCCATGCTGTTTTCTGGTGATTAAATCAACATTATTTTGTATGTATGTCCAAACACACACACACACACACTGTCTGTTTCATCTCCCTAGCTTACTCAAAGTGATAAAACAGGCTCCAGCCAGAAACATCACTGATGGAAACTGTGACTTTTATTTTAACTAATGCGTCTATTAAAATGAGGCAGGGTTCGGTCGTTGAAGTCAGACGTGGCATTCAAATCACACCCATGGACACATAATTGTCTGTAGAAGAGAGTACAAGTGAATCGAATCTTACAGCAGCAGAGAAGTTCTCCATGTCGTCGCCATGATTTCATCAGCTTCTCTTTAGTCTCTCCTGCACGTTTCCTTCAGTCTGAGCAATTCATGCTGAACCTCCTGATCTTCCAACCAAGATTTGGGCTGCAAATTCCTCCCCAGCAGAACTGGAGAACTGGAGAAGCTGAGCTCAGTGCCATCAGCCCACCACTGGGACTCTGTGACAAATGGAGTGCAGAGGTGACAAATGGAGTGCAGAGGCCGGAGGAAGCTGAAGACCCCTGGCAGAGCCCTGGGGGTGCCATCACACATCCTCCCGGGGCACAGCGACAGGAATCCAGAGAGGCGGCCCAGTTCAAGTCTCACAGAAAACCCAGAGTCTGATTAATATTAGAACATGGCTCTCGGCAAGGCCCTCATCATCCACAGCACCACAGCCACTGAAATATTCAGGAAGGCTAACAAGCAGGTGCCCTGGGGAGTTAATAGCAGAGACGGAAAGCCTCTCGCCAGCTCCATAGCCAACACAGAGCCAGGTGGGATTGTCAGTAATTAAAAGCCTTACTCAGTAGAAGCCTTTATAAAATGAATTGTCGAATTCCATCAGCATTAAAGAATAGGCATTGAACTTTCAAAATTACATAAGAATTTTTTAAAGCCAGAATTAAAAACGCTTGACTACATTTTGCTTTTTGTTTGTTTAGTCATTCACACATATCTATCTGATGCCTACCGTGTGCCTAAGCCCTGCATATACGGAAAACTAATAGGCCAGGAGAAGGTTCCCTTGGTTGCCACAGCCAGGCCTGGATCACTCTCGATAACTAGCCCACAATAACTGCTGGGACTTCGAGGAAAAACTCATTTTGAATAGTGCCGCCTTCCCGAAGGCCTGCTGGAAGCACGAGTGGTGAGAGGATGCCCAGAAGTTGCTCCTGGAGGAATGAGGGTGGCCTGTCCTGGGTCTCTGTCCCTGGGTCTGAGGACATAGCACTATCGCCTAAGGATGAAGGTGATCCGAGATTTGGCAACAACGATTGTGAGCACCTCCATGGCAGGAAGCAGGATATGGGCTTCCTACACTCGTCCCAAGGCAGTGAAGAAAGGCATGGGCCAGGATGCAGCTCTCAGTACATTTTCTGTCACAGGGATGTGAATCCAGCCCAGCAAAGTTCAACCCAGTTGTCAACTGAAAAGATGGGGAAGACCTTGGATTCCCAAGACTCCGTGAGGGCAGAGCTCATGGCTTAACCTCTCTTTCCCCCCACCGGCTGAGGCAAAAGGCAAGCGCATGAGATCATTATTGATACATGCAGGAAAGTATGTATTTCATCAGGTAACATTTATTTTAACTAATAAGCACTAAGAACTTCAGCATTTATTAAGTAGAACACAGCAAACTTCAGCATGTCCTGATCTGTGTGAACTATGGATGGAGAAGGTAAGAAAGTGGGGTTCCGTTTTTCCCTTTCAAGTCCTTATGCCCTCATGAAGACTGAATTTTCACTCCACCAAAATTAAGGAAGCAAAGTGGCTTCCCGGAGTTCAAAGGGACAGCTCAGCCCCATCTTCGCGTCATGCAGAATGCATGAGCTGATTCTACTCTCAGCCTCTAAAACAGTAGGGAGATGATAACCTGCAACACAGCTAATTTAGAGGTCACCCTGATCCGGTGGGTAAGAACGCATTTCTTCTTACTCAAAATTTAGTCCCATTATTTAGCCCTCGTACACAACTCAGACAGCATTCCCGACGAATACCTACATCTCGTGCTCCTTTTCACAAGGTGCTGACATACCTAATAGTGCTTTTTTCCCCTCCTGGGCTCTGGGGGTGCCATGAAGGCTGGAGATAGACAGCAAATGAAGGAATAACAATTTTTTTAAATCTAGAACTTCCACTGCTTTTATTTCTGCATGAACGTGGAAAAGCCTCCTACTAGGAGAAACAACGTCGTGTAGATTCTGTAATACTTGCCAATAGGTAGGCCTCCCATCTGTAGACAGCTGTGGCTAAGCCACAGCTTATGGTAATTCGACAAAATTACCATTACTCACAAAAGTAAACAATTTTCTTGAAACAACAAGGCAGACAGGGTTGTAAGCAGAGGGCTTCATGGTAAATTTCTCTAGTAACTAAGCTAAGTTGGTCTTTTTGGAAACAAGAGTTGCATCTTGGCTCAAGCACATGTTTACTGAGTACCGAAATATTTTCAGGTATGGTGATAGGGGCTGTAGATTCAGAGCAGTGTGCTATAAAAGTTGTATCTTCCAGTGGTAGACACAGATGCTAAACCAGTAACATTGGTGAATGTCAGTGAAGAGATTTTTGTAGGATCCCAGACAGCGTAGATGATTCATACCCAACCTACAGCCTGAGGTTCAGGGATTTTTCCCAAAAAGCCATGCCCTAAAGAGGTCTGGAGGTGTTAAAACAATAATAGTGAGGCTGCTCATTAGCCATTAGCTGGTGTGTGTCTTCCCTGTGAGTTCCTTCATGGAACCATTCATGTGCAGATACAACCCTACTGCCTGACACACAGAGATTGTTTGCTATATATTAATATCTGTTGACTGAATTCATGGAAGCAGAAATCATGGGATCTATTCTCGACCAATTAACTTTTTTGTCAATTTTCCTTTTTGAATTAAATATTGTATCCAGTAAAGTAATGTGTCTTCAAAGGAGTCTGTTTCTCTCTTTTACAACATACTGTCAGCTTCTTGAGGGCAGCTGTGTGTCTTATTTATCTGTGTATCTCCAGCAGGTAGACCAGAACCTTGACATTACAGATGCCCAGTAGCACCTATTATGTTAAACTGTGTTAAAATGAACTAAAAGCGGGCAGTCTCTCTAAAGATGCTTCATTTTAACTACTTAAATAGAATATTTTGTTGAAATAATAAAAGCTAAGGATTATATATATATGTGTGTGTAATGTATAATATATAACAGTAAATAATGCATCATATATACAACAGTATTACATGTATTATATATGAAATGTAAAGCCCAATATAAGCTAACACATGTTGTGTAATTTTGTATTTATTATATAAATTCACCATGAGATCCCATTACAGAAGGAGCCTTCCTCGGCATAATGGGAGTGATAGATCACTCGACTTGTAAGAAAGCAAAGGGATAGAAGTATGGCAAAGGCAGGGGAAGAGCTCCGTGAAGATCCCAAAACACCACACATGAGGACAGCAGCCTGTCTTCTGCTCTTTTTTGCTTACTCTGTGGAACATGACTGAGGCTTCCTCTGCAGAAGGCAGCGTGCAAGTCCAGATAAATTTGCCTATGAACCTACTGTGACCTTTCCAGGTTCCCCGTAGGAAGAAACCCTGGATCTCAACAGGAGGAAAACGCTCTCCTTTGGAATTTCAAGAATTCACCACTAAAACGAATGTCCTCTTCTACTCTGATTGTACCACCGAGAAAGGACAGTGAATGTGGCTACGGTCATAATCGACACATACGTTTTCTGAAATAATGTGAGATTTTTGCCCAAGTTATTCAAGTGGTACAGGGGACTTCACATCTGACCCGGCAGCCCCTCCAATGAAGTAAGTACTTTCTTCTCAGGGGTAGGATCAAGCGCGCCATGTGTAAAATGAATTGAGGTCTTTGCAGAAAGGTGCTGTGCAAATAACTGGTATTACCGTGTTCCCATCTTGATATAGAGCTCATTTCAATCATGGTATTAGGAACAAAAGTAATGTGTTCAGTTATTGTGAGCTTCAGTTGGCTTTTTCAGGAGCTTCAAATTCAATTACATTCTGAGATGAACATGAAATCCATTGAACAGCTGGATGAATGGTGATCTTATTTACCCAATTCTCTTTAAATTCCAGACTTTCATAAGACAATCAAATGCCTCTTGTGTGCTTTCACATTCTAGTGAATTTTGCAAGGAGAAAACAGAATTATTTTAAGCATGCTCCCGAAAAGGATTTCATACTTATGTACGTACATACAAATATATGTGTGTGAATGTATCATATTAACAAAAGCTAAATTATTTGTTCATTCAACAATGCAACAATCATTGTATACAATCACGTATACTCTAACTGACTTATAGCAAGTGTATTTTAGGGGTTCAATGTCTCAGATTATATAGCTATTACCTTCCAGAGATGGACTTGCCTTAAACTGGCTAGCACTTTCTTACTTTCTTTTTTATTTAAACTTTACTAAAACAGCTGGGTGCAGTGGCTCATGCCTATAATCCCAGCACTTTGGGAGGCTGAGGTGGGAGGAGTGCTTGAGTGTGAGACCAGCCTGGGCAACATGACAAGACCCTGTTTCTACAGAAAATTAAAACATTAGCTGGGCGTGACGACATGCATCTGTGGTCCCAGCTACTCATGAGGCTGAGGCAGAATGATCCCTTAAGCCCAGGAGTTCAAGGCTGCAGTGAGCTATGATTACGCTACTGCACTCTAGCCTGGGCAACAGAGCTAGATCCTGTCTCAAAATAAATGAATAAATAAATAAACTTTAATACCAAAACAAATATTTTCTCATCATTACAAGACTTTATTTCACAAATTACGTTCCGAATATTCTATCCTAGTCTTTAATCTATAGGCAAATATTTGTGCATACATGCCCATAAAATTAGAGTTATGTTAGACTGAATAGTAATAGGTTATTTGCCATGGCAGAACCCAAATGTAAGGCTCCCATGGGCTGTAGAAGTATGAAGGTGGAGAGTTTATAACATCCTGGAAAGAATGTGTGGTTTGTGGGGTGAGGGTGTAAGACAAGGGCTTAACAGAATACAGTCTTGGAATTGAAATTGAAAACATCAAGAAAACAGCAAGGAATGAAGCAAAAAAAAAAAAAAGTGAGATAATGTTGTCTAAGAAAATAAGATGATGGGCCGGGCGCGGTGGCTCACGCCTGTAATCCCAGCACTTTGGGAGGCCGAGGCGGGTGGATCACGAGGTCAGGAGTTCGAGACCATCCTGGCTAACACGGTGAAACCCCGTCTCTACTAAAAATACAAAAAATTAGCCGGGCGAGGTGGCGGGCGCCTGTAGTCCCAGCTACTCGGGAGGCTGAGGCAGGAGAATGGCGTGAACCCCAGGGGGCGGAGCCTGCAGTGAGCCGAGATTGCGCCACTGCACTCCAGCCTGGGCGACAGCGAGACTCCGTCTCAAAAAAAAAAAAAAAAAAAAAAAAATAAGACGATGAACAAGGATCTGTTATATTCTGTTCCTTTACTGGTTAATAGTATGGAGGGTGCAGAGTTTCATACTCCTTAAGAGTATGAAGAGTTTCCAAACATAGGAACTGATTATTAAGTGTATGACTGGTTTTAACCTAACACACTAGGTTGTAATGATCACTAGGAAGCAACATGGTTTCACGAAAAAAGGTGAAACCAGAATCATGTGTCTGCTATTCATGATAGAAAAGATGGAGCATTTCATCAGCACAGCAGAGCTGGGTTTCAGCAGTGTGTGGCCGAGTCTCCCTTGACATCACCATAAGATAGAAAGTACTGAACCAAATGGAAGAGGAACTGGGGGAGTCCCAGGGGGCTGAGTAGTCATGACTCCCCCGAAAATGTCAGCAAGAGGAGTGAAACCCTGAAGGGCAGTTTCAAGTGGCATGCCACCTGAGTAAGCTCTCCTTCCCATCCTATGCAAATTTAATCATCAATTTTCATAAGGCCAGAACAGGCTTGCATCTTATTGTGGAGACACAAGTCAGGAGGAGCAGCACATGCAATGGTTGGCTCGTTCAGTCCTCACAAGTCCCCTGGCAAGTGGCAGAGATGAGGCAAAATGAAGAAAAAAAGAGTCAATGGAGATAAATGACAGCCTAACAACCAAGATGTTACTATGTCTCATCTGACTTAGCAATCCGGGATCTCGGAATAGACAATTTAAGGATAGCTTATTATTTATAGTAATAGCGACTGCACTGCTGTCGGAAAGAAAATGGCATCAGAATGCATAATGGCAATAGCTCCCTACTCCAAAATTTAAAACCCACATCATTTCAGGTGACGTGAACAGAAATACGGGAGCCAGAACAGGGACTGCTGATGGTAGCCAGGTGTTTCTGGCCAGCCGAGATCCTGAGTGCATTGTTTCCAGTCCTGGCGTCATAATTTAAGTGGGGCTTTGACCAAGTTGAGGCAGTCAAGAAGCATGAGGGCCACAGTCAAGAGGGCACAGAGCCATGCCTGTGACAAGCGGTGGACACGCTGCAGAGATGCACACCACCAACACACACAAATGATGTTGAAAAACGGAAGATCACGTATGCCTCACAGACACAGGTTGCAAAGAAGTGG
Organism: Homo sapiens; assembly: GCF_000001405.40. Taxonomy (NCBI): domain Eukaryota; kingdom Metazoa; phylum Chordata; class Mammalia; order Primates; family Hominidae; genus Homo; species Homo sapiens. Next base: position 6,206,788 of record NC_000008.11, read on the forward strand.
ATTTGGGTTTGGGAGGCCAAGGTAGGCAGATCGCTCAAGCTCAGGAGTTCGAGACCAGCCTGAGCAACATGGCAAAACCCCGTCTCTATTAAAAAAAAAAAAAAAAACAAACAAAAAAAAAAACACTTAGCTGGGTGTGGTGGCCTGCACCTGTAGTCCCACATTCTAGGGAGACTGGGGTGGGAGAATCACCTGAGCCTGGGAGGCGGAGATTGCAGTGAGCTGAGATCGTGCCACTGCACTCCAGCCTGGCAATAGAGCAAGACCCTGTTTCAAAATAAGTAAATAAATAAAAATAAAGGCTGCGCATGGTGGCTCATGCCTGTAATCCCAGCACTTGGGGAGGCCAAAGTGGGCAGATCACCTGAGGTCAGGTGTTCGAGACCAGCCTGAACAACATGGAGAAACCCTGTGTCTACTAAAAATACAAAATTAGCCAGGCGTGTTGGCGCATGCCTGTAATCCCAGGTACTCGGGAGGCTGAGGCAGGAGAATCACTTGAACCCAGGAGGCAGAGGTTGTGGTGAGCTGAGATAGCACCATTGCACTCCAGTCTGGGCAACAAGAGGGAAACTCCATCTCAAAAAAAAAAGAAAAGAAAATAGAAAAAAAAAAGTGGATTTGGGGTTTATAATAAGGAAGAAATTTCTATTGATTAGAACATTTCAAAAGTGGAATGATCTGACGCATGAAGTAAACTACATGGGCCTGGAAAGGAAAGCACTTCCTCTGTTTCTCCATCTGGCTGGGCCTTCCTCATGTCTAGGGAGAATTACTAACCTGCCCTCACCACTGTAATTTAAGATTCTTTCTTCTTCCCTATGCTCTATGAATGCTCGCTGTATATTCTTATTAGATCACTTTGCAGTACATTTTCATCACGGGCTTTCCTGGTTGCCTCCCCAAACAAACTGTAGAGAGCAGGAAAAAAACTGTCATTCTTCTCATGTCCTGAGCACCTAATGCATTATTTGCACATCATGAAACTGAGTAAATGCAGTTGAATAGGTACAAGAGGCCCACGTTTCAGCTTAGAAAAGTACAAATGACTGCAGATAATCTAACAATTGGCTGAAAGTGAGAAGAAAAGGCAAGAAAAGAAATTAAAAATTAACGTGAAGTGAGAAAATGGAAATCATGGAGGAGGCTGCCATTGGAGACAGCAGAGATGTTGCTGTGACCTGACCTGATGTTGAGATCTTGGGTTAGAGCACCAAGGTATTCCGTTACTCACGATGGTATATTGAGCACTTGCTACATGCTGGGCACTCTGTGACAACCCTGGGCCCTGGGCTTTGTCATGATTGCCATCTCACAATTGAGTAATCAGTCTTAGAGAGTTCAAGGCACTTGCTGGCATTATAGGCTGGTAAGTTATTCCAGGATAGGAATTTCATTCTGTCTCATCCCAAAGCACTTTGTTCCAAAGAACTAAAAACAGCCTGCCAAAATGCAGACACTAGGAAAATAAAGTGGAAAAGTCACGGTAAAAGAAAAATCAAATTATGAAAAATAAAGCCAGGAGTGATATTGTATATGCCATAGTTCCTATTAAGGTAGCAAGTTCTGGAGTCAAAGAAAGCCCTATGTTTTGGTTTCTGGGTCATTTCGTTTTACCCGGAACTCTGCAACTTAACCTCAGTTCATTTCCTAGCTCATGACTTTCTGACTTTTGTGCTTGCTAACCACAGTGAGAAAGACGTTTTGCATTACAACAAGCACACTCATATTTTATCCTTTTTTTTTCTTTTTTTTTTTTTGAGATGGAGTCTCACTGTTGTTGCCCAGGCTAGAATTCAGTGGCACAGTCTCAACTCATTGCAACCTCCACCTCTTGGGTTCAAGCAATTCTCCTGCCTCAGCCTTCTGAGTAGCTGGGACTACAGGCGTCCCCTACCAAGCCCAGCTAATTTTTGTACTTTTTTAGTAGAGACAGGGTTTCACCATGTTGGCCAGGCTGGTCTCAAACTCCTGACCTCAGATGATCCGCCCACCTCAGCCTCCCAAAGTGCTGGGATTACAGGCATGAGCCACCGCGCCCGGCCATTTTATCCCTTTTTAACACTTGGGCTGTGACTTGCCAATTTAACACATCTCACTATTTATTAATTATATTATCACTGATATATTTCAATGATCCGTATATTATGCAATCGATTTGACAGAGCTTGCTTTGATTCCCAAGTAAAGGATAGCACCTTTATTCATACAGCAATATATAGTTCATAAGACACAGTCAGTTCTGCTATAACATGATACATGTGTTCTGAAAAACCACCTCATTATACAAAATTGCACAACAAAACCATGAGGCTTATGGAGAAAATCAGGTTAGCAGAATAACACTCAAAAGCTTTACCAGTGACATATAAATTTTTTAAAAGAGAGAAAATAAAAATGGTAGCACAATTTTGCATGTTTTACGTGGTTAAAAATACATAAATAGTCCAATGAATGTGACAATTTATCTGGAAGCTTGCTTGTGGAAGTTTGCCTGTGGAAGGATCACAGTAGGTGAGTTTTTGTGAAGGGGCAGAGGAGAGTCATCTGAAATGGGGCAGAAACTTGTAACACCACGTGCAGATGTCTGGGCTCCTAACATGCAGGTTGAACAGAGGTTGCTGGTTGAAGTTTGAGGTACACGTGTTTTGTGTATTCCTGTATATACTCTGTGGTTAAGCTGGATGTAGGTTTCTGCGTTCACTTAGTATTTCTTGAGATGAAATCATACATAAGCAAACTTAAAATTAGCATTATGTGTAAATTTCTCCCTACTATATCAATTGCATTAGAATAGATTTGCATTTCAATATGTGTTACAGAATTGACTATTCATAAAATAATGTATAAAATATTATACATGTTATCTTATTTTATGCAATGAACTTATAAAATAGATATTATTTTAGTTCCCCATCCTACCTCTCAGATGAAGAAACTGAGTCCAAAATGATTTCAGGACTTCAAAAAACTTTTTTATTCATACATAATATTTGTATATGTTTATGGGGTACGTGAGATATTGTGTTACAGGTATAGAAAGTATAATGATGGGCCAGGCATGGTGGCTCATGCCTGTAATCCCAGCACTTTGGGAGGCTGAGGTGGGCAGATCACCTGAGGTCAGGAGTTTGAGACCAGCCTGGCCAACATGGCAAAACCCCTTCTCTACTAAAAAAGTACAAAAATTAGCTGGGCATGGTGGGAACACCTGTAGTCCCAGCTACTTGGGAGGCTGAGGCAGGAGAATTGCTTGAACCCGGGAGGTGGAAGTTGCAGTGAGCTGAGATCATGCCATTGCACTCCAGCCTGGGGGATACAGCGAGACTCTGTCTCCAAAAAAAAAAAAAGAAAGAAAGAAAAAAAGAAAGGGTAATAATCAAGTCAGGGTATTTGGGTATCCATCACCACAAGCATTTATCACTTCTGTGTGTTGAGAACATTTCAACCTCTCTTCTAGCTATTTTGAAATGTACAACACATTGTTGTTAACTATAGTCATCCTACTCCGCTATCAAGCATTAGAACTTATTCCTTCTATGTTTGTACCCATCAACCAACTCCTCTCTACACACACACACACCCTTACATCCTTTCCAGCCTCTGCTGTCATTCTACTCTCTACTTCCATGAGACCAACTGCTTTAGATTCCACATGTGAGTGAGAACATATAATATTTGTCTTTCTGTGCCTGGCTTAACTCACTTATCATAAGGACTTCCAGTTCCATCCATGTTGCTGCAAATGACGTTACTTCATTCTTTTTTATGGTTGAATAGTATTCCATTATATATATATATATGTATATACACACACACACACACACCCCCACACACGTATACATATATATACCCCATTTTCTTTCTCCATTCATCTGCTGATAGACACTTAAGTTGATTTCATATGTTTGTTATTGTAAATAATGGTGCAATAAATATGGGATTCATGTTTCCCTTTGATATACGAATTTCCTTTCCTATGAACACCCAAGTAATGGGATCTGTGGATCATATGGTAGTTCTATTTTCAGTTTTCCGAGAAACCCATACTGTTTTCTATAATGGCTGTAGTAATTTACATTTTCACCAGCCGTATATGAGAGTTCCCTTTTCTCCACATCGTCACCAGCATTTGTTATTTTTGGTCTTTTTAATAACAGCCATTCTAACTGGGATGAGATGATATCTCATTGTGGTTTTGATTTGCATTTCCCTGATGATTAGCCATGTTGAGCATGTTTTCATGTACCTGTTGGCCATTTGTTTATTTTCTGTTGAGAAATAACTATTTAGATCTTTTGCCCATTTTTTATGGGATTATTTGGGTTTTTGCTATGGCATTGTTTGAATTCTTTATGTATTCTGGATATCAGTCTAATTTAGAAACTCTTGTTGTCTATTAACAGTATATCAGATCTCAAATACAAGTGTTCTTTTTCCAATTTCTCCATGCTTTTCCCTAAATTATTTCCCATAAATACCATTTAAGATTTTATATTTTAACTTTTTTTTTTTTTTTTTTTTGAGACGGAGTCTCGCTCTGTCGCCCAGGCTGGAGTGCAGTGGCGGGATCTCGGCTCACTGCAAGCTCCGCCTCCCGGGTTCACGCCATTCTCCTGCCTCAGCCTCCCGAGTAGCTGGGACTACAGGCGCCCGCTACCACGCCCGGCTAATTTTTTGTATTTTCAGTAGAGACGGGGTTTCACCGTGTTAGCCAGGATGGTCTCGATCTCCTGACCTTGTGATCCGCCCGCCTCGGCCTCCCAAAGTGCTGGGATTACAGGCGTGAGCCACCGCGCCCAGCCAACTTTTTCATTTAATCTGACACATACACATAAGTAGATTTAAGTTAAAAAATACTTAATTCAATAAAAAAGTCTGCATCATAACTTTATAAATATGACATGCCTAATCACTCATAACATACACTTTTTATATGTGTTTCAATAAGGAACTATATCCTCATCTTATAACTCTGATATTTTTCTGGTTATCATAGTAAATCTACCTATCAATAGTTGTATTTGTATATTTGAAGTTATATTTACATATACTCTAATATATAACTGAGTATATTTAAATTTAGTCCCTTTCATTATTATTTCACGTATTATTGAAAAAAATTGAATTTGCAGCATAAAAGCTAATTCATAAAGGAAATAGAGGAAGAAATGTACATACCTATACGCCTTGGCAGAAGAATTATGATGTATTCATCCAAACATTTATTCATTCAATAAATATCTATTAGTGCCAGTTCTAATAAGATCTGTGCTAGGGACTGAGGCCATAGGGTTTCATGCCATTTAACAAACATAACAAATGCTTATTTTGTGCCAGAAGAGATGTTGGTTTCTCTGGACACAAAGATGAAAAGGATGCAGCATCTGATACAGAAACGGGTTCTGCAAAGAGTGGTAAGTGCTGTAAGAAAAGTACTCAAGAGCACTGAAGAGGACGGGGCATCTGAGCTCACCTGAGTCAGGCAGGAGCCTCCAAGAAGAGGAGACACTGAGCTGAAGGATCAGTACAGGACGCAGGACGGAGGGAAAGCCACAGGGTTCCAGGCGGGGCACGCAGCAGGCACAAATGTGAACACAGACGCAGCCCTGGGGCAAGCAGTGCATGATCGGACGGGGCAGGTGGGAATGCGGCTGAAGTGGGATGAGGTGAAATCCAAGGAAACAACTTCCTGTTGTGCTTGGATGAACGTCACTGCTCAGGTGGGACAGTTCATACACCCTACAAGGCCAAAAGCTATGTGGTTATATGAGTAAGACCTGCTGGTCCCCTCTGGGAATTACTCAGCTACGTATGTCCAGGATCCAGGGGGCATAGCTGAGATCAATGTTGCCAGTCGGCCTCATCCTACCGACCAGGATTCTGTTGACAATATCTCAATCTAATGTTGTATGAGACAAATTAAACACATTTTGTCCCAGCCCCTGTCAGTGTGTCTAATCTGAGCTGCTGACAGGGTGACAGACTTGTGTGAAAACTTCAGTCCAACCAAGAAGGTGGAGGGACAAAAGGGTGAATTGTGGAGAGGGATGTCCCCGCACGCCTGTGCTCATGTCCCAGTTCACAAGGCTTAACTGTCCTCAGATCCTGAGCTAGCTCTGCAGCGAGTTGCATAGTATCAGGTAGGCTGAGGGAGTTACAGCCAGCACTACTCATTCCTGCTGGGGCAGGGGTGGGGACTGGCCTGTCCATGCTTTAGAAAGGCTGCCGAGCTCATGGCCATGAGTGCCTCAACTACGGCACCACCCACTGCGTGCACAGTCACCATCTGGGTGTATCACATTTCATGGAACTTCGAGACAGGAGTACTGGGGCCACCACACTGATGCTGTCAGCCTTGCTGTGCACAGGAATCTCATTGCCTACTTCCAGCTCTGATGAAGCCACCTCAAGCCAAGCTGCTTGCTTGCTTAGTTAGTTGTTCTTGTTGGAGTCATGCCATCCTCTGTGACGTTGGGGTTGTGCCCTGACATCGGGCAGGAGATGAAAGCAGGAGTTTCCCATGCAGCCAGACTTGGATGACATTCAGCTTTGAATGCATTGTGTCTTAAAGAGAATCCATGATGAGATTTCAAGACAGAGGTGGTGGTGGTGGTGGTGGTGCCCCAAGCAGCCTTCATTCCTGTGACATTAAGGACTTCAAGGTACAGAGGCTAAGAGACGTGAAGAAAGACAGCAAGACTGAGATAGAAATGAAAGAAGGAGCCAGGCCCAAATAAGTATTTCTGTTTCTGTCTGATCCTTGGCTATTTTCCAATCCTCAACCAAGATGAAAACTCCCCGAATTTGGCTTTGGATTAGAATTGCTCTGTCCCTCGGATGAGAGGCAGTAAAAACTTCCTGGCTGAAATGCTGCTCTGCCGGGCCTTCACTTCACTTCAAACGGCATGCATTGTCTAATTTGCATAGTTCTGCATTTGTGATTTGAGCTAAGTTTGTGGAGATGGAAAAGATGAGGTTCTTCCTATCCTAACAGCTAAAACAGATGGCCATGGATCCAATTTGTTTAGAATAAATTACTGCTACCGTAAGTGGAATAATTTACCCATATGATTTTTGTAAAAATCCTTCAGCTAAATCAGCTAGTCTCAGTAACACTACTTGGATAATGACTCTCCTTAGAGAATATAATTTACTGAATACCAGGTAAACAGAAATTAGCAAATGCAACTGAGCAGTGATTTTGAGCATCTAGGTGATGATGTAAGGAATCTACATAATATAAAATTGTAATAATTTACAAACAAAAAACTTACCACCTTATATTAGAATCTAAGATCCCACACATGATAAGGTACTGTATTATCACCACTAAAAAAGACCTAGATATGGTTTAGAACTCTTCCATTATAACATAGACCTCATTCCAATCAGAAACTCTCTCTTTATAGGACAGTCACAACTTTTGTCTCCAGGAATTTCTTTCAAGCTGTTGATATCCTGCCTTCAAGTTTTGATGCTCATACTTTTAAAATTTTACTAGAATGTGTCAAGGGAAAATTCCTAAACAATGAGAAAGCCATTTAAAATGCCAATTGTGATAGTTAATTTGGGCTGTCAACTCGACTGTATACCCAGACAGCTGGTAAGGCATCCTTTCTGGGTGTGTCTGGGAAGGTGTTTCCAAAAAATAAAAAGAAATGGCATTTGAATCAGTGGACTGAGTAAGAAAGATCCACCCTCACACAGTGTAGACAAGCACCAATCGATCAGCTGAAGTCCCCAATAGAAAAAAAAGGCAGAGAAAAGGTGAATTGTCTCTCTCTCCTGTAGCTGGGACACCTGTCTTCTCCAGCCCTTGGACATGAAAACTTCAAGTTCTGCAGCCTTTGGACTCCAGGACATGCAGCAGCAGTGCCTCCGTGTTCTCAGGCCTTCAGCCTCTACCTGAGTTACACCACCAGCTTCCTTGGTTCTGGGCCTTCAGACTTGGACTGAGCCATGCTACTGGCTTCCCTGATTCCCGAGCTTGCAAATCTATGGTGGAACTTATAATCCTCCAAAACCACATGAGCCAGTTTTTCCTAATAAATCCCTTCTCATATATCTATACCTATCTGTTATAGATATGTGTATGTATATACTTTTTTATTGTTTCTATCTCTCTGGAAGACTAATACAGATGTTGGTCCCATGAGAGGTTCTGGAGAAGGAGAATTTTAAGGATGAGTTCCCAGCATTGGTTTTAGGTGCTCTGGCATTATCTCTCTCATCAGATTGCACTTTAAAATGCTAAGGACTGCAGGCCGGGCGCGGTGGCTCACGCCTGTACTCCCAGCGCTTTGAGAGGCCAAGGCGGGCGAATCATGAGGTCAGGAGATTGAGACCATCCTGGCTAACACGACGAAACCCCGTCTCCACCAAAAATATAAAAAATTAGCCGGGCATGGTGGCAGGCGCCTGTAGTCCCAGCTACTCAGGAGGCTGAGGCAGGAGAATGGCGTGCACCCGGGAGGCAGAGTTTGCAGTGAGCCGAGATCGCGCCACTGGACTCCAGCCTGGGCAACACAGAGAGACTCCATCTAAAAAAAAAAGTAAACGATAAAAAAGCTAAGGACTCTATTACTAGTAGTACAGGGAGCACTGATAATCCGTAATGTAACTCTTCATACAGACACACAAAACATCTGCATTAGATTCTCCTAATCAACCCCTTATAGGAGGCAGAAAGTTTTTTCTTTTTTCCTTCCAACCTCATTTTAGGTTCAGGGGGCACATGTGCAGGCCTGCTGCACAGACCATCTCCTCACCCAGGTAATGAGCACAGAACCCCATAGGCAGCTTTCCAATCCTCACCCTCCTTCTGCCTCCACCCACAAGCAGGCCCCGGTGTCTACCACTCCCCTTCTTGTGTCCATGTGTACTCAATGTTCAGCTCCCACCTGGAAGTGAGAACATGTGGTTATTTGGTTCCGTACTTCTCTGTTCATTGGCCCAGGACAATGGCCTCCAGATCATCCAGGCTGCCACAAAGGTCATAACCTTGCATCTCCCTGTGGCTGTGTAGTATTTCATGGTGTTGATGCACCACACTTTCCCCAACCAGTCCACTGCTGATGGGCATCCACATAAACCCCCTCTCTCTGCTGCTGTGAATAGTGCTGTGATGAACATGTGTGTCCATGTGTCTTTATGGAGGGTTGACTAATACTCCCCTGGGCACATATCCAGCAATGGGACCACTGGGTCGAATAGTAATTCTGTTTCAGATTCCCTGAGAGATCTCCAAACTGCTTTTCACAGTGGCTGAACCAATCCACATTCCCACTAGTGGCGTACAAGCTCTCTACCTTCCCTGCAACCTCACCAGCACCTGCTTCTTAACTTTTTAGTGCTAGCCATTCTGACCAGTGTGAGATGGCATCCCACCATGTTTTGGTTTGCACTTCTCCAATGAATAGTGATGTGGAGCATTTTTCCATATGTGTGTTGGCCACATGCGTGCCTATCCTCAAGAAGTGTCCATCCACGCCCCTTACCCCTGTTTCAATGGAGTTGTCTGTTCCTTTCCGGCTGATTTAAGTTCCTTATAGATTCTGGATACTAGATCTCTGTCGAATGCATAGTTTGCGAATATTTTCTCCCATCCTATAGGTTGTTCACTCTGCTGACAGTTTCTTCTGCTGTGCAGAAGCTGCTCAGTTCAACCAAGTCCCACTTGTCAATGTCTGCCTTTGTTGCAGTTGCCCCTGGAGTCTTCATCCTGAAATCCCTGCTGGCACCAATGTCCAGAATGGTACTTCCCAAGATTTCCACAGCTTTATGTGTTACATTTAAGTCTTTATCTTGAGTTGATCTCCATACATGGTAAACGGAAGAGGTCCAGTCCCAATGTCCCCACACATGGCTAACCAGTTATCTCAGCACCATACACCAAAACAGGGGGTCCTCTCCCCACTGCCTGTCATTTTTGGCCCATAGGCAAGAAACGTAGTGACTCTATATAATACTTTCAAACCTGTGGAAAACTAAAGAATATGATGGTTGGCTGTTCCTAATGTCACTGACAGAATGGAGAAAGAAGAGGGTTAGGTCAATGATGTAGCTTGGATACTTGCCAACGTGCCCATCTCATGTTGAAACGTAATCCCCAATCTTGGAGGTCGGGCCTGGTGGGAGAGGTGTTTGGACCGTGGGGCAGACCCCTCATGAATGGCTTGGACCATCCCCTTGGTGATGAGTGAGCTCTCGCTCTGAGTTCACACAAGTTCTGGTTGTTTAAAAGTGTGTGGCCCCTCCCCTCATTCTCCCTCTCCCTTTCTTTCTTGTTCCAGCTTTCACCGTGTAACGTGCCTATTCCCTCTTCACCTTTAGCCATAATTATTGTTTCCTGAAGCCTCACCAGAAGCTGACCAGATGCCAGCACCATGCTTCCTGTACAGCCTGCAGAACCGTGAGCCAATTAAACCTCTTTTCTTTATAAATTACCCAGCCTCAGCTATTTCTTTATAGCAATCCAAGAATGGCCTAACGCAATCAGGGATTTGAATTTCCATATCACGCTCCACATAAATAACCTAAGAATTTCTAGGTATGCCTTGAAGGAGAATCTTCTCTCTGTAGCTATGGGACAGAAATGGCCAAAAATCAAACACTACTCCTCATCGTGTGATTCTGCCTGAATTACAACAAAAGTTGAACTCTCAGCCTTGCAAGCTATCTACTGTTAAAGTGAAGACCTTGGTTGGGGAAAAATGGGATCTTGCAAGTTGTGAAGGGGACATGTGAGAAGCCCCTGATGAGGCTGGGGACACTGCATCTCTGAATTCTGATGAGTTATTTTTGCCAAAGAAAGTGGCCTCCCCACCTGCAGTGGTATTGGCCTCTCCACTTATGTCTAAGGAGATTAACCCTGCAGTACCTGAGAAAACAGCACTACTCCCCTGAGACAGTTGTCAAGCAAGACAAAGCTAATGCTCCTCAGGACCCACCCCAGTTTCTCTTTGCTTCTAGACTTATAACCAGACCCACATCCCAGCAGCCCCTAAAGACAAGGTACAATGTGTGGCCCAAGAGAAGCTGCCTGCTCTGCAAAAGAACTCCTTGAGTTTCCTGATTTGTACAAGCAGAAATCTGGGGAACACATGTGAGACTAGATATTAAGGGTGTGGGATAGTGGTAGAAGGAACATAAAGTTGGATCAGAGGATCAGACTGAATTCATTGACATGGCTCCACTAAGCAGAGATTCTACATTTATTGCTGTAGCTTGGGGAGTTAGAAAGGGTTCTAATGGTTGGTTGGTTGGTTGGTTGGTTGGTCAGTTGGTTATCTAAAACATGGAGCAAAATATGCCCCACTGTGAATTAGTTGGAAATCCCTGATTTCTCCTGCCTTAACTTAGAGGAAGAGATTTAAAGGCTTAGGGTGATTGAAATGCAAGAGTGGAATTGTCACTTGGGACTCACTCACTCACCCCGGAAGGGTCCAAAAGACATACCGTTCACCAATACCTTGTGAAACAGACTCATGAGGGGAGCCCCAGCATCTTTGACGAGCTCCCTGATTGTGTGGAACCACAAACACTCAACCGGAAAACTTAATGCGATAACATAATTGGATCCCAGGGTGACAGGAGCCAGATGGCGGTACTCAGTGGCCAAAGGAAAAGTAGATGGAGTTACTGGGAGGCACAGCATAGGCAAAGCAACCATCAGAATAATCTGATTCATGTAGATCTATGGCATTGGCTAATCATGGTGTTTCAAGACGTGAAATAGATGGGATAGCCTAGTAAACTCCTAATTGATCTGCATAAGGAGAAAACTTCAGGTCAAGTAAACAAAAGTCTAACTCAAATCATAAAAAACAGAGAAACAGGGCCCCTTAATTAATTCCCAGACTTGGGCCAGTTTACAGGCCCAGAATCCCTTGAATGAATGGGACGTCAGATCCCCTCCAGGAAGGACCCTAATACACTATCGAAAGTGTATACTGTTGTCTGAGCACGGTGGCTCACGCTTGTAATCCCAGCACCTTGGGAGGCCACGGCGGGAAGATCACGAATTCAGGAGTTCAAGACCAACCTGGCCAACACAGTGAAACTCCGTCTCTACTAAAAATACAAAAATTAGCTGGGTGTGGGGACAGGCGCCTATAATCCCAAATACTCCGGAGGCTGAGGCAGGAGAATCATTTGAACCTGGGAGGTGGAGGTTGCAGTGAGCCAAGGTCGCGCCACTGCACTCCAGCCTGGGCAACAGAGCAAGACACCATCTCAAAAAAAAAAAAAAAAGAAAGAAAATGTATACTGTTAATCTTTCCTCCAGTCTTCCCCAAAGGGACCCAGAGCCTTTTACCATGGTAACTGTGCTTTGAGGGAAAGGAAACAATCAGACCTTTGAGAGACTAATGAACATTGGCTCTGAACTGATGCTGATTCCAGGAGACCTGAAATGTTACTGCAGCCCTCCATTTAAAGTAGGGCTTATGGAGGTCAAGTGGTCAATGGAGTTTTAGTTCAGGTTTGATTTACGGTAAGTCAAGTGGGCCCCTTAATGCATCCCATAGTCAGTTCCCCAGTTCCAAATGCATAATTGGAATAGACATGTTCAGCAGCTGGCAGAATCCCTACACTGGTTCCCTAACCTGTGAGGTGAGGGCTAGTATGGTGGGAAAGGCCAAATGGAAGCCATTAGAGCTGCCTCCACCTAGAAAATAGTAAACCAAAGGTGACACTGCATTTTTAGAGGTATGCAGAGATCAGCGCCACCACCGAAGACTTGGGGTGGTGATTCCCAACCACATCCCTGTTCATTTCTCTTATTTGACCTGTGCAGAGAACAGATGGCTCTTAGAGAATGAGAGTGGATTATCCTAAGTTTAACCAGGTGGTGACTCCAATTGCAACTACTTTACCAGATGTGGTTTCATTGCTTGAGCAAATTAGCAATACTCTGCTACCTGATTATGCAGCTATTGAAGCTGCCAAATGTTTTTTTCTCCATACCTGTCCTTAAGGCCCACAAGAAGCAGTTTGCTTTCAGTTGGCCAGGCCAGCAACGTATCTTCACTGTCCTGCCTCAGGGGCATGTCCACTCTCCAACCCTATGTCATAGTTTCGTTCAGAGATCTTGATTGCCTTTCCCTTCCACAGTTATCACACTGGTCCGTTACAGAGATGGTTTATGTGCATTGAACCTCAAGAGCAGGAAGTAGCAACCACTCTAGTCTTGCTGGTAAGACAGTTGTGTGTCACCCCCAGACCTTTCAATCCTCTTTACACTGCTCCACGTTTTTCCCATAGCAAGTATCCCCTTCTAACATCCTAGGTAATTCACTTTGTATTATGTGCATTGTTTATTATCTGTCTTCCCGGTAGAATGTAAGCTCCAAAAGAGTAGGAATCTTTGTTTTACTCACTGATACAAAGAGTGTCCAGTAGCATAAGCAGGTGTTCAACAAATTTTTTTTTTTTTTTTGAGATGGAGTCTCTGTCACCCAGGCTAGAGTGCAGTGGTGTGATCTCGGCTCACGGAAAGCTCCACCTCCCAGGTTCATGCCATTCTCCTGCCTCAGCCTTCCGAGTAGCTGGGACTACAGGCGCCCACCACCACACCTGGCTAATTTTTTTGTATTTTTAGTAGAGACGGGATTTCACCATGTTAGCCAGGATAGTCTCGATCTCCTAACCTTGTGATCCACCCGCCTCAGCCTCCCAAAGTGCTGGGATTACAGGCGTGAGTCACCACACTCAGCCCAACAAATGTTTGTTGAATGAACGAAGTTGGAGAAGTATGTGTTAAAGCAAGGATTCTAAGCAATACTGAACTGGGAGGTGTTGGACACAAAGCGGTGAAGCTGCAGGTTGCAGAAGCAGATGAATTATGGGAACAAAACTGCTGTTGAGACTAAAGTCAATGTCAAGGACAACACATGGAACAGAGAGACAAAACAGCAATGATGGTAGAGTAGAAGTGTCCCAGGAGGCCGGGCACAGTGGCTCACGCCTGTAATCCCAGCACTTTTTGAGGCTGACGCGGGCAGATCACAAGGTAAGGAGATTGAGACCATTCTGGCCAACATAGTGAAACCCCATCTCGACTAAAAATACAAAAATTAGCCAGGCATGATGGCACACACCTGTAGTCCCAGCTACTCGGGAGGCTGAGGCAGTAGAATCACTTGAACCCGGGAGGCAGAGGTTGCAGTGAGCTGAGATTGTGCCACTGCACTCCACCTGGGTGACAGAGTGAGACTCCGTCTCTAAATAAATAAACAAACAAAGAAACAAACAATGGTCCCAGGAACTGCTAAAAGACTTAACAGCAGCACCCCTTCTCTATATGGCTTGATATGGGTCCAAAAGTCTAGAGGAGGAATCCCTCAAAGTGGTTTCCTTTAATGTCTCTGTCTACTTTGACTTCGCCTACTGGACCCTACTGCCTTCTCATAATAAAATTTAATAATTGAAAATGTATCTTGAGTAGGAAAAAAGCTAAGAAACAGCAAATGACCTCCAAGTTTGATATTATAAGTCCACAGAGACACATTCCAGACCGCATAAGGCCACCATGGTTGTGCTGTTTTTTTAAAAAAGTCACTCAGAATCAGTGTATATATCATAACAGCACCTACTTGGGAAATTCACATGAAATACTCATATTCGCTTAGGGTTATTTTTAAAAAGAAAAGAATGAAACCATATTCTCTATTCTCAGATAAATAGCTTTGGAAGAAGAAAATCTCAGCATGAGCATATTGGGAAAAACAATCAACAGGAGTATTTTGGGTTGCAGTCGTGATCACTGCATGTGACTCACCACCACAGCCAAGAAAACTGCCTGTGGGCAATGTTTCCATCAACAAGAGATGGGCGCATCCTGTTGCAGAAAAAAACAATTCCAAATCTCTACATCGTAATTTCCTTGAAGGTGATTGAAATTACTACACTTCACTGGATATTTGGTGGCCGGCGGGGGATGCAAAGAAAAATAACAAAGAAGAATCCACTGAAAGGTTCTTAGATGTTTAATCAAAAAGCAGCACACTAAACTGTTAAGTCCTGGATCTGTCGTGCAGTGGCAAAGCAGCTGGAGTAGGTATCAGGAAGCTGGTATCCAGGTATGAATCCCTCACTCTTCCTCCCTTTCGGACTTGCTGACTTTCTTGAAAAGGACTCAGATCCACATCTGTCTGTCTTTATGTTGTATATGCATTGGGGTTTGTGATCATATTTAAAAGATTTTTGAGGGGGGGACATAAAATATAATCTACATTGATCAAAACTATTATAGTCTACTAAAATTTATCTTGAGTAAAATAGAAGAAAAGGGCAGTAACGCTTCAGTGAATGTCTTTATTTTCCATTTTATAGGCATTGTTGAATGGATTCCGCATTTGATCATACTATAAAGGCCTCCCCTGACAACGCAGCATCTCGAAAGTAAAATTTAAGGACCTCCTCTAACATAATTCATTCTTGTCCTGCACTCTGAGTTTTCTACCAGGAGAGTTATTCCTGTAAGGCAGTATTTCTAAAAATGCATTCCGAGAACTCTAAGATTCTTCCCTGCCCCATCCCACTCCCAACAGATTTTCCAGTAAAATAAGTTTGAGACATGCTGCGTACAATATTCCCCCTCTTGAAAATGTGTCATCTATAATAGCATATTAAGGTCTCTGTTTATTGATCCAATAAGTTTGAAAGGTTTGTAAATGTGTCTAGTAAGTTTTGGAAGTGTCTTCCTATGTAAGAAATGAGTAAACAAGCCCATTGGACACACCTGGGGAAAGCATTCTGAATAGAGTGTCCACCATCTATCTGTCCTGTAAATATGTTAAATTAAATGGGAACAGCAATATATTTATATCATTTGTGAAAGCAAATGATAACAAGTTTGGAAAAGCTTCAGCACAGGGAAAAAAACCACGGTGAGCATGAGAACTGTCAAGGGAGGCCATACCCAATGGGGTACACACCAGGGCACCACATCTAAAACTCTCACAGGCATGACCACTGGGGAGTTGTTGAGACACAGATCCGTGGATGCTCCCTCTCAGAGACTCTGATCCAGCAGGCCCGGGGCCCCAGAATTCACATTTATAACAAGCTCCTAGGGGAGGCTGGTGATGCTGGTCTTAATTAAGAGTCTGTCAAAGAACAAGTCAGCTCTGAGACCCTACCAAGGGACCAACACTGCTTTTGCCTTGTGGGGAGGCGGATAAGAAGCTCGCAGCATGGTCCTTGCCTGCTATCCTGTGAAAGCCAAAATTAACGCACAAAAAAGAAGCATACGGTATTTTAATAAAAATAGTTAACTCTTAAATAGCACCTACAATGTGCCAAATACTCCTCCAAGTGCTTTACACATACGACCTCCCTGGATTTCAACTGAGGTCCACTGAGGGAAGCACTGCTTGTTACCTCTTTTACCCACATAAGAAAATGAAGCCCAGAGAGATTGAGTGACTCATCCAAGGTCTCCCAGGAATTAAGCCCATAGAGCAGGGCTCCAGAGGCAGTAAACTTCCACTACATTGCCTCTCTCATTGACACATACAGCTGATGGTGTGAAAGTTGATGAGGTTTGGATGCACTGGGGAATGAGGGTGCCTAAGTCAACTTGACAAGCTGTGGTGCACAGCAGACTCAGAGTGACACCACCGGAGAATGTTGCCAGCACCACTGCCATTAGTGACAGAACCACGGCCTGGGCAGACAGGGATTGTAAAACTCTCCCAGCATGGCCACCGAGTGAGAACCAGGGCCAGGGCCAAGCCTACCTAACATGGAAATTGGCCACATACAGGAGAATTGAGCAAATAAATTAAAATATCCATGACAATGAAAGCCAAGTTCCTCAATACTGGCGAAGGGTGTTCAAATGCAGAAAGCTGGGCTGGGCGCAGTGGCTCAGGCCTATAATCCCAACACTTTGGGAGGCCAAGATGAGTGGATCAGTTGAGGTCAGGAGTTTGAGACCAGCATGGCCAACATGGCAAAAGCCCATCTCTACTAAAAATACAAAAATTAGCCAGGCATGGTGGCATGTGCCTGTAATCCCAGCTACTTGGGAGGCTGAGGCAGGACAATCACTTGAACCCAGGAGGCAGAGGTTGCAGTGAGCCAAGATCATACCACTGCACTCCAGCCTGGGTGACAGAGTGAGACTCCGTCTCAAAAAAAAAAAAAAAAAAAAAAGAAAGAAAGAAAACCTGAAGGAATATTCTGGCACCACACACACAAAAAAAGTCACAGAAGACCTGTTCGTATTTCCCCTTTCTGACAGCTTGTGCGGCTGGATAATGAGTCATAAAGGGAGCCGGGGAGGCCAGCCCTATACCACACCTCTATCCTACAGACACCAAGGCTGCAGCAGGACACTCAGAATTTGTCTGCCTACCTGATGGGAAGAGAACACTGGCCACGTGCACGGCACCATGCCTGTAAACCCAGCACTTTGGAAGGCTGAGGCAGGTGGATCACTTCATCCCAGGAATTGGAAACCAGCCTGAGAAACATGGCTAACCCCCATCAAAAAAGAAAAAAAAAAAAAAAAAAAAAAACTAGCCAGCATGGTGGTACATGCCTGTAGTCCCAGCTACTCGAGAGGCTGAGGTGGAAAGATTGCTTCAGCCCAATAGTCCGAGATTTCAGTGAGCCGAGATAATGCCTCTGCACTCCAGTCTGGGTGACAGAGTGAGACCCTGCCAAGAAAGTGAGAGAGAAAAAAAAAAAAACACTAAATTTGGGAGTCAAAAAGTTGAAGAGTTAAATTGCTACAGTGAAAGCAATTACTGTGATTGACCAATATTTACTTTGCGTTTGCAGAACTCAATCTTCTTACAATAGGATTTCTAAAGAAGAGCAGACAGCACCCTGCAGCTGCACTTTGATGAGAAAGAAAATCAATGCTTCTGCATTTGCACACTCAGGAGAAGGGGTGAGGGATAATCATGTCCACCAGAAATCACTAGTTTGGGTGAAAGTATCACAGGGCTTGGTGGAAACCAATAATTTCCTCAAACCACTTAAGCACAGAGAATTCATAAAGCTTCTCAATTCTCCTGTTGCTGCAAAAACATGTTTCCATGGTGTGTGTAACACAGTGAGGGCTACTGGCGTCCAGCCACCTGAGCACGCAAAGCTAGCTAGTAGCACAGCAAAAATAGTATTTCGTACTGATGCAGAGAGCCTGCTCATTGCTAAATCATTATCTAAGAAATGTTCAAACCAGCATGACACAAATTATTATTATGGGATGATATAATAACATAACATTCGTGGATACTAGCCCTACGCAGGAGTTTCCATAAAACTCTTTTTAGACAACGTAGGAAAGTTAATATTCTGCAGGGAAGGAGACGGGAGGAGCTCTAAACCTAAGACAGTCACCACCAACTCCATCACCAAGCCGCAGTGCTGTCCTGCTCTCTTCTATCTGGCGTCCTTTGTTCCCAAGAAACCTCATTTTGCAGATCTGTGGACTTTGAATAGATCCTGAAACACAGAGTCACCTCTTATACACGGTTGAAATATCCAGCTGCCCGGAGCTGGTGGCATGGGGGAGAAAGGCCAACCAGATACTGGTCAACAGTGAGAGGGGTCAAAGCCTGAGAGTGAGGAGCCATCATCAGGCCTGGTACAACAGGCTCTGGGCGCTGACTTGGTGGCACCAGAGGGGCAGAGCATGCGTCTCCTCTCTGCGGCGTACCTGCCACCCTCCACAAGCCCAGCGCTCCACCTCCTAGGAGATCCTGGGGGCACCTGTTCCTGACTCCCCACTGTCGAGTGCTTGGCTTGAGAAGCTGCTGTCGCCTCGCTCCCAACAACCCAAACCCCAAGACAGCCAGAATGTTTCCATCATTCCACCCCACCGCTGTGCTCAAATCTTGTCCCATCCAGAATAAAATCCCGAGTCCCAGCCACGCCTGCGAGGATTCCAATGGTCCGGCCTCCCTCCCTCTCCTTCCCCACGCAGTCCTCCAGGCTGCTCCTCCCACACACCAAAGAGGCTAACCAATGGGGCTGCTGTCCTTGGTTCTAACTTGCTCCCCATACG
This sequence comes from Homo sapiens, assembly GCF_000001405.40. Lineage (NCBI taxonomy): Eukaryota > Metazoa > Chordata > Mammalia > Primates > Hominidae > Homo > Homo sapiens. Next base: position 6,225,812 of record NC_000008.11, read on the forward strand.
CATGTGGCTCCTTCTCCACCTCCTTGACGATCTCTGCTTCAAAGACACTTTGTCCAGAAGCCTCCCATGATCAAACACATAAAGCAACTCAAGCCTCCCCATCTGATGGGTTTTTGTTTGTTTGTTTGTTTGTTTGTTTTTTGAGACGGAGTCTCGCCCTGTCACCCAGGGTGGAGTGCAGTGGTGCGATCTCGGCTCACTGCAAGCTCCACCTCCCGGGTTCACATGTTCTCCTGCCTCAGCCTCCCAAGTAGCTGGGACTACAGGCGCCCGCCACCACCCCCGGCTAATTTTTTGATTTTTAGTAGAGATGGGATTTCACCGTGTTAGCCAGGATGGTCTTGATCTCCTGACCTCGTGATCTGCCCGCCTGGGCCTCCCAAAGTGTTAGGATTACAGGCATGAGCCACCACACCCAGCCTGCTTTTTTCTTTTTCTTTTTTTTTTAACTTTGCTTTATTTGTTTTCAAAGCCCAAGCAGACATAGTATACGTTTTACATATTTCTTCATCTCTCTGTGCCTACAGGAATCAAACTCGATAAGAACAGGGTTTTACTTCGTTTGTCCATGAGTACATCCACAGCATTCACAACAGTGCCTGCATATGGTTGCTCAATAAATGTCCACTGTTACTGAATACAGCTGTTCCCTGTATGGTGTAACGTGTGTGACTTTTGGGAAGCAAATCAGAAGATATACTTTGCATCATCTTGCCATTGAGTCTGCAGGGTCTAACTGCATTAACTAATTATGGATCCCTTTGATGGATATCTGGCAATAATGGTGGTTTTTTTAATCATCTGAGATAAAGACTAGTTGTGCTGCGATTGAACTGTAGCTGTGCATTAGTAATTGATTCCTCAGGGATAAATGGATGGCTGTAATTGGGAGTAACTAAGATAAGATTTAATAAGCGTCTTGAACTTTCCCAAGAATCTAGTTGCTCAGATTAGTCTGTCATCTCTGAAAGCTATAAGTAATGCAAACAATTTATATATCACTCTCAGAAACTTGCGACTTAGGGGATGTCATGCGAGTGCTGAAGAATCTGACTCTTTTCATAATCTGATTTGCCTACTGCCGATGTATGTGCACGGTGGATTTTTAAAAGGTCATTGTAATTTCTGTAGTTATTTTTATTAAATTACAGTGATTAATTTTTAGGATACATTTTGTTTTCACTATTCCAGGGAAGTTTTTAACAAAATTGGTGTACCCTTTAAAAAGGAAACAAAAAAGAAAATAAACCCCCCAGACCACCCACTCATTCTGCAGCAGCTGGAGAATGAATGTACCTGCCCCTCTTTGTTCCTTATTCACCACCCACTGGAGGAGTCTACATGGGGGGGTCCCAAGTCTCCCCAACAGGAGTGCCTCTCACAGCTGGTCACTGGGTCCTAAGTGATGCATGAGCTGGCTACATAGGACCGAACACTGGGACAGGTCACACCTACGAGCTGTGCTTGGTACAGAACAGGCATTCAACAGAAGTCGGAAACTTTATTCACTTTATCACCTACTCACCCATTTGTTAACACTAACTGGTCAGAAAATTTGGAGACATTCAGAGTCAAGGAGAAATTAAAAGCTACCCATTTTCTTACTAACAAAGAGACATTTCCCACGTCCCAAAGCCCTGTCTCATCTCCCCCTCCTGCGCTGGATTCATGCACCTGTTTCTGTATCAAGAAACTACCATGGATGGTCCCACTGCCCTGCTGCCCCCCTCACACCCCCTCAACAAGGGTAAAGATGCTCAAGGTTCAGTCTCTTTCTCACCATAGAGCCACGATTCTTAAATTTCAAAAGAGGAATTTTTTTTCCTTTATACCCCACCCCAGAGAGAGATGCCCTTCTCCCCAGCCCCAAGTGAGAGTTTAAGTTTGCTCTTATGCAGAGAATGCTCAAGTACTCCAGAGCAGTGATCCTCCTGCCAAGGAGAGGAAGGAAGACAGGAAAGGAGGAGGAGGAGGAGATCTGGCAACGCTGGTGCTTTTTCCTGGAGATTCACAGCAATGGTGACTCCAAAATCTTTCTCACAAGCTCTGTTCTCTTTCCTGAGCTGCATATTTCTCCCTCCCAGACAGACATGTTCACCTCACCTGAGATGCCAAATATCCAAAACCTCAGCTTCCCTGCAAAAAAGAAAGAAAACCATGCCTCTTGCTTTCCTCTCTTTGGTAACAGTTGCCCCGTCTTCCCAAGACCCTCAGCTTGGGAGCCGGGACACATTCTCTTCGTGAACAGTCTTGACATTTTGCCCTGTAATCATTCCCAGCTCCACTGCCATTATCAGCATACAAAATCACATCATGGTTCACATGTATCTTCCCAGCCAGACTCCAGTCAGTCCCCTCTCCTCTATCCATCCCACTCCAGTGCTATCCACCTACCCCGATTCTCATCTGTCTCAAACACCACTTCGATCCTACTTTTCCCCTCATCAAGAATTTCGGCCGGCACGGTGACTCACACCAGTAATCCCGGCATTTTGGGAGGCCGAAGGAGTCAGATCATGAGGTCAGGAGATCAAGACCATCCTGGCTAACACGGTGAAACCCCGTCTCTACTAAAAATACAAAAAAAAATTATCTGGGTATGGTGGTGGGCGCTACTTGGTTCCAGCTACTCGGAAGGCTGAGGCAGGAGAATGGCATGAACCTGGGAAGCAGAGGTTGCAGTGAGCCGAGATCCCACCACTGCACTCCAGCCTGGGTGACAAGGTGAGACTCCGTCTCAAAATAAAGAAAAAAAAATTTCAATTATTGCTGGCTGCCTATCAAATTAAATAAATCTCTTCACTCTTTAATATGATCCAAATTTTATATAATATATAATCACTGTATCATATATAGCATATATCAAACACACACACACACACACACACACACACACACACACCCCCAAAGTCCTGGCCAAATGCAATACCCTGAGCATCTTCCTGCCTTTCCACCTCCACGTCTTCGGATTCTACCCAATGCCTGGAATTGAAGTCTTTATTACTGCAAGGCTGATCTCAAATAGCCGCTGAGTAACATCTAGATGCCACCTACTCACACAGCACCTCTTCCCTCTGAATCATATATTGCTTTTTTAAAGTTCCATGGACTTTGCCTTAATTTTTTTAACATAAAAATTTAAATACTCAATATTAAGTTCCATAAGGGCAAAGACTGTCTTAGGCATCTTTATTTTTCCAGTTATTCATATGATATCTGATAGACTGTAGTTGCTCAATGTATGTATTTGGCAAATGAACTTGAAAATATCTCAATAGGAGGACTATTCATGTTAAAATTAAAAGTGATTTAATTTTAATTAAGTTAAATTATAGTCAGCTCCCAACTGACACCAACCAAATGTGGGAGGACTGGGCTGCAAAATATATTACTCAACTATGACCATAACGTTAGTCCTCAGGATGTTTCAGAAAAATTTTGAAATTAACTGAACTACTTCTCGAATCGATTTCTTTCCTGGCCTGAAACCACCTGGGAGCTCATGGTAGGAGAGAACGTTAATGTGATTGTTTAGCCTGTGCTAAAATATAACTGCATTTGGTGTGACCACCCATCTACTTGTAAAAACACTCCCTCCAATCTCTGTATACTCATATGTTTTCATAAAGGCTGCAAACATAAGATCAAGAATCAGTCTCACTTTTCTCTCCATCTTCTCTTCTGTCACAAATTTCAGCAGTTCCTGAAGTGCCAGATTTCCTGGGGACATGGTTGGCATCCAGCTAAGGGAAGCTGGGTGGGATTTACATTTAGTTTGAATTTAGTGGAAATATTGAGGCAGTTAGAAGTCCTTTGAAGTCACTAGGTTATCGCAAATTGCCTTAGTGTAAGAATATGGCCTCCAGGAATGCTCCTATCACCCACTGTGCCAATTCTCCTGGCAAATTGACACAAAAGCCAGGCTCAGAGGTCACATAAGACATACTTATGTGAGACATACTTGTATGAGATGCACTTCCAATATATCTGGCATTGGAGTATGTGAGTAATAAAAGGTAAACAAGGTTTGAAAGGTACAGAGCCAAAGCTAATCTGTGGAAAATCCTCTCAATCATCAGATGTGTAAAACTATAAATAGAAAATTCAATGCTCATAGCTTCCAGTCACAATGGAAGCTGTCTTTTGTCAGGAATAGAGTGGAAATCATAGCATATATGATTATAAATACTCCATAATTTTTATTTGTTTTTGATGGAATTAACAGGAAAATAAAACGTATTCAAAAGTGTGTTTATAAGGCAGAAATCTGTAGCAATGCCATATACAAGTATGTCTGTGTATCTGTATATGAAGTTCCTTATTTCAAATACTGCAATACATTAGACCTCACATTTGAATGTCACCTGAGCATCCTGTCTAGGGCAAGTATGGGGGACCCAGATGAAAACAGTTCACCACTTGCCGCTAAGAGCCGGCAGGAACCCATATAGACAAGTGTTTCAGAGAGAAGCACCTAGATAGGCCTGGAATGCTTCCGATTATGCCTTATCAATTTTACAAAATTTTTATATTTTATATTTTAATTAATTTTATATGTTTCAGAATTATTGGTTGCACTGAAAATCAAATACACCAAAAAATATATCAAATATACCAAAAATATGCCCAAAAATGCCTTCAATTCAATAAAGTGAATTGCCAGGAGAACTGGCCCAGTGGGTTACTAAAGATTAGTCATTGCTTACAAAACCTTGAAATGTCCTGGCATGTTAAACTCGTGCAAAAAAGAAACTTGATAAATGTTTCCTCAAACTTCATAAAATTCCTAGAACTTTTCATGACATACTCAATGACAAATTGTGAAGCTGGAAGAAACTTATCTAAAATATCAATAATAATACACAAACTTCGATCTGGCACAATAGAGAAAAAATCCCTCCATTCCTCCTACACAAGAAACAATATTATAAAATTATCCTATAAAAGGCTCATATCAGAATATGAGCCATAAATTGTAGGAGAAAAATACTATAGAGCTACATTAGGCAATTAATAAAAATATTGTGTTATTTTTATGGATTGTGTGATGGGAAAATTAAGGCCAAGAGAAGTTAAGCCAAGGTCACCAATCACAGCAGGCTGATGACCGAGCTGAGATTCAGAACCAGGAAAAAGCATTGAATCTGTCTCTGTTTTATTTTCAACCATTTTAGTATTTCCATTTAAACATTTGGAAAATTGTCCATTTTCCTATTTTAACTTTGGGATTCAGAATCACCTGGAATACATACGATTTTCTATGCATTAGATTATAATCATCTTATTTTTAAATATAAATATGGTCATTAAGATTTATAGTTTAGCCATTTATGACTGTGTAGGATAAATTATATCACATGGTTATAATACTGTAGGAGTAGGAATTTTTGTTGTTAATTACATCGTATTGGAAAGCAGCTTTCTATACATATTTAATGTGTTACCTAACTTGTTCTTGCAGTACTAAAGAACCCTGGTAAATTCATTCTAATTATTCATATTCCAGGGCTATAACTAAATACGTTTTTAAAATTAAATATAAGCTGGCTCACTCTGAGAGGGAAAAAAACTCATAAAATAGCACAGATGCATTTATAACAAATTTCTGAGGTAACTTAAAAGTACTCCCTGAACAGTTCATTGTCATTTAATAAAATTCAGCTTCAGTTATCTAGAACGTTTAATCAAATTTTATTTTTTCATGAAGTCTTATCATATAAAGTTGAGGACTAATGCAAGCTAATTTTTAGGTAGATAAAATATTTCAGCAAAAAAGCATGAAAGCATAAAATACCCTTGTTAGTGAAATGCTAATATAAGAGTGTAAACTTCTATAATGAATTAAAAGCATCTCCATATTAACTAAGTTTAATGACTTTAAAGCACATAACAAAATATATTGCATTATAAGAAAAATATTTGAAACTACTCTGGTATCTCATCCAGAAACAGCTTCATGACCCAACACCAAATAAACTTCCATACGAGTTCATAAACAAGAAGTCCATGAGCATCCTTAGCGGGCAGATTCACTCAATATATTTATGGCCGATAGGTTCAATAAATGGCTAAATAAAAAATATTGATATAATTCAGTGAGGCACAGTTTCTTGGGATCCATTATATTCAATTAACATAAGACTATTTCTTATGGTAACCAAATATGTAGATGTACCATATTATAGGGTAAATGATTATATTTTGGGACAATATTTCTCAAATCAAATATGAATTACCCCCATTTTTTCAGGCCACTATTATAATAGTATTTTAGAAGATTTTATATGGCCACTTATGAGTTCCCAGGTGTTGCACATAACCTAAAAAACATAGTTGACCCACTCCATGGCAAAATACTCAAGGAAAATCTCCCTTTATCCCCATTAGAGTAGTAATCTACTTAAATTTTATAATATAACATTAAACTTCAACCCACTTCTTCCATTAATTAGTTTAGTACTAAAGAAGCAGGAATGGCTAGGCACAGTGGCTAACACCTGTAATCCCAGCACTTTGGGAGGCCAAGGTGGGCAGATCACCTGAGGTCAGGAGTTCGAGACCAGCCTGGCCAACATGGTGAAACGCCATCTCTAATAAAAATACAAAAATTAGCTGGGCGTGGTGGTGGGCATCTGTAATACCAGCTACTCGAGAGTCTGAGCCAGGAGAATCGCTTGAACCCGGGAGGCGGAGGTTGCAGTGAGCCGAGATCACACCGCTGCACTCCAGCCTGGGCAACAAAGAGCGAAACTCTGACTCAAACACACACACACACACACACACACACACACACACACACACACCAGGAACAAAATGCTATAAAATATAGAAGTTTGTTTTATAAATTAGAAGTAAAAACATATATGTTTATTTTATAAACTAGAAGTAAAAATATAATGTATGTGTACTGACAATGACTACAAAATAAAAAGTGAAGCCAAATAGTCACACATTAACCTATTTTTTCCATTTTTAAGCATATGCAATAGGTACCATTTCTAATAACCAACTTAATTTAAGTGTTTATAATGTATAAACACTTTAATATCCTCAAAATAATACCAGCTTATTTTACTGGGGTAAAAACACGTACAATTCCATATTGTTAACTTTGAGGTACAATGCCATACGGCAGATCACTAGAACTTAATTATCCTGCATACCTGAAACTTCATACCCATTGAATAGCAGCTCTCCATTTCCACCTCCACTCTCAAGCAGCTATCATATTCTCATTTAGCAAGTAAGAAAAATATGCCCAGGAGCTTATGTGTTTTTTTAAGAAGGCTCATAAAAAGTGCACATCAGCACTGGGACACATACTCTGGTCTACTATTTCAAATTTTTTTCATTCTGACTCTACCATCCCTTACACATAGGTGATGTTCCTGTTTTCAAGGACTATATGTAATGGCAATGTTCTTAGAATAATATTCTTGAAAATCAATCACAAATTTTAAACCCATTGAGATCATCAAGCCTGGAAGTTCTCAATTCCTTTCCCTTATTGCAAAACACACACCACATCACTCTGACATGAGCAATGGATAACCATCTACTGTATTTATATTAAAATCAGCTAAAAGTTATTTGCAACGTCTGATGTATTTGCGGTAACCACACTTCTTTCTGCCTGGCAAGAAATCATCAGAACTCAAGTGATGGCGATATTATTGTAGGAACAGTCTTGAAATCAGTAGTTTAATCGCCATTAATAAGGGTTGCTTGGAAATCACCTCAAAAATTATCTCAAAATATCAGAATATAGAAATAGTCCAGCTGTGGGTGGCAGATTTGAGCCCTTCATTGCATCTGTAAGGCCTAGAAGTTGAGCAATTGGTCCAATGAAGGAGTTCTGGTATATGGTAGAAGCAGTACTAATATTCAGAGACCCTAATTCTGTTCTTCCCACCATTCTATTGTCTCTTCATCTGCTTGCAGAGGTGAGAGATGTGAAATACCAGGTTTGGATTCACGAATTCAGGAGTTAGATTAAAACATATTTCAGTATCTGTCTTCTCTGTTTCTTGCGCCATTCAACAATAAGGATACATAGTAGCTAATATTAGAAAAGGGACTTGTGGATCTGAGAAGAATATCCAGAAGAAAGAATAACACACAAGGTTTCTGGGGAAAGTAGTCGAAGAAAGGAATTAAAATACAAGAGTGAGGCCTTTCATCCTGGACTCTGTCTGCCACCAGCTGCTTTTCTCTCAATAAACTCGTGAATCACTGAATCAAGTAATTATTGAATATCTAGTATGAACCATGTACTACACTTGTTACTAGAGGATATGTAACTTCTTTTGTAACACTTCAGTTACCTGAAGAAATTGAAGTTCTACATATAAGGAATTTACTAAAGACCCTAAAAATTAAGAATCAATACCCAATAGTGAGCACTGTACAAGTATTTGTTGATGGAACTATATTGATACTACCACTGTTTTAACATCAGATTTACTACAAATACGTTTCATTCCCACTTGAAAACAGACGTTGGCTTCTCACAAGAAAACTCAACATCTCTATTGCTATATAGTTATATATTTAAACTTATTTTAAACCACAAAGTCTCATTTTGGAGTGACCTAGATAATACCATCACCATATTGATAAAATATAGAGAAGAACTGCAGCTCTTTGGGACAATGGTTTCTAGCTGTGAAAGAGAAAGACCTTTTATATTATTAAAATAAATTTTGAGGATATAAGTCTTTGAGAAGATTGAATAGTTATCTTTTGTGTGTTATCTCTTGTGAGGCTATCAGAAAGATGTATACCTAATTGGTTCAAAGCTTGGTACTGATAAACAATAGCTTGATAAATACCGAACAAAAGCATTTTTTTTTTCATTTTAACAGTTGTACTTATCAGGTTGGGGCGCTGTGGCTCAAGCCTGTAATCCTAGCACTTTGGGAGACCGAGGCGTGTGGATCACGAGGTCAGGAGTTCAAGACCAGCCTGGCCAACACGGTGAAACCCCATCTCCACTAAAATTAGATAGGTGCGGTGGTGGGCACCTGCAATCCTAGCTACTCAGGAGGCTGAGGCAGGAGAATCGTTTGACCCTGGGAGGTGGAAGTTGCAGTGAGCCAAGATCGAGCCATTGCACTCTAGCCTGGGCAACAGAGCAAGACTCCATCTCAAAAAAGGCAAAAACAAAAACAATTATACTCATCAGAAGAATTAATGGTAAAAGTAAAGAACACAAACTAAATGTTTAGTCCTGTGCCCATATAAAGAGACAATTAATAAATGGAAGAGATTTTGATTTTGATTGCTCTAATAGATGATGGGTTTTGTCAGTAGGATGTAACTTCCCTCTAACTTCCTGAAATACATGTGACTACTTCCACTGAATGGTAGAATGTCAAAGTAAAACATTCTCAAAAGGTCAACTGAAAGTTCATCATTTTTAGGCCCTGAATTTTTTTTTTTTTTTTTTTTTTGAGACAGAGTCTTGCTCTGTCACCCAAGCTGGAGTGTAGTGTCAGCCTCTACCTCCTGGGTTAAAGCGATTCTCCTGCCTCATCCTGCCAAGTAGCTGAGACTACCAGTGTGCATCCCCATGCCCAGCTAGTTTTTGCATTTTTAGTAGAGACAGGGTTTTGCCATATTGGCCAGGCTGGTCTCGAACTCCTGGACTCAAGTAATCCACCCACCTCGGCCTCCCAAAGTGCTGGGACTACAAACATGAGCCACTGCACCCAGCCAGGCCCTGAAATTTTTAATAACTGATGGTTCATTGGTTTAGCAAGCAACCATTGATTTTTTTCAACATTTTACAATATATGGTAGTGTTAGTCAAGAAGAATGGAACATTGTACTCATGACTCAGAGTGCATCCTCCATTTTAACTCTCAAATATTAAGTAAATATGAATTATTATCTACATTTTATATGTGGGGAACACAAGAACTAGAGACAATCAAAGCCCAAGTTCCAAATACTAATAGGAGGCAGATTATGACAGAAACATCTTGATGTCCCCAAAGCCATAATATAACTTTTTTTTTTTTTCTGGCATCCACCTTGAAAATGACGCTTCTATTATTTTAAGGTTTACCAGGTTTCTGGTTTACAAAATATACCAATACCTGTTTTCTTTTATGATTGTATCACTGGACTTAACTCAATACAATAAACATTTATACAATGTATGCTTTCTCCAAATGTTATCTTTTTATCACACAATCTCAATCATCCAGCAATACCTGCGGTTAGGGCCCAGCAGGGCAAGGTAGTAGGTTGTGTTTTTCATCTAAAAAATAAATAAGAACTTTATTATAAATAGGGTTTAAAGTGGGCCTCTTCCATAAGGAAGCCTCCAATTTTTTTAACATAAAAAAATTAATGTAAAGGTTTTATTTTTTTTTAATTTTTGTTGGTACATAGTAGGCGTATATATTTATGGCGTACATGAGATGTTTTGATTCAGGCATGTAATGTATAATAATCACATCAAGTAATATGAGAACACTTTTTTTTTTTTTTGAGACAGAATCTCACTCTATCACCCAGGCTGGAGTGCAGCGTCACAATCTCAGCACACTGCAACCTCCACCTTCCAGGTTCAAGCAATTCTTGTGTCTCAGCCTTCCAAGTAGCTGAGATTACAGGCATGCACCACCATACCCAGCTACTTTTTGTATTTTTAGTACAGATGTGATTTACTTATGTTGGCCAGGCTGGTCTCGAACTCCTGACCTCAACTGATCCACCCGCCTCAGCCTCCCAAAGTGCTGGGTTTATAGGCATGAGCCACTGTGCCCAGCCCCACCACCCCATTTTTAATTGGACATATATTATTCCCAGCCTTCTGGTTTGGATCTGGCCCATGTGATACAAATGTAGTGTGGTACATCAGCATCCAGAAACCTAAAATACAGTTGGCATTGCAAGACTTCTACTTCTGATAATGACGGATTAGGTTATTCAAACCACCATTCCTGTTGAGAAAAATGGGGAATGCCAGACAAATTTAAAAGTCTGTCTGAGGACATTGTGGAGCTAAGAAATCAGTGAATATTTACAAGACTATGGCATAGAAGAAAATGTACCACCAGAGAGACAAGCTCAGCATTTGGTTCTGCCTTTTCTGTAAGGTCTGTGTACCAATTCAGAACATGCAGCTGAAAGGCTGAGAATGCTGAGCAGAGTGTTTTAACAGCCCCATGTAAATAATGGCACAAATATTAGATTCCAAGACTTACCAAGCAGAAGGAACACTAGGAAACAAACACTTTGAATTGAGACCCCAAAACTGCAGCCTTTAATTAAAGGTGAAATAGAAACACACTGGACCTATAAGAAATGAAGCCCAATTTTGTAAAATCTCAATCACTGAAATTAGTTTGTGATGATCCAGATTTGCCAATGTCCCTAGCAACCAGCCACAAGCAAAATATATTCTAAAAAAGAATGAGACACATAGGGGACAGGACTATGTGATTTAAAAAGAGAAAAAACAGGCAAAACAAACAGAACCACAGGAAATCTAACAAATAGTTACAAGATAAAGAATTTTAAATAGCTAAGCTGAATATTTTCAAGAAGATAAATTTAAAGCTCAAGAAAGTTGGCAGATAAATGGAAACAAAGAAATGAAAATTTCTAGAACTGGAAGAGAAATTAAATGAAATTAAGAATTTAAAGGATGTGCTTAAAAGTAGATCAGATGCAGCTAAAGAGAAAATCTGTGAACTTGAAGATTGATCAGAAGAAAACACCCAGGATGAAGCATAAATAAACAATAGAACATAAAAAGGCAACAAAATGAGCTTAAAGTAATAGAAGATACAGTAAGAATACACACAAACACACACAATTGAAGCTCAGAAAAACAAAGGAGAAAGAGTGGGAAAGAAGCAATATTTAAAGACATGAAAAATTCCTGAAAATTTCCCAATGCCAAGGAAAGGCATCAAGGTATTGAGTCAAGAATTCTAGCATATCACAAGCATGATAAAAAAAAAAAAACTACACAGTAGTGGGTTGAAGAGTGTTCTCCAAAAATCCATGTCCACTCAGAACCTCAGCTTCTTGACCTTATTTCAAAATAAGGTCTTTGAAAATGTAATTAATTAAGGATACCAAAATTAAATTATCCTAGATTTGGGGTTCACCCTAAATCTAGTCGCCAGATTCCTTATAAGAAGAGGAGAGTATACATCAAGAAGAGAAGAAGGCCGTGTGAAGATGGAGACAGACACTGGAGTGATGCTGCCATAAGCCAAGAAATGCCTGGGGCCACAAGAAGCTGGAAGATGCAGGAAAAACTTTTTTCCTTGAGCCTCCAGAGAAAGTTTGCTTTCTTCTGCTATCTTGATTTTGGCTTAACAACAAAATTTTCAGAGTTCTAGCCTCCAGAACTGTGAAAAAATAAATGTCTTGTTTTTAAACCATCCTGTTACAACAGCCCTAGAAAACTAATTCATACCCCAAGAACTTTAAAGTTCTGAAAATTGCTTCAGAGCTTCAGAGAAGCCATCAAAAAGACTGACAGGAATCACTTCTCAACAGAAATAAAACAATCAAGAAGATGAGGGAATATTTTCAAAGCACTGAATCTTATTGTATACATAATCCATTGCTGCATAAAAAGTTACCCCCAAAACTTGGTGGCTGCAGACAATGCATATTTATTATCATTCAGGTTTTGTGGGTAAAGAATCCATATGTAGATTAACAGGGTGCCTCTGGCTCAAAGTCATTCCTGCGTCTGCAGTCAAGCCATTAGCCAGGATTAAGGTCCCACCTAAAATCTCAGCCTAGACAGGAAGGAGGAAACTCCTTCCAACCTCACCTCTATGGTTGTTTGCAAGCCTCCATCCCTTGCCATGTCGGTTTATTGACAAGGATTCCTCCCAACATGGCAAGTAGCTTCAACCAAAGCAAGTCATTCAAGCTCAGGTGTAGATGAACCTCCAAAGGTATAAATCTTTACAGCAACTCAAGTATAGTTCCTCATGATCTATAGAGCAGTGAATCTAAAATGACTAGTAATCTTTTCCCAACACACAAAACATACATTGGTGGAACAGGAACAGGATAACCACTATAGACATTTCTGTTCAAAGAGAGGAAGATGTGAACCACAAACTAGCCACTGGTCCATAGCAATTTTAAAATTGAGATGTGCAAATGTTGCAAGCTCCTTGATTACATCCGAGGTCTGATAATAATTCCTCATGATTCCCCGCTTCGCTCTCTGTGCTCTTATTTCCACCCTCTAAGGCATCTTTTTTCATGGAAGTTAGTATATGTTTGAAAACCTCAGTCTGTTTTCTGCCAGAAGCTTCCCTCATCTGGTACTGTGTTCTCCTTATTCCAAGATGCCAATGTTTGTACATATATAACTCTTTTAAAAATATTGTGGGTCTCTTGCCAATCTTCTTGATATTTACTTTATTAGATAAAAAGCTACATCTCCAAATTTCCTCGAGATAAATATGTTTCTATCTTGGATATCTATAGAGTCATAATACTCTTCAGCTTCTTAGAATCCATATTGTTTAGGAGGATCTACAAGTCCCATGATTAAGTAATTTAAAGAGCTTTACACTTGACTAAATAATACTCTGAGTAAACCACCTTTGATTTTCCAATTATACCTTCAGCTTCATCCTTAGACCAAATTTTCTTGAGAATGCCTTGTATTTGGTCTTTGTTCAGAAGCCACTTCTTAACTTTAGCATTATTTTTTATCTGTATAGGCTGAGAATTTTCAAAACCATCAAGTTAAGTTCTGACTCCTTTTTGTTTGACAGCCCATCTCTCAATTTATCTCTCTCTGCACATTTTGCTATAAGCATCAGAAGAAACCAAGTGACACCTTCAGAATTTTGCTTAGAAATTTTAGTTATGTCATTCAAAAGGAAATTTTCTACCTTTCATGAACTTTCTGCCACTACATAACAAAAATCTCCTGTCTCCAGTTCCAATAAGATATTTATTACTATCCAGTAAAACTTCACTGGCAGCATTCTCAGAGATGATGGGATTTCTCTGAACACTTTCTTCAATGCACTTTAGAGTTCCACTAACTCTCTCTCCTCAAAGTCCACTGAGCAATTCCAAAGCCACTCACACATTTTAAGTATTTTTTACTTGAAACATCTATTTTATACGGAATGAAAAATGACAACCCCAAAAGGCTGCATAGTGTATAATTTCAATTAGGTAAACATTCCTCACATGACAAAATTATGGGAATGAAGAGCAAATCAGTGATCACCAGCGATCAAGGATATGGGAAGGAGGTGTGTGTCTATAAAGGGGTAGCATAAAGGACCATGTAATGAGATCAGAGTTATGTATTTGGTGATCAGCGATGGTTACAACAAATCTACACATATGATAAAATTGTATCAAACTGCATGCACACAAACACACAACTGCATGTAAAACTGGTGAAATGAATATGTTTTGTAGATTCTACCATTCTCAATTTCCTGGATTTTATATTGCACCACAGTTATGTGAGATGTTAGCATTGGGGGAAACTGAATAAAGGGTACACAGGACATCCTTGTACATGCTTTTTGGAACTTCTGACAAGTCTATTATTCAAAATAAAATGTTTTTTAAAAAAACTTATCAAAATGGACACAAGAAAAATAAGAAATCTGATTATTTCATATGTAACAAATTTTATCAACAGTTAAAATTCCAGGCCCATATGGCTTCACCAGTGAATTTTACCAAACATTTCAAAAAAATAAATAAATCCCAACTCATTATATCAAAACACCTTAATCTTGCTACCAAAACCTGTCCATTACACGGCATTACAAGGACAAGACAGGGAAATTGCAGTTCTACCTCAATCGTGAATATAGTTAATCCTAAACAGAGTATTTGCAAACTGAATCCAGTATAAAAGGGATCATTCATCAAGGCAAAATAGGGTTTATTGTCAGGATTTACAAATTGAATCAACGTTTGAAAATCAATTAATTCACTAGCAAAATAAAAGAAAAACTAATACAGATATCAATATATGCCAAAAAATGATAAAATCAAATCCTCATTCATGATTTTTAAATAGTAATAATAACAACTCTTAGAAAACTATGTGGCAGACAATATGCAAAGGACAATGGCCAGACCCAAAGCCTGCAGCAATTTGCCCAGAAACCAACCCCTCATGGACAGTCTACGGCCCAGAAAGCTGTCTGCTTGTACGAAGTCAGGCTGCTATCTCTAGTAACAATCCAGGAAGTCAAACAATAACCCTTTTAACAATGGATCCAGAATGGCTGGGACTCGATTAATAACTGACAGCTTTCCTAATTTTTGTCCTCACTTCTGCCTTAGAAACAGAGAAAATAGCCAACAGCCTGCAATCAGGGCACACCTGAAGTCTCCCTTTTTTTCCTAGATAAAGCTTTCCCGCTGGGTGCGGTAGCTCACGCCTGTAATCCCAGCACTTTGGAAGGCCGAAGTGAGCAGATCACCTGAGGTCGGGAGTTTGAGAACAGCCTGACCAACATGGAGAAACCCCATCTCTACTAAAAATACAAAAAAAAAAAAAAAAAAAAATAGCCCGGCATGGTGGTACATGCCTGTAATCCCAGCTACTGGGGAGGCTGAGGCAGAAGAATCACTTGAACCCAGGAGGCAGATGTTCCAGTGAGCCCAGATCCCACCATCATACTCCAGCCTGGGCAACAAGAGAGAAACTCCGTCTCAAAAAATAAAAACAAAGAAAAAGAAAAGAAAAGAAAAAGCTTTCCACTCCTCTGCCTGCCTGTGAGTCTCTGCCAAAATGCAGGTGATGGTGGTGGACTCCCTTGCAACAGCAGACTCTAAAAAATAGCCTTTGCTTTTCTCTTTGGCTGGTCTTCATTTGTTTCTACAAATAATAGAAGAATATTTCTTAATTTAAGAAAAAGACACCTGCAAAAACCTACGACAAACTTTATACTCAATGGTAAAATACTGAAAGCTTTCCCTCTGAGTTCCTGAGTGAGACAAAAACTACCTTTAGCTCCATTCAACACTATACTGAAGATTGTAGTCAGCCCCATAAAGCAAGAAACAGAAATAAAAATAGAATAAAATTAGGAAGAAATAAAGCTGTCATTTTTCCAGACAATATGATTCTATAAAAAATAAATCCCAATAAATCTACATAAAAATTATTAAAAATTAGTGAGCTTAACAAAGTAGTTCATAAGGCTAATAACCAAAAACATATTCCATCTTTATGCATTAGCAACAAAAATTTGGAAACTACAACTCTGAAAAGATACTATATACAGCCAGGCACAGTGGCTCACACCTGGAATCCCTGCTCTTTGGGACGCCAAGGCAGGAGGATCGCTTGAGACCAGGAGTTTAGGACCAGCCTGGGAAACATAACGAGACCCCCTTCTCTACAAAAAATTCAGAAAATTAGCCAAACAGGGTGCCACACATCTGTAGTCACAGCTGCTAGGGAGGATTAGGTAGGAGAATCACATGAGCCCAGGAATTTGAGGTGGCAGTGAGGTATAATTATATCACTGCACTCCAGTCTCAGCAACTGAGTGTGAACCTATCTTTAAAAAAGTAAATATATATCTATATATGTGTGTGTGTGTGTGCGTGTATATATGTGTGTATATATATGTATATATGTGTGTGTCTATATATATATACACACACATTTATATATATACATTTATATATATTTATTTATAATAACTCAAAACCACCTGGAGAAATAAATACATATAACAATCTGCATGACTACTAAACAGTAAACTTTAAAACATTAGTTAAAATAAATATTCTCAAAAAATAAAAATATGGTAAAAAATGATAATTCTCCCCAAATTATCGATAGATTCAGTGCAATTTTAATCAAAATCCCAATATATTTTCCTGTGGAAATGGATACATAAGCTCATTCTACCTTTTATGTAAAAAAAGGCCATAATTAAGCAAGACATTCTTGAAAAAGAATGTTAAGGTGGGTCTATCATATATAAAGATCAGACATAAAGCTATAGTAATTTAGATGTGGTATTGCCACATGTTTAGCCAAATGAACAAATAGAGAAGAATACAGATTTCAGAAACAGAACCATTCACATATGGAGAAAGCTGGTGTTACACAACAGAGGGAGAAAGTTATTTCAATAACTAGCTCTTGGTCAAATACATACCCACTAAGAAAAACAACGAAACTTCATCTCTCACACCATTCACAGAAATTACTTTAAGCAGGTTTTAAACCTAAATGTGAAATAAAAAAAAATAAAGCTTCGATAATCTAACAGATTAATACCTTCCTTATTCTAATACTTGCCATAAGGAAAGATTAAACAAAATACAAAAAAAAGCAAAAACACAAAATATATTTAGAGTCCATTAATAATAATTAATTTAAATCATGTGTTCATTAAAAAAACCCCTATTATAAAAATGAAAAGGCAAGCCATGGAGTGGGGGGGGCACATATTTGCAACACCTTCAACTGGCGAAAGAATAGTATCCAGAATATAGTAAGAACACCTATGGTAAGAAAAAGACAGACAACCCAACACAAATACAATCAAGAGAATTATTGAACAGGTACTTCACAATTGAAAATATCCAGTCCAGGCACGGTGGCTCATACCTGTAATCAGAGTGCTTTGGGAAGCTGAGGTGGGAGGATTTCTTGAGCCCAGAAGTTCAAGACCAGCCTGGGCAACATGGAAAAACCCTGTCTCCACAGAAAATTAGCTGGGTATGCGGTACACCCCTGTAGTCCCAGTTACTTGGGAGGCTATGGTGGGAGGATCACTTGAGCAGGGGAGGTCAACGCTGTAGTGAACTTTGATTGTGCCCCTGCACTCCAGCTTGGGCAACAGAGTGAGACCCTGTCTCAAAAAAAAAAAAAAAAAAAAAAAAATCTCGGCCTGGTGCAGTGGCTCACACCAGTAGTAATCCCACCACTTTGGGATGCCGACACAAGTGGATCACAAGGTCAGGAGATCGAAACCATCCTGGCCAACATGATGAAACCATGTCTCTACTAAAAATACAAAAATTAGCTGGGTGTGGTGGCAAATGCCTATAATCCCAGCTACTTGGGAGGCTGAGGCAGGAGAATCGCTTGAATCCAGGAGGCAGAGATTGCAGTGAGCTGAGATCGCACCACTGCACTCCAACCTGGCGACAGAGCAAGACACCGTCTCAAAAAAATAAATAAATAAATAAATAAATAAATAAATAAATAAATATCTCAAAAGCCATAAATATATTAAAAGATGTTCAACTGGCCAGGCATGGTGGCTCATGCCTATAATCCCAGCACTTTGGAGGCCAAGGTGGGTGAGTCACCTGAGGTCAGGAATTCGAAACCAGCCTGGCCAACATGGTAAAACCCATCTCTACTAAAAATACTAAAATTAGCCGGGTGCGGTGGTGGGTGTCTATAATCTCAGCTACTTGGGAGGCTGAGGCAGGAGAATCACTGGAACCCAGGAGGTGGAAGTTGCAGTGAGCTGAGATCACGCCATTGCACTCCAGCCTGGGCAGCAAGAACAAAACTCTGTCTCAAAAAATAAAAATGTAAATATAAATATAAAAAAATAAAAAGACGTTCAATTTCATTAGTAATCAGTGAAATGAAAACAAAAAGGTACCACTATATACCCATGAGAATGCCTAATAAAAAAAGACAATACCAAGTATTGACAGGCAAGTGGGAGATTGGAAATGCACGTGTTCTGTGAGTGGTAAATTTGTACAACCATTCAGAACACACCCATACCCAGCACAAATACACAGGAGTGCTGGACATGAGTACAAGAACGTTCATAGCTGCCAGAGCGGTGGCTCACGCCTGTAATCCCAGTACTTTGGAAGACCGAGCGCGGTGGATCACCTGAGGTTGGGAATTCCAGACCAGCCTGACCAACATGGACAAACCCCATCTCTACTAAAAATACAAAATTAGCCGGGTGTGGTGGTGCATGCCTGTAATCACAGCTACTCGGGAGGCTGAGGCAGGAGAATCGCTTGAACCCAGGAGGCGGGAGTTACGGTGAGCCAAGATCCTGCCATTGCACTCTAGCCTGGGCAACAAGTGTGAAACTCTGTCTCAAAAAAAAAAAAAAAAAGAAAGAAAGAAAGAAAAAGGCCACGCGCAGTGGCTCACACCTGTAATCCCAGAATTTTGGGAGGCCAAGAAGGGCAGATCACTAGGTCAGGAGATCAAGACCATCCTGGCTAACACGGTGAAACCCCCTCTCTACTAAAAACACAAAAAATTAGCCAGGCATGGTGGCTGGCACCTGTAGTCCCAGCTACTCGGGAGGGTGAAGCAGGAGAATGCTATAAACCCGGGAGGCAGAGCTTGCATTGAGCCGAGATCGCCACTGCACTCCAGCCTGGGCAACAGAGCAAGACTCCGTCTCAAAAAAAATAATAATTAAAAGAAAAGAATGTTCATAGCAGCACTATTCCTAACAGTCCCAATTGAGAAACAAGCCAAATCATCAACAATAAAATAAATACAACACAGACAGCCATGAAGTCTGATAAACTGCAGCTACCTTTAGCAACATGATGAATCTCATAAATATAAAGAGAAAGAAGGTGTATTCAAGAACACATAGTGTACAGTTAAATTTATATAAAATTCAAAAACAGGCAAAGAAGTCAAGACCTACCCACCTTTGAGAAAGAAGAAAGGGTGCTGATGGAGAAGTGGTAAAAGACAGAGGTAGTGGGATCCTCAGGGGCTGGCTGTGTCTCTTGACTGCTGTGGGAAATTCATAAGCATCTTCTCTATCATAATTTATTAAGCTGCACATTTCATACTATTTATTGTTTTGTGTGTCACTGAGTCCAAACTCATTCTGCTTGCTGCACAAAGGCCAGTAAGTTGAGAGACAAGGAGTTGGAGCAAAGAAAGCCACTTTTTTGTTTGTTTTTTGTTTTTTGTTTTTTTGAGACGGAGTCTTGTGTCACCAGGCTGAAGTGCAGTGGCGCAATCTTGGCTCACTGCAACCTCCGATTCCCTGGTTCAAGCGATTCTCCTGCCTCAGCCTCCCAAGTACCTGGGATTACAGGCATGCACCACCGTGCCCAGCTATTTTTTTGTATTTTTAGTAGAGACGGGGCTTTCACCATGTTGGCCAGCATGGTCTCAATCTCCTGACCTTGTGATCCACCCGCCTCAGCCTCCCAAAGTGCTGGGATTACAGGCATGAGCCACTGCACCCGGCCAGAAAACCACTTTATTAGGACAGCCAGCAAGCCAAGAAGATGGTGGACTAATGCCCTGAAGAACCAGCTCAAAGTTAAGTGGGCTTTGCCTTGTCTTTTATCTTTAGGTAAGGGGGAAGGGGGGTTGACAACGACAGGTATCTGGGCACCAACAAGGGTCCTCGGTAATGATCTCTCATATGGTGATAGCCAAACCTCCTCGCTCCCATAAATCTTCAACAAAACAGTTAGTTGCTTACAGTCCCCATTCATCCACATGATTGCTGTTTTTGAGTTTTATCTCAGTGCTCTAAAATTATCCTAGCCTATGGACAGGAATGGGCAGAGGTCCCTTAAACAAAACTGGTGTTAGTTATGCGGTTTCACTGTCACATGGGTATTCAATATCAATTAAAGCATCTTTGAATAAAAGGGCACCTGCTTCATGCCCTCTGTTCCTTCTTCATGTTCCTCTGCCCTGATGCCTGACGTGCTCATGGGCCAGCTGGTGCCTTAGTTACCATGCTGGACCATGAGCACAAGTTCTGGGCATCATATACATGAGCTAGAAAGAGCCAAGATCCCTGAGGCCAACATGCTTTCCACAGACTTCCTGCCTCTGGATGTTTATGTGGGAGAAATAAACCTTTACCTGCGGTAAGACACCATAGTTTGGGTCAATGGAACACAAATCCTATCTTCACTGATACAAAAAGCCAGATCACAAGTCTAAAGCTCACAGCCGTCTACACCCATCTTTTTCCACAACCCTCTCAGAGTCTTACACTGTTACACCAAATTCTGGAAATTTCGTGTCAAAGAAAAAGCAATCAAATCCATTTATGTAAAAGTGAATATTGGGGCAGTGCCAAAAAAACTTTAATTGGAAACTCTCTGATTTGTTACACCTTAAAAAAATCAAACAGTGTTTTATGGCATTGATTTTTCTCTTTTTCAGCTATGGCAGCTGTTGCTTTGTAAAACTGGAATGTGACCTTTTCCTTCTTCCCACATGATTTACTCACTCCTGCATGTTAATACTTGGCAAATGATTTTTTCCTGAATATGCAGATATTTCTAAGCACTTTATTTGGTTTTTCCCATGACAATTTCAGCGTACACTTAATGTCATTTGGAATATTTTACATGGAAATAAAGAGAGGAAACGGAAGGAAATATGCGAAGATGTGATTCACTAGCTTAAAAAGCCATTTCCTTGGTAAAGGGTCACTCAAAATGTTTCACGAGGGAAATATACGGCCACATAATCAAACAGAATAAAGCAGAAACTCAGTGCAAGAGCTGTCCACTGGCATAAGCAGCTCAAAGACGAGACCTTAACTGGAACTTTGGAGCTCAGGCATGCTTCATCTGAGAAAGTCACAAGTCATTTTATAACATCCAGTTTTCTAATTTTCAGCTAACTTATGAGTTTCTTGGTTGTTACTTTTAGTCAGAATCTAATCCAAATAGTATTTTTCATGACCTCCACTGAGTTCTCCAGGGCAGGGTTCTCTATCCTTACCCACTTTGGCCCTACCTAACTTCATTCCCATTACAAAGGGGACCCCTTAGTGTAACCATGTGTCTCAGACATGCAAGAAGAGAGAGCTATGCACTGAATGTTTGTGTCGCCACCTCCCCACCACCACCAAAATTCAAATGTTAAACCCCAAATCTCCAATGTGATGGTATTTGGAAGTAGGGCCTTTGAAAAGTAATTAAATTTAATGAGGTCTTAAGGTCGAGCCCCCATAATGAGACTACTGTCCTTAGAAGAGCAGAAACCAGAGCTCATTCTCTCTCCATCATGTGAGAACACAGCAAGAAGGCAGCCGTCTACAAGCCAGGAAGAGAGAACTCACCAAGAACCAGATCTGCTGATGGCTTGATCTCGTACTTCAGCCTCCAGATCTGTGACAAATGTTTGTGATTTAAGCCACCCAGGCCTCGCTATTTTGTTAAAGCCACCCAACTTGACTAAGACACAAGGGATTAGTATAGCTTGGGAGGGGTTCAAGTTCTGAACATGGTACAGATTCAAAGAAAACAGGACTTGCCCACAAGAAACAAGATTAAGCCAGTACCCTCAATAGAACAGAAGAGCTAGAAAATAAGGGAAAAGGGACTGGAAAGTAAGAAGGAAGGGATGTGTGTGTGTGTGTCTGCCTGTCTGAAACAGGTACTACAGGGACGAGTGGATGACCCAATGGATTCTACACCATCTTCTGGCCTCTGTGCCCATGCTCCACTCCATGTAAGTCTGGGTTCTTTCCTGTGATGGGCTGCATCTTTCATGATGGCAGGTCACCATCAACGACTCACTCCTCCTACTTCTTATATTATTAAGTATCTATAAGAAAGGACTGCTCCCTGGATCAGCCTTGCCCTCAAAGTAGTGTAGGTTCAAGTGGGAGAAGAATTGGAGAGGAGAATAAACAAGGCTTCTGCAGCTCACCAGGGGAAGATGACTTTGAATTTCTTTAAAAATTGGATCTTTTATCTCACTGGGAGGTGAGACTAGAGATGATAAAAGGACAGAAATGAACAGAAGCTCCCATACCTCCATCAAGAGCCCACCACCCCCTCCACCTCTGAAGAATTGCCAATGATTGATCTCTCTGTCCTCTCTCATTTCTTCTACTGCACCCCTGCCCCTGCCTTGCTGTAGCTCAAAGCATCACATCTCACTAGCTTTTTTTGTATTAGGCAAATAGTACTGAGCCTCAGTTTCTCCATACTATCTCCAAAGATGGTTGTGAAAATTAAAATGAGGTCATATGGGCAGTGACCCTCACACTGCCTGGTATATAAAGGGCACTCAATAAAAATTTCTTTCTCCTGGCATATTAGAGAGTGTGGCATGAACAAAAACAGCAGAGCACTTGTTAAAACCCTCAGATTTTCTCTTTTGTTGAGTAGACCTAAAACAGGAAACCTCTTGCTGGGTAACTTACTGAAACTTTAAGCCTCAGTTCCACATCTGTAAAACTGTGATAAAATTACTTCCTCATAGGAGGATTTGTAAAATAAAAAGATGAGATAACGCCTCTAGAATCTTTAACATAGGATCTGAAACATGGCACTTTTCAACAAATGGTAGCACCTGATAATGATGAAGCAGGATTCTACAACAGCTTTTTCTGGCTAAGCTTGGATTCAAATTTTGGGAGGGCAGACAACACCTCCACCCACCACCCCTAATATAGTTTTATACCTGTTGATATCAATGGCAGCTTTTTAATATATCTGGGTGAAAAGAATGCTACATAGATTTCTCATGGTTTTCCCATTCAACAAATCCAATAGAGCTGAAGTGTAAATAAGAGAAAAATACATTTAATTTATTAGATTAGTCATAATTGATCAATGTTGAGAAAACAAAGCATGGAACATTTATGGTTTGAGCACTATTGTCCTAAACAGTTTAAGGTGGGGAGCAAAAGTCAGAAAGGAATTTACAGGTGCCACAAGCCCCTATTTGATCATTTAGTTTGGCACGAGGGTTGCACAATCCACACATTCCTGCAGGTAAACAGTGCAAAGACAGATGTATCCATCTGCATGTATATTCTCCCCGGCCACATTGCTTGCAGGAATGTGTGCTTTTATCATCTGAAAATCCTTAAACGAGTCTGACAAACCATAGAATTACTTTAAACAAGTATCTGACTGCCTCCTAATGTTTGGAAATAGAAGCATAGATAAATGACTAAATTGGCAAAGAACTTTCTAGGGGAACATTGATTGGCTCTTCACCATCTTTCTACAACTCTTTAGGGAATGATCCTGCTGGAAAATGTTTGCAAAGAGAGTTTAAGAAATTTCTCCTTCTTCCCTGATTCCTCAAAAATCATTCATCACACCAAGGGCTGAAATAAAGGATGTTTTGGACAACTAAGAAGTCTCTGCCAGGCGCAGTGGCTCATGCCTGTAATCCCAGCACTTTGGGAGGCCGAAGCGAACAGATCATGAGGTCAGGAGATCAAGACCATCCTGGCTAACACGGTGAAACCCCATCTCTACTAAAAATACAAAAAATTAGCCGGGCATGGTGGCAGGTGCCTGTAGTCCCAGCTACTTGGGAGGCTGAGGCAGGAGAATGGCATGAACCAGGGAGGCAGAGCTTGTGGTGAGCTGAGATCATGCCACTGTACTCCATCCTGGGCGACAGAGCAAGATTCCATCTCAAAAATAAATAAATAAATAAATAAATAAATAAATAAATAAATAGGTAAATCTGTTCAGGGCTCTCAGCTCTGAAGGTTGTGAGACCCCTGATTTCCCACTTCACACCTCTATATTTCAGTGTGTGTGTCTTTAATTCCTCTAGCGCCGCTGGGTTAGGGTCTCCCCGACCAAACTGGTCTGGGCACTAGTTAGGCTCCCAGGGCTCAAATCTCAGGTCTGTCACTCTGTTCCTTGGACAACTTATTTAACCATATCATGCCCCGGGTTCCTTCTTCTGAAAAAAAGGCCAAGTCCTGAAGTTAAGCATGAATCCTAATCAGCATTTCCAAGAGTCCCTAGAACACAAGAGGTGCTGTGATTATGAGTCCTCACTCTGTTCTTCTGCCTAAACCACCTCCCTCCTACAGTGCAGAATCTCCTGGAGGGAGGTGATTTAGGAAGCAGAACAGAGTGAGAACTCTCTCTCTATCATTCTCTCCGTCTCTACCATTCTGTCTGTACCACTTGGAGCTCTGGACTCCCAGATGCATGAACGCAAGCTTCTGAGCCAGCTGCCACTGCCCTGACTCTCGTGCTGTAGTCAGGTTGAGGGCCAACCGGCCCTTCAAGCTCTTCTGCCAGGTAAGATTGCAGCAAGGCAGCCCTCATTGGACACCCCATCTGCTGGCACCTTGATATTGGACTTCCCAGTCTCCAGAAATGTGAGAAACAAATCTGTTGTTTAGAATATACCCAGTCCGCGGTATTTTGTTACATCAGCCTGAGTGGACTATCATGGGCACATTCGCATCTTGGAGCAATTGAAATGTCAGTCTACTCCATCTGCTTGGAAGTCAGAAGAGGACCCAGTGCAAAATAGAAAGGCAGGGGCTCTTGTTCATAAAGCAGGAACATTTGTCCTTTGCTCAACAGTCTCTACTAGTCCTGTGCTTATTTCCTATTTAATGTCACTCTCCTGGGGGCATGGGGATCTACATGTGGTGAGTGCAGACTCATACAGGTGCCTAGGTGCCCATGGAGTGCAGCTCACAACTCCTTGCAGAGGTGGACGCACCTGACCATGACCTCCCATGGCCTGGCGCAAAGGCACTAGAAGAGGTGGTAGGGTGGGCAGGGGAGAATCTGCCCTGGGGGAGGGAGGACAGTGCACCCGGCCAGCACCAACCACAACACATACTCCATTGCTCCATCAGAGGTCATCAACAGAACGCAAAGTCAAGGAAGAAACGAAGAACTTCAATAGGGCGACCACAAAGAATTAAACCAAAGTCCACAGGTCACACACTCTCAAAGCTGGTCCTGACAGGAAACTTGCTTTAGTTCATCCCTTTACAAAAGAATACCTGGTCTCATCTGAAATGTAACTCATCACTTGAGGCTGTGATAAGATTGTCACCTCCCCCAGCTAGTCCCAGCTGCCAACTGCCCGAGGAAGTCTCAATGCTGAGACACGGGAAGGGTTTTTGCACCTTGAACAAGGAGCATCTTGACTTCTAGTGCGTGAAAATGGACTTTCATCATTGACTGAACAAATAAAAGGGCAGATTCCATGATCAAAAAGCCAATATGCCACGCTCTTGCTAGAAAAACAAAGAGTTGTAACAACACAGCCATACAGATATCTAGAGAAATCAATTCACAAAACCTCATCAGCTAGTGTCCATACCGTCCTCAGGTTTTTATTTATAATGGGGGAATTGTAACAAAATCCACCTTCTAGGGTTGCTGTTAGGATTAATAAGATGAACACAGAGCTGAGCCCAGAATCTGGCATATAAAGCATTCAATAAGCAATAGCCAATGTGGTGATTATTATTGAGCGAGAAAAGCATATTCGGTTGCAAGGACATGGAAGGTAGAACCGCATTATCACACACAGACCAGATCAAAACACAGTGATACGAAAATTGTGTTTTGGATGCAGTGCAGAGGCCACTCAGTTCAGCACCTGGGTGGTCAGCATATCAGGGAATTCCTGTTAATGGGTAAGTGTCAAAATAATTCTGTGGTCACTATTAGGTTGGTGCAAAAGTTATTATGATTTTTGTCATTAAAAGTAATAGCAGCCGGGCAAGGTTGCTCAAGCCTGTAATCCCAGCACTTTGTGAGGCCGAGGTGGGTGGATCATGAGGTCAAGAGATCGAGACAATCCTGGCTAACACAGTGAAACCCCATCTCAACTAAAAATACAAAAAATTAGCTGGGCATGGTGGAGGGCGCCTGTAGTCCCAGCTACTTGGGAGGCTGAGGCAGCAGAATGGCGTGAACCCTGGAGGCGGAGCTTGCAGTGAGCCAAGATCACACCACTGCAGTCCAGCCTGGGGGACAGAGCGAGACTCCGTCTCAAAAAATAAATAAAAATAAAAAGTAAAGGCAAAAACTGAAATTACTTTTGCACCAACCTAATAATACCCCTACTTTTTGGGAACCACATGCTAAAAGTAAGTAGGGATGAAGCATGATACTTAGAATTTACTGTTTAGCAAAAATTACAGAGATGAAGCAAATGTGGCAAATTGTGAACCGAGGAGCCCCGGCGGCAGATGTATGAGTACTCACTGTCCTGTTCTTTACACATTTCTGTGGTTTTGAAAATGCTTAAAACTGGTGAGTGTTGCCAGCAAAAAACATGTGGCTTTTATAGCGTTCTGTATGTAATCAGGAACACAGGAAACAGTAGAGAATGTTCATCCATCTTAAGAACCAGGGTGAAAAATGCCCCAGGGCTTATTGAGATAGAGTCTCACTCTGTTGCCAGGCAGGAGTGCAGTGGCACGATCTCGGCTCACTGCAACCTCCGCCTCCCGAGTTCAAGTGATTCTCCTGCCTCAGCCTCCCAAGGAGCTGGTACCTGTAGTACCTGGGACTACACGTGTGCACCACCATGCCCAGCTAATTTTTGTATTTTTACTGGAGACCGGGTTTCACCATGTTGGCCAGGATGGTCTTGATCTCTTGATCTCATGAACTGCCTGCTTCCATTTCCCAAAGCGCCAGGGTTACAGGCGTGAGCCACTGCACCCGGCCAGGATTTTTATATAATATATTACTACCAGGACCACAGGGCCCTACTGAGGCAGGGCTCACAACGGATAGCCTGGTAATCATCGGCCCTCTACCTGAGAGCCTCCAGCTGGCTGTGCTGCACACTGTACTGGGAGGAAGAGAGGCTCATGAGAAGACCCTGGAATGTGGAATCAAATAGCCCTGGATTCCACTCCGGCCTCTCCACTTTCGAAATAAATCTGAGCAACGTTTCATCGTCCCAAGTCGCCGTGTTCTCAACCACACATTTGGAAATGGGTTTATGAATTCTGGTAGAGATTTTTTTAGGTAGTTCAATTCCGGCTTAGGTTATTGTCTACGCATGAATAACTCTGAATTCTACATATTTGCTCTGATTCTTCAACTAAATATGTACATTGTGTGATAGGAAAATAAATCTTGGGGCCCCAAAATCACTAAGCTACAGGGAAGTCAAGCTGGGAACTGCTTAGGGCCAACCTGTCTCCCACTCTATTCAAAGTCACCCCTCTGCTCACTGAGATAAACGCCTGTCTGATTGTCTCCTTTGGAGAGGCTCATCAGAAATGCAAAAAAAAATGTACCCATGACCTGGAAGCCCCCTCCCCACTTCAAGTTTTCGTGCCTTTCCCGACTGAACCAAGTTTATCTTACATATTTTGATTGACATCTCATGTCTCCCTAAAATGTATAAAACCAAACTGTGTTCTGACCACCTGAGACACATGGTGTCAGGACCTCCGGAGGCCGTGTCACAGGCATGCATCCTCAACCTTGGTAAAATAAACTTTCTAAATTAAGTGAGACCTATCTCAGATATTTGGGGTTCATAATCCCAGTGTCTGCAGAGCACTTGGACGTGGACGTCATTCTCACTTCTGAAACCACATATCTATATTCCTCCGATGAGGGCGTCTTCCATATTTCGCATTACTGAATGTGGCCAGACAATTAACAGACCTCACCCACCCCTTCCAAATTCTCTAAATTTAAAACTTGGGGATTCCAGTTCCCTACTTCGTCTTTCACCAGCAGGCCACAGAATCATTTGATTCTTTTCCCCCAGGAGCTTGCAAATTCCCCGCTCAGGACCCTGGCTTCTCATGCTGCCCCCTGAAATGTGTGCAGCTCCTCCTTCCTTCCAATGTCAGGTGATCCCACAACAGCGGACACTGCAGTGCAGCAGACAGTGCAACATCGCAGGCAACAAGTCGTAGAAAAGACAATTTGGTGACGAGAGAGCCAGGTGTGAAAATTCTGGCTCTTCCTTTAATTAGCTAAATTATATAACTTTTCTGACACTCAGTTATCTTTTAACTGGGTAGAATCAGTCCTGCATGTCTGCAGAGGATTAACAGTTTTTACAAAGTGTTTGGTGCAAAATCAATGCTATATAAATTAGAAGCGAGAGAGAAGGGTAAGAGCAAAATGCAGACACAAGTGTACTGTGCTCCTGGCAGGAACAAGAGCAGCTGGGAGCACTGAAAATAAGCCTTATCTGCTCTGGTCCAAGCTGAGCCCTTGCAAGAGTGTGCCTTGTTAGAGACTACCGCTCACACAGCCTTACCTCTGGATAGAGACATCAGAGTAGCTCATAGACTTGAACTGCACTCTGGCCAAAAACACTATATAAAGATTAAGTATGTGACAAAAATTTGTAGCAACATCAGCTAATTGCAAAGCTGAGGAAGAGAAAGTAATTAAAGTTAGAGGTGAGCCAGCAAGCATTTCACTGAATTGTCAGCATAGAACATTCCCCAATCTGAAATCTTCTCTTCCCCTGGTGGGGTTGAGCGGGGGGAGGTCTACAGAACGCTTGCACACCTGTGTCAGTTTCCAGGCGTGACTTCCTGGGGCTGACACAGACTGCCCATTTCACCTGCCACAAAGCAGATCAAAGCAATATTGTTTAATGTATTTTCTCTGTGAGTTTCTAAAATTCTTTTTCCCCTAAAGAGTATTTCCTCCACTGAGCCTAGCTTAAAAATAAAACAGGTAATAGATATTCTATGGACAGGTAATCCACAAACAAGACTCATAACCCAAGGTGACAAATACATTGCAGAGACATCATAGCCAAAATCCACATTCCTTCCCAAAAACCACAGATACATGCATCCAGAAGTACAATGAAAAAGGAGAGGAAAGCAGCTCAAAGATATATACCACTTGATCCATCAATCCCATTACTGGGTACATACCCAAAGGATTATAAATCATGCTGCTATAAAGACACATGCACACGTATGTTTATTGTGGCACTATTCACAATATCAAAGACTTGGAACCAAGCCAAATGTCCAACAATGATAGACTGGATTAAGAAAATGTGGCACATATACACCATGGAATACTATGCAACCATAAAAAAGGATGAGTTCATGTCCTTTGTAGGGACATGGATGAAGCTGGAAACCATTCTCAGCAAACTATCACAAGGACAAAGAAACCAAACACCGCATGTTCTCACTCATAGGTGGGAATTGAACAATGAGAACACATGGACACAGGAAGGGGAACATCACACACCGGGGCCTGTTGTGGGGTGGGGGGAGGGGGGAGGGATAGCATTAGGAGATACACCTAATGTTAAAGGACGAGTTACTGGGTGCAGCACACCAACACGGCACATGTATACATATGTAACAAACCTGCACGTTGTGCACATGTACCCTAAAACTTAAAGCATAATAATAAAAAAAAAGATACCCTAGAGGTTTGTAAGTGAAAGATAATTCCTATTATGGATGACTTCTATGTGTCTGTGGGTCTATTTTTTGTTGTTTTGGGGTTTTACTGTGCTTTTTAACCTGTATGTTTCTAGGAGTGTCAAATGAAAAAGTCAACATCATTTTGACAAAATGGCAGGTGCACACACCTCTCTCCTCTCTTCCTGACGGGGCTGGAGGGCTTGCCAGTGTCCTGCATGCTTCTCATTCCCTGTTTCGAAAGTCAGAGAAGCTCAGGTGAACACACAGTCTCTCAAACCATGCCCAAGGCTGCCCTGAAGCAGGGAAGACACTGGCCCAGGAATCCCCAGACCTCAGTCCAGGTGCTGGCTCTGTGTGACCTGGAGCTCAGTGTGCGCCTCTGCAACACAGAGTTGGTGAGAGCTGCTGAGCTGGCCTCGCATAATTATCAAGGGAAACAAATAAAACAACAGATGAAGGTGCTTTGGAATCCAATGTGAACCAAAAGTACCTGAGACAGGTCTCAATCAATTTAGAAATTTAGAAAGTATACTTCGCCAAGGTGAAGGACATACTCACGACACAGCCTCAGGAGGTCCTGATGACATGTGCCCAAGGTGGTCAGAGCAGAGCTTGGTTTCATACATTTTAGGGAGACATGAGACATCAATTAATAGGTGTGAGATGTGCATTGGTTTAATCCAGAAAGGTGAGGCAACTTGAAGTGTGGTTTCCAGGTCTTGGGTAGCTAGGAGACCAACAGGTGCATTCTTTTGAGTCCCTCATCAGTCTTTCAGTGAATACACAATTTACAGCTGAGGAAGAGTAGAGGCATAGTCATTGACACCTTAGTCTGAGGCAGTGAATCTACACTTTTACATAAGCAGTAGGGCAGAGGAAGCAATCAGATTTGCATTTGTCTCAGGTGAGCGAAGGGATGACTGAGTTCTGTCTGTACTTTATCCCACACCTGCGACAACAAGCTATCAATTCTGATGAAATTCAGCAGAACTATTTTAAGGTAAAATTCTTGAGGGCAACAAAGAATCTCCTTGTGGACAAATCATGAGGGAGGTATACAGCTTTTTCATCTTGTAGCTATCTTATTTAGGAATAAAATGGGGGGCAGTTTTCCCGAACGCAGCTCCCAGCTTGACTTTTCCCCTTGGCTTAGTGATTTGGGGGTCCTGAGACTGATTTTCATTTCAAACCAACAAGGCCAGCAAACACAGTGTACAGGACTGTTAGCTTCGCATCCTGTGTCTCAGTGCTAACTGGCCCTGCGGTGACGTCACCATATTTCCAAAGAAAAACTGCTTTTTTATTTTATTCATTAATTGATTGATTGAACAAATATTCTTTTAGGTCCTAGAATGAGCTGTTCAGATACTGGGGCTCCTGAGAAGCGCTATCCCTACCTGTTTTTATCAGCCTGTTCTCACACTACTATAGAGAACTACCTGAGACTGGGTAATTGATAAAGAAAAGAGGTTTAATTGACTCACAGTTCTGCAGGCCGTATGGGAAGCCTGGCTGTACAGGAAGCAGGCTGCACAGGAAACTCACAATCATGGTGAAAGGCAAAGGGGAAGCAGACACATTTTCACATCCCCAGAGTAAGAGAAAAAGAGCAAAGGAGGAGGTGCTACACACTTTTAAACACCCAGATCTCATGAGAACTCACGATCACGAGAGCAGCAAGAGGCAGATGCATCCTCACGATCTAATCACCTCCCACCAGGCCCCCTCCCCCAACATTGGGGATTACAATTCCACGTGAGATTTCGGTGGGGACACAAGTCCAACCCATATCACCGTAATAATCCTTATATTTGAGGTGGATAAACATCTTCAGTAATATCTCTGAAGATGAACCCCGACCACTAGGGTCAACAAAACAGCCGGGCCAGGCTGAAAGCAAAGGGAATGCATGGAAATGTAGAAACCCTGGCACTGAGGAGGGGGTCGGTGGAGGCAAGGAGCTCACAGGTATCACTGATATTCCTTTGTTTTCTTTTTTTTTTTTTTTTCTGGAGACCGAGACTTACTCTGTCACCCAGGCTGGAGTGCAGTGGCACGATCTCAGCTCACTGCAGCCTCCACCTCCCAGGTTCAAGTGATTCTCCTGCCTCAGCCTCCTGAATAGCTGGTACTGCAGACACCCACCACCACGCCTGGCTAAATTTTTTATTTTTTTTTTATAGATGGGGTTTCACCATGTTGGTCAAGCTGCTCTTGAACTCCTGCCCTCAGGTGATCCACCTGCCTCAGCCTCCCAAAGTGCCAGGATTATAGGTGTGAGCCACCGTGGCTGGACTGATATCTTGACTATGAAAAAAAAAATTGAGAATTTGAATGCCCGTGAATGTAATGTCTTGGATTAAACCTCCCTGTTACCCAGGAAATCTGTCTCTTAGTAAGAGTTAATGCAGAGACAAAAATTCTAAGTCTCAGGTGACAGGAGAAGGTGGTTTATCTGGTGTTTGCACCCTGGAAATGACCTTCATTGTGAAGCTGGGATAGAGCTGCCCTCTGCCCTCAACCTTTTGGCAAAGCACCCAAAGTTGGAGCAACAAGAGTCAGACACACACAAATACATCCAACGAAAAGTCCAGTGCACTAATGATTCTGCCAAATTCCACACATGCACATCTAAATATCAGCTAATATAAAATAGAAACTACACTGGGCACTTTCAAAGGACAGTTGCACGGGCTCTGATAAACTGTAATAGGGATATTTGACCACGGGAGGTCAGCAAAGATTTATCCGAGGAAGGCGCTGGAGTGGAGATGGGTAGGGTAAGAGTTAAGTAGAAAATAGGACAGAGGTGGGCCAGGTACAGTGGTTCATGCCTGCAATCCCAGCACTTGGGGCCAGGTGCGGTGGCTCACACCTATAATCCCAGCACTTTGGGAGGCAGAGGCAGGAGGATCACAAGGTCAGTATTCGAGACCATCCTGGCCAACATGGTGAAACCCCGTCTCTACTAAAAATACAAAAAATTAGCCGGGCATGGTGGCACGTGCCTGTAATCCCAATTACTAGGGAGCCTGAGGCGGGAGAATCACTTGAACCCGGGAGGTGGAGGTTGCAGTAAGCCGAGATCATGCCACTGCAACCCATCCTGGGTGACACAGTGAGACTCTGTCAAAAGAAAGAAAGAAGGAAGGAGGGAGGGAGGAAGGCAGGAAGGAAGGAAGGAAGGAAGGAAGGAAGGAAGGAAGGAGGGAGGGAGGGAGGGAGGGAGGGAGGCAGGCAGGCAGGCAGGCAGGCAGGCAGGCAGGCAGGCAGGCAGGCAGGCAGGAAGGAAGGAAGGAAGGAAGGAAGGAAGGAAGGAAGGAAGGAGGGAAGGCAGGCAGGCAGGCAGGCAGGCTCCAAATAAAAGGAACAAAGTGTGGAAAGGATCTGTGGAGGGAGCAGGGACTAGAAGCAGGTGTGGCTACAGCAAGGAGAGTTTCTGAGCTGAGGATGTCAGGGAGGGAAATGATAAGCGGAACACGGTTCCCTGGCACATTGCCCCCAGGATGCTTTGTTGCTAGAAAGGTGTCCTAACTGATAAGATATCAGGGTCTGTGATCTCTTTTGTCTTCTCACGGTGGCATCGGTGTCATAGTTAACATTATAACACTCCTCCTAAGAAGCATACTTTCTTCAACATTACTTTCCAACTAAAACTTACAAAATATAATGCCTAATAACAACAGTCTGGATGTCTACATTGCAACTTCAACAAATACGCTGGGATATGAACATCAGATTTCACAAAACTATTCCCCGGATACCTACGTGGGAAGCTGTATACAAAGTGTATGTGCAAACACACAGTTGAACGTTCAGCCATAGTTGAAGATAAACTTTGGAATATCATTTCTCCAAGAAACAAATAATTATTCCCAAATGATATTCAGACAAATATTTTCCATCTTTCAAGACCTTACCAAATAATGATTCCGAGGCTCCTATTTTTCAACTTTACGAATACTCGAGATGCTTCTATTTGCCATTAACAATAGCGGTGGAGGAAAAACAAACAGAATGAGGATATTGCGTCTCTTTTAATAACACATATTTGCTTTCCAAATGGTCATTACATCTTAACATTAGTAAAGAAAGCTCTGCAGAGGCTCCTGATCCCAGTCCAGGGTTCTCACCGTTATACGGCGGGTGACTCTCCCTTTGGGTCCTTCTCATTATCTTTGGAAGCTAAAGGCAAAAATTTGTCAGCTCAACCCCAGTCAGAGCCAACCTCTCTCCTGACTTCTCCTAAAGGTGACAAAACAAAGAGGATACTGAGGAGCATGGGGTCACAGGGAGCAATGACTCTTTGTGCCGGTAGCCCCAGGCTAAAAGAAATTACCAAGACTGTTGTACGATGGCTAAGTGTGGTGGCTCACGCCTGTAATCCAACACTTTGGGAGACCGAGGTGGGCAGATCACCTGAGGTCAGGAGTTTGAGACCAGCCTGGCCAACATGGTGAAACATCATCTCTACTAAAACTGCAAAATTTAGTCGGGTGTGTAGGTGGACACCTGTAATCCCAACTACTCTTGAGGCTGAGGCAGGAGAATCACTTGAACCTAGGAGGCAGAGGTTGCAGTGAGCTGAGATCGCGCCACTATACTCTAGCCTGGGAGACAGTGAGATTCCGTCTCAAAAAAAAAACAAGAAAAAGGCCGGGGGCGATGGCTCATGACTGTAATCCCAGCACTTTGGGAGGCCGAGTCGGGCGGATCACGAGGTCAGGAGATCGAGACCATCCTGGCTAACACGGTGAAACCCTGTCTCTACTAAAAAATACAAAAAAATTAGCTGGGCGTAGTGGTGGGCGCCTGTAGTCCCAGCTACTCGGGAGGCTGAGGCAGGAGAATGGCGTGAACCCGGGAGGTGGAGCTTGCAGTGAGCCGAGATCGCGCCACTGCACTCCAGCCTGGGCGACAGAGCGAGACTCCGTCTCAAAAAAAAAAAAAAAAAAAAAAAAAGACAGTTGTAGGTAGAGAAACGCAGATTTACTGAGAAAGTAGGAAAATACATTGCAAGGAGGCAACAGGCAGGGTCAGCAGAAGAGGAGCCGTCTGCTAGGAGACAAAGGCTTGCCGACGTTTTCACAGAATGGAACTCAGCTGATTGAGAACGCCACGGCAGCCGGAAGCTTAACTTACATTCTTCTTTCAGCCGGGGTGTCTGATCAACTGAGGTGCGTGATGGTGAGCAGGAAGTTTGTGAGTTATGTCCGCTATCTGCGCAGGAGGGCCATATGTCCTGCGCCGTAAAGAAAGGTAGACCTATAGTTTCTCTGCTGTCTCTCCTTGCTTCCCCCTGCTCCTGCCAGCCTGACGTTTTCCCCAGTTAGAACCGCACACGTGGGATCCCTCTGAGGAAAAGAGAAGGTCAGGACCAAGTGGCAAGACAAAAGGGACCCATCCCCAGCAAGCTAGATCTTCATCGGAGACCTGCTGAGTTTCCACTTCCAAGTAATTCTGTTACTCGATCCAGACCCTAAGACAGGATTATTGGATCTCATGCAAGAAAGAATTCAGGGCCAAGTGCCACAGCTCACGCCTGTAATCCCAGCACTTTGGGAAGCCGGGACAGGCAGATCACCTGAGGTCAGGAGTTTGAGACCAGCCTGGCCAGCTGGCCAAGATAGTGAAACCCCATCTCTACCAAAAAAAAAAAATATATATATATATATATATATAATTAGCTGGGCGGAGTGGTGGACGCCTGGAATCCAAGCTACTTGGGAGGCTAAGGCAGGAGAATCGCTTGAACCCGGGAGGCAGAGGTTGCAGTGGGCCGAGATCACGCCACTGCACTCCAGCCTAGGCAACAAGAGTGAAACTCCGTCTCACAAAGAAAGAGAGAAAGAATTTGGGGGTCCACAGAGTAAAGTAAAAAGAAGTTTCTTAAGAAAGTAAAGGAATAAAAACATGGCTACTCCACAGGCAGAACAGCCCCAGTGAACGCTGGTTGGCTATTTTTATGGTTGTTTTTGATCATATGCCAAAGAGGGGGTGGATTATTCATGAGTTTTCTGGGAAAGGGCTGGGAAATTCCCACAACTGAGTGTTCCTCCTCTTTTTAGAACATATAGAGTAGCTTCTGGATGTTGCGTGGCATTTGCAAACTGGCTTAGTGACGGTGGGAGTGTCTTTTAGCAGCTAATGCATTCTAATTAGCAAATAATGAGCACTGAGGCCGACCAAAGGGTGCTTTCGTTGCCTCTTGGTTTTGGTGGGTCTTGGCTGGCTTTACTGCATCCTGTTTTATCAGTGGGGTCTTCGTGAGCTGTATCTTGTGCCAACCTCCTGTCTCATCCAGTGACTAAGTGCCTGACTTCTTGGGGATGCACCCCAGCAGGTCTCAGCTTCATTTCCCCCAGCCCCTGTTTGCGCTGGACTCGCTCTGGTTCCAACACTTGCGACAATTTCTGCGCCCACAAACCCACAACCTGTCTGGATGATTTTCAGATCCCACCCCTGAAGAAATCAGTCGTCCATTATCAGAATAATTCTTTGGCTAATCTATAAAGCATGCAAATGAAATTCATCATTATGTGCATACGCAGAATGTTCCAGCTTGCCAGGCACATCTGTATTTTAATAATAGAAGAATTATAATTGTTTTATGATGACAGGCTCCACACGCCCCTTGGCTTGAATATCATGGGCATATTGGAAAAAACAAGTGCAGTCTAGTACTATTCCCGCCCCACATCAGCTTTGACATGAACACTTCAGTTTCTATTGCAATCTTAGGTGAGGATGCTGCCTTTTTGCCTTTTTTTTTTTTAACTGTGCAAACTAAAAACAGGATTCAGCTAGATAAAGTAATAATGACCTGGATTGGATAGCTCAGCATAACAATTAAGGTTCATAGATTAAGACTGAATACGCAGGAGATTCACATTTCAATGAAAATGTGAATGAACATGGGACGATTTAATTGTAGATGGAAAACATTAGAAGCCGTTAAAGAATATTGACTTCCAGAGGTAATGGCAATGTGAGAACCAGAAACAGAAATTGAGAGAAGAGCACAAGCCTGGCGGTGTCGGATTCATTCCAGATGGGGACTGTGATGAAAAAGTGCAATCCCCTTGCATAATTTAGTGCTTTTTGTCAGTTAAAAATGATAACATTCTGTGTTCTTGGCTGTGACTTAGTTCTTAAACAGTAATGAATCGGTTACTGTCATGAACACTTTCCAATCAGCTCCTTCAGTTTCATTCTACCTACTTAAGACTGAAGACAATTGTTGATGGCAACCCATGATTAAAAATACAAAAGGTAGTCTTACAGAATATCAGAGTTTGCATGGACCTTTAAGGCTGTCAAATCCAACCCTCTGAATCTCCAGATGAATTAACCGGGTCTCAGAGGCAAGAGGGGAAATTACTTCCTGTAAGGACAGAGCCAGGGATACAGACTCTAACCTACTCAACTCCAGTTTGTTGTGGTTCCAGTTCACCCCTCCAGTTCTGCAGAGAGCATAGGCACTAAACCTTGTCAAAGCAAATGCAAAATAAGCAATATAATGAAAATCATCCACAATTGCTGGTTTTTCTCCTTTCACTCTGGCTTCCCCGTGATCCCCTACCCCTCTGTCATCCTCTTGACCAGCGGTTGGCTCACATTTTCTGTAAAGTGTAAATATTTAGGTGATAAACACCTTAGACTTTGCAAGCCATTCCATCTCTGTCATCGTAGTATTGTCAGCAGCGCTGGAACCAGAGCGACTCCATTCTGAGTGAGGGCTGGGGAATGAGGCTGGGGCCTGCTGGGCTGTGTTCTCAGAAAGTCAGGCATTCCTGGCCTCTAGATGTTTATGGTTAAGGGAACAGATTGATAAGGTTTACTAAACAGACCCAGACTTAGGAGTGTTCAGATATCCCAATAACTGGAGAACAAACGCACTCCTCATCTTGCTTTAAAGATAATAATATCATTTCTTGCAAAATATAGTGATTAAAAAAAACTGGCCAGGTGCGGTGGCTCACGTCTGTAATCCCACAATTTGTGAGGCCAAGGCGGGCAGATTGAGTTCAGGAGTTAGAGACCAGCCTGGCTGACATGATGAAGCCCTGTCTCTACTAAAAATACAAAAAATAGCCGGGCGTGGTGGCGTCTGCCTGTAATTGCAGCTACTCGGGAGGCTGAGGCAGGAGAATTGCTTGAACCCGGGAGGCAGAGGTTGCAGTGAGCCAAGTTCACACCACTGCACTCCAGCCTGGGTGATAGAGCAAGACTCTGTCTCAAAAAAAAAAAAGAAAAAGAAAAAAATTTAATCCTTTATCACAAACTCTTGTAGCACAACACGTCTGCCCATATATACCAGCATTGTACCTAGGGTGGATGCGTTCTTCCTCTTACTTACAGGAATGTCCTACTCTGTTTATGGAGTAGCTGTCCTTTTACCATTGTACTTTCTTTTTTTTTTTTTTTTTTTTTGAGACAGAGTCTCCAGAGTCTTGCTGTGTCACCCAGGCTGGAATACAGTGGTGCAATCTCGGCTCACTGCAACCTCTGCCTCCCTGGTTCAAGTGATTCTCCTGCCTCAGCCTCCCAAGTAGCTGGGATTACAGCCACACGCCACCACGCCCAACTAATTTTTGTATTTTTAGTAGAGACGGGGTTTCGCCATGTTGGCCAGGATGGTCTCGATCTCCTGAGTTTGTGTTCCGCCTGCCTTGGCCTCCCAAAGTGCTGGGATTACAGGCGTGAGCCACCGTGCCCGGCCACCACTGTACTATCTTAATAAACTTGCTTTTGCTTTGCGCTGTGGACTCGCCACGAATTATTTCTTGAGTGAGATCCAAGAACCTTCTCTTGGGGTCTGGATCGAGACCCCCTTCCTGTAACAGTATGGAAGCCACCGCTGAGGATGTATGAATGAGTAAGCATGGCTGTGACCCAATAGACTTTGCTCAGGGAAACCAGATCAGGCCTGATTGACCCCCAGGCTGAAGTTCGCTGACGCCTGCTCAGTAGGACACCCTGCGTCTTTCAAACACATCTCACTATTTGGGATGATCTACTCTGTTTCCTTGTATATTAAGTGCCTCCCCAGCTGGAATTAATTCTTCACATGTAGGCAGAAGCTTCGGCTCTAGAATTCCCACTTATTCAGCGATCAGCACCTATGACGCTGCCAGCTGTTTGTTGAATGAATAAAATAAATTAAAGACAATTTGACCTCCCAAGTTAGCAGGCTATGGTTGAAATTTTTTTTTTTTGTCATTGAAAAAGCTTGAAAGTTTTTCTAGTTTACTACAGCAAAGCTTTTTAACAGTCGAGCAGATGGTATAAGCAAGGATTCCTCCAGAGAGAATTCCCCCCAGAGTCTCATTGATAAGAATTAAAAACACTACTTTTCAATAATGCTTGGCCCCTAGGACTTCTAAAGCCATTGAATTGTTGACAGCAGGACAAGGCACAAGGATAGGGAGCATGACAGTTTTTCTTTATTCTGGCTCTTCTATTTAAAGTCAAAATATCAAACATTAAAACTTATCTGATTCAACTTGGCTAACCAGAGAGCAACATGACCCAGTGAGACACAAAGAAGAGGTGGCCCTCAAGTCGATGGTGACAGAGGAGCAGGCAGGATTAGGAAAGTGTATCTCAGAAATACCAGAAAATGCCTATAATTAAAATCTTATTTCAGGGCTGTCTGACCCACCTTTTACTCAGTATGGATTTTTGAAAAGATGTTTGGTTTATTAATTAAAACATCTATAAAATTATGCCCATTTTCTCATTCAAGCAGGTAGCTCTTCTACATAATCACACTCCTCTTAGTTATAAATTTGGTTATTGGAACTTAATGAAGCGAGTACTATCTTTAATCTGATACTTTAACATCTACATTATAAGTTAAAGTCAGATCTTTAGAAAAATCTGCTTCAATAGTCAAACAGAATTCTAGTGAAGGATAGCGTGACAAATAATTTTACGCGTAGAAAATGTCTGCCAAGAATAATAACATCTTCGATTTTACATGCTCAATAATTCATCAGAAGTGTTTAATTAGCTTACTTGATCTTTATGAAAACCCTGTGGCATCATAAAGCAAAAATTATGATGTTCACTTCACAGATAAGAAAACAGAGGGGGGGCGCAGTGGCTCATGCCTGTAATCTCAGCACTTTGGGAGGCCAAAGCGGGCGGATCACGAGGTCAGGAGATCAAGACCAGCCTGGCTAACATGGCGAAATGCCATCTCTACTAAAAATACAAAAAATTAGCCAGGCGTGGTGGCGGGCGCCTATAGTCCCAGCTACTCAGGAGGCTGAGGCAGGAGAATGACGTGAACCCGGGAGGCAGAAGTTTCACTGAGCAGAGATCTTGCCACTGCACTCCAGTCTGGGGGCAGAAGGAGGTTCCGCCTAAAAAAAAAAAAAATCAGAGACCCCACTAAGGTCTTTAGCCAAGGTTACATTATACTAAGCAAGGGCTGTCCAGAACCCAGATCTGCGATCTGCTGGACCCTAACAGAGTGTGCTTCTTTATCAACCATCTGCCTCAGTGAGCACTCGATGTAGGAAACCGATGGAAAGATTCAGCACCGTGTAACTTACACTGTTCGGAAAGCTCAGAATCCCCCTGGGTGGGGCTTCGCTTTCCTTATTTTCCACAGAAGCCATTAAACATCCATAATAAATAAAGCAGGGCAGAATGGATCAACAGGAAAATTATCAGAATACCTAGGTAAATAATAGAAAGATATCTGAAACATCCCCAAATATTTCTAATACTTCAAATATTTCAAAGTTGAACAACATCCTTCTGAATAACCCATGGGTCAAAGAGGGGATCACAAGGGAAATTAGAAAGTATTTTCAATTAATTGATAATAAAAACATATCAAAATTTGTGGAGCACAGCTGAATGAGTGGTTAGAGGGAAATTTATAGAATTCAGTGCTACTGTAACAAAAGAAGAAGGTCTCAAATCAATGATCTAAGCTTCCACCTCAAGAACCTAGTAACAAATAGCAAATTAAACCCAAAGAAAGCAGAAGGGAGAAAATAACTGAGAGCATAGAAATTAATGAAATAGAAAAGCATTAGAGAAAAGTCAATGACACGAGGAGTTGATTCTTTGAAATTCAGTAAAATTAATAAACCTGTAGCCAGGCTGATGAGAGAGAGAAAGAGAAATAACAGGCTGAGGCAGAAGAATGGCGTGAACCCAAGAGACGGAGCTTGCAGTGAGCCGAGATGGCGCCACTGTAATCCAGCCTGAGCCACAGAGCGAGACACCGTCTCAAAAAAAAAGAAGAAAGGAAAAGAAATAACAAATTGCCGACAGCAGGACTTAAAAGGGGACTGTTACTACAGATCCTATAAATATTAAAATTATAATAAGGGAATATCATGACAGTAAGTTTCATAACATATGAAATGGGAAAATTCCTTGAAAGACACAAACTACCAAGGCTCAAACATAGATAACCTGAAAAATCCTACCTCAATTAAGGATATTGAATTCACAGCTTAATATCTTACAAAGAAAATTCCAGGCCCAGTTGACTTCACTGGTGAATTTCTCTAAAAAATTTGATAAGGAAATAATAACAATTCTCCATGTTTGTTCAGAAAATAGAAGAGAAAACACCACTTCCAAGTCCCTTATATGAGACCAAAATTATTCTGATACTAAAATGAAACAGATACAAGAAGAAAAAAAACTATAGACCATGAACAATAACCATAAAAATCCTTAACAAGGCCAGGCGTAGGGGCTCACGCCTGTAATCCCACCACTTTGGGAGGCCGAGGTAGGTGGATCATGAGGTCAGGAGATTGAGACCATCCTGGCTAACATGGTGAAACCTCCACTCTACTAAAAATACAAAAAATTTAGCCGGGCGTGGTGGCGGATGCCTGTAGTCCCAGCTACTCAGGAGGCTGAGGCAGGAGAATGGCGGGAACCCGGGAGGCAGAGCTTGCAGTGAGCCGAGATCACGCCACTCCACTTTAGCCTGGGCGACAGAGCGAGACTCCGTCTCAAAAAAAAAAAAAAAAAATCCTTAACACAATATTAACAAAATGAAGCTAGCAATATATGAAAAGAAAAATATACCATGACCACCATGACCAAGTGATATTTATCCTACGAATGAAAATTGGTTTGATATTTTAAAATCAAGCAATATAATTTACTATATTCATAGACTAAATTGCAAAAAAAAAGTGATTATATTAATAAATGTGTGAAAAGCACTGATAAATGTTGATATCCACTGATGATTAAAAACTCTCACTAAACTAGGAATATGAAAGAACAATCCAGAATTTTGACTGACTACTTACTGGTAATTGTCTATGTTCTACTACATCAAAAACTTAAATAAGGAAGCATAAGTAAACTACAAGTGTAATCATAAAACTTTGTTTTAAAGAAAGAATTCTTCATTGACCATCTGGCAGATTATTTTTTCTTTCCTTTAAAAACTTCCAAATCCTCTCAAATCTTTTTTAAATCACATGAGAGTCCTCAAAGACAACAGACAGCATGCAATAGACCATAAGTATGGGGCTCTGCTGGCCGACTATTTTGCAAAGCTGTCATTTATCTTTTCCTTCTGTGATCCTCACATCGTCTTTTTGTGTCATTGTGGTTTGGTTTTCACTCATTTGAGGTTAAAAATGCTGAGGGATTTTGTTTTCATTTTGAAGTATAAGAGACATTTATAGCTTTCTAAAAAAGACACCTGGTGACAATCAGGAGGTTTTCTTTAAAATTCTTTAATCAGGCCAGGCGCAGTGGCTCAGGCCTGTAATCCCAGCACTTTGGAAGGCCAAAGCGGGCAGATCATGAGGTCAGGAGATGGACACCATCCTGGCTAACTCGGTGAAACCCCATCTCTACTAAAAATACAAAAACAAAATCAGCCAGGCGTGGAGGCGGGCGCCTGTAGTCCCAGCTACTGGGGAGGCTGAGGCAGGAGAATGGCGTGAACCCAGGAGGCAGAGCTTGCAGTGAGCCAAGATGGCGCCACCGCACTCCAGCCTGGGTGACAGAGCAAGACTCCTTCTTAAAAAAAAAAAAAAAAAAAAAAAATCTTTAATCAGCTCAGAGAGTTAATTAGTCACTTGGTGACCCCACCCCTGTGGGTAAAGTAGGCCCACCAAGCATATATCATTAGCATATATTCTATTTCATTCAAAAACAATACTGATAGAGGAAACAATTATTCAGATATCTTAATTAACTCATCCCAGTGCTCCGATTTAAACACCAGATTATCACCTGGTACTTACACAGCAATTCAATTTTAATCTAGATAGGTATAAAAGTATACATAAAATAGAGGTAAACATACACATACACAATTAGGACATAGTTTTGAAATATTAATCAGACGATTTTTACTTTTCCACCATTTAAAGTAGACAATAATGGGAGGCCAAAGTGGGAGGATCACTTGAGGCCGGGAGTTCAAGACCAGCCTGGAAATCAGTGAGACTCCAGACCTCCATCTCTAAAAAATAAACAAATAAAAAGATAAAATGAA
This sequence comes from Homo sapiens, assembly GCF_000001405.40. NCBI lineage: Eukaryota > Metazoa > Chordata > Mammalia > Primates > Hominidae > Homo > Homo sapiens. Next base: position 6,269,432 of record NC_000008.11, read on the forward strand.
GTAGGCAATGAGGCTAGAGGCTTTGCCAAGAACACCCCCCAAAAATAAAAAGGGTGCAAAGTCTTGCATACAAGTATCATATATTGGTGTATTTCTTCTTCCCTCTATTTTCTCTCCATTTTTCTTCCAGGGCCTCAAAAAAATTTCCCTCTGGGCCCGGCACAGCGGCTCATATCTGTAATCCCAGCACTTTGGGAGGCCGAGGTCGGTGGATCACTTGAGGTCAGGAGTTCAATACTAGCCTGGCCAACACGGCAAAACCCCATTTCTACTAAAAATACAAAATCAGCTGGGCATGATGGAGCACACCTATAATCCCAGTTACTCAGGAGGCTAAGGTGGGAGAATCGCTTGAACCTGGGAGGCAGAGATTGCAGTGAGCTGAGATCCTGCCACTGCACTCCACCCTGGGCAACAGGATGAGACTAAAAAAATCTTCCTCTGGAGCTGCACTAGGGCTCCTCCCAAATTCTAGTTACTTTATTAGGCATTCATTTAACAAACTCGATCAGGTGCCTGCCATGGGCCAGGTACTGGGCTACAGAAGCAGACAAAACAAAGTCGCCTACCTTTTTGGAGTTTGCAGTCTAGATGAGCAACACATACAAGAGCCAGATAGGAAAGCATTAGGCTGCCGGGCGCGGCGGCTCAGGCCTCTAATCCCAGCACTTTGGGAGGCCGAGGTGGGCGGATCACGAGGTCAGGAGATCGAGACCATCCTGGCCAACATGGTGAAACCCCGTCTCTACTAAAAATACAAAAGTTAGCTGGGCACGGTGGCGCGTGCCTGTAGTCCCAGCTACTGGAGGCTGAGGCAGGAGAATCGCTTGAACCTGGGAGGTGGAGGTTGCAGTGAGCCGAGATCGCGCCACTGCACTCCAGCCTGGCAATAGAGCGAGACTCTGTCTCAAAAAAAGAAAAAGAAAAAAAAGAAAGCCTAAGGCATGTCATATGGTGCAAAGTACTGCAGAGAAAAATAAAGGAGAAAAGAGCACCGGAAAGAGGTGGGTGCAACTTTAAAGAGAACGGTCATGGAAGGCCTCCCTGAAAGAGTCACGTTTGACCAACAACAGGAAGGAGATGAGCGATGGGGCCATGTGGATGTCAAGGAAGAGAACAGACTACGCAACAAGAACAGCCTGTGCAAAGGCCGTGAGGCAGAAAACGGTCTGAGTTCTCAAAGAAATAGCAAGGACATCAGTGTGGCGGGGGAACATGAGCCATGGGGAGAAAAGCAGAGGAGAGGTTGGAGCCTTCAGAGGACACCAGACCGATGAGGCCCTGCAGCCCACATAAGGAGTGAGATGGGAGGGCACCAGCACATGGTGAGCGGAGGGCGAGATGACCAGGGAGGAGGGGCGGACAAGGATAGAAGCAAGGAGAGTAGTTAGAGGGCTTCATGAGCATCAAGAAAGAGACTGTGGCGGCTCCACACAGGTGGGGCACGGGGTGAACCATGGGTCTAGGGGGCGACAGACAGTCAGATTCTGAGAATACTATGAAGCAATGCTGACAGCATTGGCAGTTGTATTAGAAATGAGGTCTGTAAGCAAAAGTAAAGTTGCAACTCTACCATCTGTGGCCTACACGCCTGGAAAGATGGGGTTTCCGTTTCTGAGATGGGGAAGAATGCCAGAAGAAGGAATTTAAGAGGAAGATGAGGAACGTAGCAAAGCAACTTTCAGGAAATTCTGTCAACTGTCACTTCCCTAAGGAAAAAAAAAGAAAAGAACTTCACCTACACATTTATTTATGTGTTTTATTAAGTGAAAGAACCATCTCCTTCATCTGTGATACAACACAGAAAAACAGCAAAACAAACAACCCTTGAGATCAACTGTTTAAGGAATTAGTTCAAAAAAAAAATCTCTCCAATCCAGAATGAGCACTCAAGTTGTGGAATTTTATTTTCTCTTTATTGTAAAGTTCTATACCCAAGAAATCACTTTTATAGGTAGAGTCCTGATTTCCCCAAATTAGCAATGTCACGAAGCTCTGTTTTTATGAGTAACTTGCAGAGGTGTGTGTGACTATGTACACGTGTGTGGACATAAAGGAATGGCTATTATTTTGAAGGCATACATATTTTATACCTGAGAACCACAGCATGCTGAAAAAGAGGCTTGGAGCATTGGCCATAATTTCCAATTTGCATATCACAGCAGAATTAAATAGCAATACATCAACGATGATGCAAGTTGCTTTCTTTATGAAAGAGTTGATTAATTATATTCCCTTTTGCTGCCTAGTAAAGTCAAATTGCGATTTCAAAGATAAAACTCACACCTACTGCCCCTCATTCATTTTTCCCTCAGTCACCTAAAGCTTACTGAGTTTAATGGTCTGTGAAACATTCTCCAAGAGTATGGGAAAGTTATGGGAAGCAATCAATACCGCTTTCCTCATTTTCCCCCTGTCCCCTTCAAGATAACTTATACATTTCTCTCAATATACTGAAGACTCTTCTTCCTCCAAGGGCTCAAATGACAGAAAGAGAAAATGCTTACCACGGTCAGGTTTTACGCTGCCATAACTAACTGTTCAATCAATAAGCAACTTCAGAAGTGGCCTGCTTAGAGAAACGGCTCCTGGCAGTAAGGTGTTCCTATTATGCAGAACTTAGGCCGCAGCCTGGAATTCTATGAATTGGATATGAGGCCACAGGCTGCTTTATTTCTAAATGGAGAGCATGCAACAGCCACTGTCACTGGAGGAAATCTATAAAGTCTTAGTCTTATCACAGAGAGTACTTTCAACATGACCTATTCAGAAAGCTAATGTTCCCTGTAGTACAGAGAACGGAGAAAATAATGAACCACTGCCCCCATAAAACATTGTGATAAATACCTGGTTTAACAGGCCACTACACCAGGATTAATCTTATCTGGGCCCAGGACTCCTCCACAGTTAGCTGGTACTATCAATGGATGGTAACCAAATGAGGAGAAACTATTTTTATTCCCCTAAGCATGAAAAATATCTACCAGCAGCATCTACATACAGCAGAACACCATGCCATTCTCCAAAGTAGAACAGTCTGGTCTTTGTTCCATTGAGAAAATTCTAACCCTAAGTTTATATTACTGGCAATATCTTTACCATAAACCTTCTCTTGTCAAAGTTGCCATGTTTTATTTTAACTGAAATTATTTCTAAGCAGACTCCAAGCTCACCAAGGACAGGGATTTTGTCATATTCATTTTTGCATGCTTTACAGAGGCTAGGAAAACTTCCTACTGCAGGCTAAACATGGAATATATTTGCTGACTTGCTTAAAACATCTACTCTATGTTATCAATGTGTTGCATTGGAAATACTGCAAGAAATGAATTTTTCAGCATTATTAATATTATGTCTAGTTACAACAGACTTCTCTTACTAAGAGCACTGGTTCAATAGTGACAGTTTCATCCAAGGAACTATATAGCTTAGTGTTTTATTAGTACTTGGCTTACACATCAGCGAGACTTATTTAGGGATACCAACCTCCAGCCTTTTAATAAAGAGGCGCGGACTGCAGGGCTGTTTACTCTGGGCACATAAGACTCTAACCATATTTAAAGTCCTTGCTTAAAGTATTAATAGATGTTTATTCAACAAATTGTGGGCCCACAGTGTCACATTCTCAGGGTGGCCTCTCTGAAGTTTCCGAAGACCTTAGTAAGAAAGTGGTCGTATAATTTTATTCAGAGCCAATCTGGCCCTGAAATCCTTGGGTTGTCTCTATTTTCCAAGAAACTCAAACATCCTCTCTAACTTCTCTACCAGGTACTGGGGTGTGCTCTCATATGTAAAAATATTTAACTTAATCCAGTTTATCATTGTTGGACATTTGGGTTGGTTCCAAGTCTTTGCTATTGTGAGTAGTTCTGCAATAAACATACGTGTGCATGTGTCTTTATAGCAGCATGATTTATAATCCTTTGGGTATATACCCAATAGTACCTTTGTAGGGACATGGATGAAGCTGGAAACCATCATTCTCAGCAAACTATCGCAAGGACAAAAAACCAAACACCACATGTTCTCACGCATAGGTGGGAATTGAACAATGAGAACATTTGGACACAGGAAGGGGAACATCACACACCAGGGCCTATTGTGGGGTGGGGGGAGGGGGGAGGGATGGCTTTAGGAGATATACCTAATGTAAATGACAAGTTAATAGGTGCAGCACACCAACATGACACATGGATACATATGTGACAAACCTGCACGTTGTGCACATGTACCCTAGAACTTAAAGTATAATAAATATATATATATATATATATAAATTTAACTTAACTGTGATGCACTCAAATAACCATGATAGTTTGACCAGAAAATACCCCAAAGCAAGGGCTCCTAAAACCCACACAGAGGCTGTGTAACTCGGTGTCCTCAAATAATAAGTTGACAAGGCCGGGCACGGTGGCTTACGCCTGTAATCCCAGCACTTTGGGAGGCCGAGGTGGGCAGGTCACCTGAGGTCAGGAGTTTGAGACCAGCCTGACCAACCTGGAGAAACCCTGCCTCCACTAAAAATACAAAAATTAGCTGGGCGTGGTGGTGCATGCCTGTAGTCCCAGCTGCTCAGGAGGCTGAGGCAGGAGAATCACTCGAACCCAGGAGGTGGAGGTTGCAGTGAGCCGAGATCGCACCACTGCACTCCAGCCTGGTGACAAAGCAAGACTCCGTCTCAAAATAATAATAATAAGAAGAAGAAGAAGAAGAGGAGGAGGAGGGGGAGAAGGAAGTTGACAAAGGAGTGGTTGTTTTTCCTTTGGAGATTTCTGCTAAGAAATCAGCACAGAATGTTACTTCAATAGCACCATACAAGAGCCCAATACTTTAAAAAAAAAAAAAAAAAAAAACCTCCTTCCTACACAAACCTTCATCATTCTGGTGCGTGCTGTGACTTCTTCAATTACCAGACACAAAAGCAGATCTCAGAGTAAGGTAATATCCTGGAGGTATATTTTTCCTCACAAACTAATAAGGTCACTTACCCCCTTGGGAAAGAATGAAGCAACTGGAACCATCATTGAAAGGAATTTCTCAAAGCCATTTGTGTTCTACTGTGAGCATAGAAGGTTCCTAAGTATTTGAAGTTATGAGGAGTCCCATGAAGGTAACTTTGGTATTTTTTAATAAACTCTCTTGCCACCAGAAAAATTCTTTCTGCACTGATTACCCCCCACGCCGCCCCCTGTTCTCTTCTCAAGGTCAAAGGCCACTGACCCCACGGAGGATCTGACAGTGTGCAGGATACAGGCTAAGCTTCTACAAAAAAAGAGGTCCACAAATACTGTGGTCAAAAATACAGAGATTATTTCTCTGCTTACTGTTATACCGAGGTCAGTGGCTGGTCTAGGCCACCGAGGGCTCATTTGTTCTCATTTTGTTGTTTGACCTCCTAGGGGCGTGGGCTTCACCCATGCAGGAAGCTGGAATGACAGCTGCTCACCTGTGAGCCCAGCCGGCTACTGGGCTGATGGCCAGTGAAGTCAAGGCTGTCAAGGACAGGAGGTTCATAAAAAAGAAAACATTATGCAATGGGAAGGCTTGCCTCTGAAAACAGCCACCTCCCTAGCTCCTTATAAAATGTGGATTCGGGAATCCCATGAAAGAGCCAGGTGGGCCTCGCATGACCCCCTCACCTAGAGAAGGCACGGGGCAGGTGCCACCTGCTCATGTGGCTAATGCCCCCAGCTGGCTGCAGAGCCCCCTGTCCCTGCACATGGGTGAATGTGGACAGGAGGTGGACTGCACAATAGGTTGGCCGTCTGCTCATTCTAGCACCCCTGGTTTGCTGACACTGTTTATGGTCGTGGTTCAACCTGCCCAATGCCCAGCGCTGTCCTCTGCCATCACTGCAATCATCCACTGGCACTCCTGGTGAGGCTGCCCCCACGCCCAGCACCATAGCCGCTTCCTAGAATCTGGAACAAAGAGAATAAAGGGCAGGTGTCCTTCCTTCTAAAGGAGGTGATCAGGAATTTGTACACATCACCTCTGCTCATATCCATCTTCCAGGATGTGGGCTAGCCAGACTTGTCCTCAGGTGTCAGCACCTGAAGTTCCATGTCCCAGGAGGCCCCACAGACCAGGACAAACCAGGCTGACTTGTCCCCTAAAGAGGGCTCCACTACTGTACTAAAAGAAAGAAAGGGGATGTGGGCCTTGGGGATCCACTGAAAGCCCCTGGCCCCACCTTCTCTAACTTACGGGTCTTCATCTCTCCTCTGCTTTCTGCTTCTTCTTTGTAAAGTTCACTTCACTTGGCCAGGCGTGGTGGCTCAAGCCTGTAATCCCAGCACTTTGGGAGGCCTAGGCGGGTGGATCACCTGAGGTCAGGAGTCCACGACCAGCCTGGCCAACATGGTGAAACCCTGTCTCTACTAAAAATAGAAAAATTATCCAGGTGTTGTGGTGGGTGCCTGTAATCCCAGCTACTTGGGAGGATGAGGCAAGAGAATCACTTGAACCTGGGAGGCAGAGGCTGCAGTGAGCCGAAATGGCATCACTGCACTCCAGCCTAGGCAACAGAGCAAGACTCCATCTAAAAAAGAAAAAAACAACTCACCTTACTTAACAAGTGGTAGACACCTTTCCCCTGTTCTTTTGCTACCTGATATTGCCAGCCCTTGTCTCCCAGGACAATGCCAGGCCTTGAGGGAGTGGATTGGCTGTTTATTTTATGTACATCTGGAGCTTCACGTCTTTCTAGATGTGGATAGAGTGACAGATACATACACATACACATTTATATGACAAAAGACAGATGATACAATATTAGCAGCACATACCTCAGGGTTGGAATTAGCAAGTAATGTTTAACTTTTTTTTTTTTTGTCACAGGGTCTCACTCTGTCACCCAGACCGGAGTGCAGTGGCGCAATCTCAGCTCACCGCAACCTCCACCTCCCAGGCTCAAGTGATTCTCCTGCCTCAGCCTCCCAAGTAGCTGGGATTACAGGTGCGTGCCACCACACTCGGCTATTTTTTGTATTTTTAGTAGAGACAGGGTTTCCCCATGTTGGGTAGGCTGGTCTCGTACTCCTGACCTCAAATGATCCACCTGCTTCTGCCTCCCAAAGTGCTGGGATTACAGGCGTGAGCCACCGTGCACAGCCCATTTAACCTTTTAATGTGTTTTCCAACTTTTCTACAATGGCTGTTCATTCCTTTCCTAGGTAGACACAGCTATCATTTTTAAAATGCTTGTTAAATAGTCTTCATAGTAGGAGAAAAGTTGCCTTATCTCCATTTCTAAGTCCATAATAGAAATACCTATAACACCAACCATGCCTCTTTCTGGTCACACCAAGTATTCTTCTGTTTGTTTGTTTGTTTGTTTGTTTGTTTGTTTGTTTTTGAGACAGTTTTGCTCTTGTTGCTCAGGCTGGATTGCAGTGGCGTGATCTCGGCTTACTGCAACCTCCACCTCCAGGGTTCAAGTGATTCTCCTGCCTGGGATTACAGTAGCTGGGATTACAGGCGTGCGCCACCATGCCCAGTTAATTTTTCGTATTTTTAGTAGAGACTGGGTTGCCTCACGTTGGCCAGGCTGGTCTCGAACTCCTGACCTCAGGTGATCCACCCACCTCGGCCTCCCAAAGTGCAAGGATTACAGGCATGAGCCACTGCGCCCAGCCCACACCAAGTATTCTACAAACAAGTATAATCCTATGTAATCTTCTGGGAGAATTACTGTTATTGCCCATTTACACAGGTGAAACCTGAGGCTTTGGAAGTTTAATGTTCTTACATTGTCACTGGCTAACAGGTGAAAGAGAACTTCTTTCTCAGAAGTCTGGAATGATCGTTTCTAACACTTATTAGTGCTTACCATGTGCCAAGTACCGCTCTAAAAATGTAACATATTTTAATTAACTCAACCCTCATGTCAAGCCTGTGATTTAGGTACTATTATGATCCCTTAAGGCCTGAGGCTGCAGACACAGGTTGAGTAACTTGCCCAGACTCACAGAGCTCGTTAATGCTTCCTTGCCATGGTACTAATGGACGTCTCTAACTCTATCTAAATGGCCTCAGGGCTTTCCTTCTGAAGGCCACAAGAATGAACGAGGTTATTGACTAAAAAAAATAAAAGAATCATGAAAACTTTTCATTTTTTTAGGTTGCAAGTAAGTTGAACATTTTAATGGAATGAAAAGCAGTATGTTCAATGCACAGAGAATCACTAGGTGGACCCTTCTATCATTGTCAATGTCATTCGCAAGACTAAATTTCCACCTGGCACTTTGAAGTCCCTTATTATATATTGGGCCTAAAACAGTATTCTATAAAGCTTAAATTGGTATTAACTATGATCATCTTGATGTCTACGGTAGATAATAAACAAGGTCGTACATACTTTACTAAACAATTTTGGTTTTTCACCAACATTTTTTTCTTTAAAAGATTTAGACTAACAGAATTATTTAGCATTTCGAGTCATGTGCTTTATTTAGCAAGTGAGTAAAAATATTGGAATATTGAAGTATTTGCATAAAAAATCAAATGGTGGTGTTTTGTAATCTCTATTATATTTCCTATTAAGGTTTCATATATTACTTTCCCATTGTTCCTGACTTTGTTATCCTATATATAAACAGAAACATGGATGAGTAAAAAAAAAAAAAAAAAAAAAATGAAGTCCTTTATTATGATCACTACCATCTGCAAAGGCAGGTGGCCGTCCCCTCCTGTCATCAACTAATTTTCACAACTACCTATGTTTTGATTTCATGTATCTTTACCTGTGCAAACCAATAGATGCTCCCCATTGTCCAAATGGTCTCAAATTTTTTGAGTACTCAACCTATTCAAAGTATGAGTCTAGAGATGTCCTGTCTCATGCATTACGTGGAGGATTGAAAGTTGGTACAGGGCAGGGTGCAGTGGCTCATGTCTGTAATCCAACACTTTGGTAGGCTGAGGCGGGCAGATCACCTGAGGTCAGGAGTTCGAGACCAGTCTGGCCAACATGGTGAAACCCCGTCTCTACTAAAAATACAAAAATTAGCCAGGCATGATGGCACATGCCTGTAAACCCAGCTACTCAGGAGGCTGAGGGAGGAGAATTTCTTGAACCTGGGAGGCAGAGGTTGCAGTGAGCCAAGATCATGCCACTGCACTCCAGCCTGGGCGACAGAGCCAGAATGTCCCCCCCAGAAAAAGTTAGTATAGGTTGACTATCCCTTATCCAAAATGCTTGAGACCAGAAGCATTTCAGATATCAGATATTTCTGGATTTTGGAATATTTGTATACTTAGACATAATGAAAGATATTGGGGATGGGACCCTAGTATAAACACAAAATTCATTTATGTCTCATGTATGCCTTATACACATGGCCTAAAGATAGCTTTATTCAATATTTTTAACAATTCCATGCAGGAGATGACATGTACAATGTATACAATGTATACAAACTTCACAAGCGTCATGTAGCCTCACATCATTCCTGACTCTGAGTTTGTATGACCAATAAGCAATCATTTCCTTATACTTATTCACACATAAGTAGTTAACCATAAAAGGTGACATACCATTAATACAGTGAAGAAATGAAGTGTTGAGGGTCACTAAACAGCACGGTAGCCTCACCAGAACACCCGCATTCACTGTTAAACAGCAGCAACAACATGGCAGGCTTCAACTTCCATGCTGGAACTCACATTTTGGATTTTGGAGCATCTCGGATTTAGGATTTTTGGATTAAGGATACTCAACCTATACCAGCTTCCTGAAGCATTTTGCATGTAATGCTTCCCTATGCAAATTTCATGCGTTGTCATCACAGTTGGCCATAATAAAAGTTTCCCATTTTTTAATAGGAATCCACTACAGATTCCACTAATAGAAAAGTTACTGTTGAAGATTTGCCTTTTAAGCAGCTCATAAGCTAAAATGTGCCTTGGAGGTCTTCCGAGCCAGGAGCTCCCACCCTCCAAGTCGCCATAGCCTGAGTGCCTCATGCTTGTCACAGTGTACACCCCCACACTTCCACCAAAGGTTGAAAGCCATTTTTGCTAAGACTAAGGACAAATAGTGCACCGCGATGTCTGTCAGAAGGAAGATGGAGCCGCAGTTCCTGTGTCTCTCCGTCTGTGCTCCTCCTCCAAAGTGCAACACATTCATCTCCAGGAAGAGCACAGAGTAATGCCAAGCAGAGGCCAGTGGAGTAGCTGGTGGACCAGGAAGGAGCCCTGCCTCTGTGCATGTGAAATACATCAGGACAGCAGGCAGAGGGACCAACAGGCAGCCACTTGGTAACTATACAGTTTCTAGAGGATTCTAAAACTTGCTTTTAGTTTTATTTATTTTTAAATTATTATTATTATTGTTATCATTTTTGAGACAGAATTTCCCTCTTGTTACTGAGGCTAGAGTGCAAAGGCATGATCTCAGCTTACTGCAATCTCTGCCTTCTGGGTTCAAGCGATTCTCCTGCCTCAGCCTCCTGAGCAGCTGGGATTACAGGCATGTGCCACCACGCTGGCTAATTTTGTATTTTTAGTAGAGATGGGGTTTCTCCATATTGGTCAGGCTGGTCTCGAACTCCCTACCTCAGGTGATCCACCCACCTCGGCCTCCCAAACTACTGGGATTACAGGCGTGAGCCACTGTGCCCAGCCCTATTTTATTTTTTTTTAGACAGAGTTTAGCTCTTGTCATCCAGGCTGGACTGCAATGGTGCGATCTCGGCTCACTGCAACCCCCACCTCCCGGGTTCAAGCGATTCTCTTGCCTCAGCCTCCTGAGTAGCTGGGATTACAGGCATGTGCCACCACGCCTCGCGAATTTTGTATTTTTAGTAGAGACGGGGTTTCTCCATGTTGGTCAGGCTGGTCTCGAACTCCCGACCTCAGGTGATCCACCTGCCTTGGCCTCCCAAAGTGCTGGGATTACAGGCGTGAGCCACTGTGCCCGGCCACTTTTAGTTTTAGTCTCGTGTTTACTTTTTAATGGCATCCAGAATCCCACAGATATCCTAAGACTTGAAAGTGTGAAGAGGATGAGAAGCCTTGATTTTTTTCCTTTATACTGATCAAGTGACTGGGACCCTGACAGGTTCAGTTTCTAGGCAAAATCACCTATCAAGTAGGGGTAAATCTGATGGGTACTTTACTCAGAGCTCTTTTTTCCCCACGTAAAATCTTTAACATCCCAAAACAGTGCAGACACCAGTGGGCTCCAACCACTTTGCAAGCAAGTGAGCCAGACAACTGTCCCAGTCAGCTCAGGCCACTACAGCAAAACACCATCCGCTGGGTGGCTTGTCAGCAACAGAAATTTGCTCACCAATCTGGAGACTGCAGTGCCAAAATCAGGGCGCTAGCATGGCTGGGTTCTGGTGAAGGCCCTCTTTCCAGGGCTTCTTCCAGGGGTTGCAGGTAGCCAACTTTTCACAGTAGCTCCACAGGGTACAAGGAAAAGGGAGAGCTCTCTGAGGCCTGTTTTGAGCTCTCTGAGGCACTAACCCTATCCATAGTTGCTCCACTCTCACGACCTCGTCAGCTCCCAAAGGCCCCTCTTCTTACTACCATCACCTGGAGAGAGATGTGAATCTGTGGGACACAATCATTCAGTGCATTACAAGTTACATCAAAATACAGCTCTAAGGATGGGCTCGTGTACTTTGGAAGGCCAAGACCAGAGGATCACTTAAGCCCAGGAGTTCGAGACCAGCCTGGACAACGTGGCGAAACCCCATCTCTACAAAAAAATACAACAAATTCGCTTGGCATGGTGGCTCGTACCTGTGATCTCTGCTACTCAGGAGGCTAAAGCAGGAGGACTGCTTGAGCCCAGGAGGTCAAGGCTGCAGTGAATCATGATCATGCCACTGCACTCCAGCCTGAGCAACAGAGCAAGACCTTGTCACAAAAAAAAAAAAAAAAGTAATAATAATAAGACTGTTCTAGGCCGGGCGCGGTGGCTCAAGCCTGTAATCCCAGCACTTTGGGAGGCTGAGGCGGGTGGATCATCAGGTCAGGAGTTCGAGACCAGCCTGACTAACATGGTGAAACCACGTCTCCACTAAAAAATACAAAAAAAAAAAAAAAAAATAGGAGTGTGGCAAGCACCTGTAATCCCAGCTACTCAGGAGGCTGAGGCAGGAGAATCACTTGAACCCCGGAAGTGGAGCTTGCAGTGAGCCGAGATCGTGCCACTGCACTCCAGCCTGGGTGACAGAGTGAGACTCTGTCTCAAAAAAAAAAAAAAAGAAAAAGAAAAAAAAAGACTGTACTCAGAGTCCACCCCAGGACCAATTTGCTTGCTGACATTCCTTGCTGGGTCTCCCACACTCCACTCTTCCCTTCTGAGTGAGTCTCGGGGTGACACTTGCTGGCTCTTGGCATCCTCCCCCGGTTCAAAATCTTATCCTGCACTCCTCCCCCGTCTGTCACCCCAGATTCTTACCTACAGCCCTCACAGCTGAACTCTGCCCTCGTTATGTCTACTCCCTAGAGCTCAGCAGCCAGCTCCTTCTCCAGCACAACAGTCTCTTCTAACAAATTCAGTAATTCCAAAATCAAACCCTACAAGGCCCCCCCAAGTATAGCAGCACTAAGGGTCCCCAATGTCTGGTTTTCTACCACAATCTGCTGGAACAGGGCACAGCCTCCTACTTGCACCTACCTCAGCCTCTCAAGCACAGTTTAAGTTACTTATAACTTGACTGAATGCATTCATACATTTATTCAGCCATTGACTCAGCAAACATTCATTGCCTGGCATGTGCCAGGCCTGGTGCTAGACACTGGGACACAGGAATGAATGAAACAAAACACAAGCACAAAGACAAACACGGTGCCTGTCTTCAAAGAGCCTGCAAACCAAAGAGAGAAAAGCAGATGTGTGGATTGAAATGTTATCGCGGGAGTGCATAGATTCACACAGGTGTGTCCAATCTTCTGGCTTCCCTGGACCACATTGGAAGAAGAATTGTCTTGAGCCACACATAAAATGCACTAACAGTATAGCTGATGAGCTAAATTTAAAAATGACAAAGAGCTTCCATAATGTTTTAAGAACGTTTAAAAGTTTATATCGGGCCTCATTCAAAGCCGTCCTGGGCCACGATTTAGACAAGCTTAGTGTAGAGGAACAGAAAGAGACAGAAAGAGAAAAAAGCAAAGAGACAAAAGGGAAAGAGAGATGAAAGAAAGATGGAGAGAAAGATGGAGGGAGAGGGACAGAGGAAAGAAAGGAAGGGAGAGAAGGAGAGGAAGAAAAAGAGAGAATCAAAAAGACAGAAGGAGGGAGGGAGAAAGAGATGTAGAGACATAGGGAGAAAGGGAGAGAGGAAGGCAGAGAGAGTAAGAGAGAGTAAGAGAGAGATGAGAGAGATGAGAGAGAGAGAGACAGAGAGATGTCCAGAACTCCTAGCTCTCAGCTCCAGGCTATCTGAACCGTCAATATCACAACCACCTTAGTTGGGGAGGGGGTACTATCAGTATCCTTACCATTTAGACACGAATACTGAGGACAGAAAATTGAAATAATTTGCCCAAGTTTCCTCAGCTGGTGAAATCAGGATTAGAGCACAGACGTCTTAGATGAGAGCCCAAAGCCTTAAGATCTCCGCTTTATTATCCAGAGAGTTGATTTGCCATTTGGCCTGGAGCCTGCCTCACCCTCTCTCCCCACTGAAGAGCTGTTTCCACTCTGACCCACTGCTCACCTTCTCTCAGTCCCTCACCTCGTGCTGGTCACCATCAGACATATGGGCTGAGTGATAGAGAATAGGGAAGAAAGAGGAAGGTGAGAAAAGGAAAAGACTCTCCTGCCATCTACAGGCCCCACTGGCAGTGACAGAGGTGGAGAGGGGTCAGGGATAGGGACCTGAAAAGGACCATCTCTTCATCCATCCATTCATCCATCCATCCATTCATCCATCCATTCATCCATCCACCCATCCATCCACCCATCCATCCATTCATCCATCCAGTCATCCATCCATCCATCCATCCACCCATTCATCCATCCATTCATCCATCCATACATACATACATTCATCCATCCATTCATCCACCCATCCATCCGTCCATTCATCCATCCATTCATTCATCCATCCATTCATCCATTCATCCATCCATCCATCCATACATCCATACATACATACATACATACACACATACATACATTCATCCATCCATTCATCCATTCCTCAGCTCCCCTGCTCATGGCCACCTCCATTCCTTCCTGGCAATGCCACCCACCCCACCATGGTCAGGAGATCGAGCTGAGGGAGAGAGCAGGGAAGTAAGCATCATCCTGCAGGGCTCTTCACCCTTCCCCAGTGCCTCTCATCAGGGGCCTGACTCCATGTGACATGAGGAGCCCCTCCCATGTCCCATCCCTGCCTGCTGTGGACCACAGACCAGCGGCCCTCCACCACAGCACACCCACTGGAACCAATTCCAGGCATCAGGAGCTGGGTCGCATGTCAACATCTTAGTGCACAGGAGGGCAGGCTCTCTGTCACTGAGACCACACTGTGACCCAGGCGCTTTACACGGGTGGACACTCAGTAGCTCTGTCCTTCCTTAAATTAATCTGGCTTTGATGGGTGAACCTCAGGCTCTAGAACAACCCCACACATGCATGTTTCTATAGAAACTAGTTTCATGTTCCAAACAGTTTTGAAACAACCATTTGAAATCCAGACAATTTGTAAAGTATTTGGGGTTTTTGTTATTGTTATTTTTTGTTTGTTTTCTGAGAAGGAGTCTGTCTCTCTTATCCAATCTGGAGTACAGTAGCACGATCTCGGCTCTCTGCAACTTCTGCCTCCCAGGTCCAAGCGATTCTCCCCTCTCAGCCACCCAAGTAGGTGGGACTACAGGCACACACCACCATGCCCAGCTAATTTTTGTATTTTTAGTAGAGGTGGGGTTTCACCATATTGGTCAGGTTGGTCTTGAACCCCTGACCTCAGGTGATCCATCTGCCTCGGCCTCCCAAAGTGCTGGGATTACAGGTGTGTGCCACCGCAACCGGCCTATAAAGTATTTTGCATTGTTAATCTTGTTGAAGTTTATTGATTCCACAATGTGCATTGAGTGCTTAGTAGGTGCTAGTTATGGTGCAGGCAAAAGACCAAAAAACGATACTGTAAAGGGCTCGCATTTGCCAGGGATGTGACCAACTCCTTCAGGGTGAGTCTGGTGATCCTCGCAGCAGGAGTGGGGAACGAATGAATTCTGCCGTGGCTGTCCTAGGAGGCTTAATGGAGTGAGGGTCTCCGAGTGCACTAAGGTTAGCCATAGAGAGAAAAGATGAGGAAAGACCTTCCAGGCTGGAGGAAGAGCCAGAGCAAAGCCCAGAGGCCCACAGGAGCTGGGCATTGTGGGAAACAGAAAGTGGCTTTGTGTCTATAGCAGTGGCTACAGTGGAGGGCACAGAGAAAATGTGGCCAAAAAAAAAAAAAAAAGAAGAAAGCTTTGACAGTCTCACTCAGGATTCTGGACTTTGCCTAAGTCTAATGGCAATTGAGAGCCATCAGGAGATTTTAAGCAGGAAAGAAACGTGATCAGATTAGGGTTTGAGAAAGACGGCTCTCTCAGCAGTGCAAAACCTGGATTGAAGTGGGGAGAAACTGGTGTGAGAGCCAAGATAAATCTGAGCCTCTGCAGACTTCTCCACCTTCCTGCGTAGACCCTGAAATGTGTCTTTAATGGATTCTATAAATTTCCACACAAGGATAACAACCTAGTGAAAATTATAGCATCTGTATCCACCAGTTTAAACTCCATTATTATAACCATCCAGGGCAACATGTGTTATGATTTCAAACAAAGAGGTTACCATTGATACACAAGGCAGGTCGTGGAGCTCACTTATCGGAGATGCTCAAGGTTTTAGTAATAACGCATTCCTGACAGCAGCAGCAGGGCGTTTAATCAGAATGATCTTCCTTCCTTTCTCCTTTGGGACTACATCCCTCCCACTCCAAAAGTGCCCCTTTAAGGCTAACATTCTTGCTGATTCTGACTGTTCATGCAAAGTGTATTTCTAACTAAAATGCTTAAGTGTTACAATAGCTGCTTTTTTGGTTTTTGTCTTTTGTTTTGGGGCGGTTGAAATTTATCCTGGTAATGGTTGCAGAACATCATATTTTCTCTTTCTACCTATTTCCACATCATTTGCCACTGTTTCTTTTTTTATTTTATTTTTATTTTTGAGATGGAGTCTTGCTCTTGTCACCCAGCCTGGAGTGCAATGGCACGATCTTGGCTCACGGCAACCTCCGCCTCCTGGGTTGAAGCGATTCTCCTGCCTCAGCCTCCTGAATAGCTGGGATTACAGGTGCCCATCACCACACCCAGCTAACTTTTGTATTTTTAGTAGAGATGGGGTTTCACCATGTTGGCCAGGCTGGTCATGAACTCCTGACCTCAAGTGATCCACCCGTGATGGCCTCCCAAAGTGCTGGGATTACAGGCGTGAGCCACCATACCCAGCTTTGCAACTATGTCTATAGCCACCCTTCACATGCTTGCGTCTAGTCTGCAAGCTGACATCTCCTTTGTGCCCCTGACTTACTGCCTTTTGTGATTATTCCTTTTATATTATGCCTCCCCCACTAGAGTTCTCCAGAGAAAAAGAGCCCATATGGATATAGAGGAGGCAATTTATTATGAGAACTGGCTCACATGATTCTGGAGGCTTTGAAGCCCTGTGATCTGCCAGCTGCAAGCTGGAGGAGACCCGGGAGAGCCAGTGGTGTAATTCAGTCCAAGTCCAAAGGCCTGAGGCCTGGAGGAGCCAAGGCTGTGAGTCCCAGAGTCCGAAGGCCCAGAAATCAGGAGCTCCAACATCCAAGAGCAGGAGAAGATGGATGTCCCATTTCAGATAGAGAGAGTAAATTCTCCCTTCTACTTTTAAACCCTCAACAGATTGGATGAGGCCCACACTGATGAGGGTGGGCCTTCTTCACTCCATCTACTGATTCGAATGCTACTCTCTCATGGAAATACCCTAACAGACACACTCAGAAGCAATGGTTTGCCAGTTATCTGGGCATCCATTAGCCCAGTTGAGTTAACACATAAGATTAACTGTCACATTCTCCTACCCGAGTCTTCCTTTCTGTGGCTTAAGGAGTATGGCCCCACTCACCCCTCAGTGTCCAGGGATGGTCCCATATTCCCAGCTTGACCAATATGCGTACTTTCCCCCAGACACAGTGGCCATTCAGGGACAGCCAGTTGACCATAATTAGGCCAATAAGACTCATTCCTGGGATTCCTGGAGATTCCGGAAAAGAGATGCTCCCTTTCCTGAACCTGCAAGCTTTAAAGCCATGAGCTGCCAGGGGCTCTACATGGAACCTGAGAAGGAAGCACATCTCCAGAGACAGAGAGCTGACATAGAAGGAAGGACAAAGAAGGTTCTCGGGAATTGTTTGAGCAATGGGGCTTGACTGTTACTACTGCAAGGAACTCTGAGTTCCAGCACTTCTTGTTTTCTTCCCTTTAGCAAGTCTGAGTTGGGTTTTCTGCACCTGCACCTAAAGAGTTGCAACCAGCATCGCAGGCGACATCTCTGGTTCCTGGAGGTCTGGAAGCAGTGCAGAGGGAAGCGTGGGAACTCACAATTCCACTTGGTCCTATGAGTCACTAGCCCTATCTCCACAGCCTCTCAAAAGGTACATGATGCAAATCCCTCCCCACAAATCTTCATCACCGTGTTCTCATTCATTCATCCCATTAATATCTTCAAGCTCTTCTTGTGGGTCAAATGAGGTAGTTATGTTAAACTCTAATTTGAGACCACACAAGTTGAATAAGGAAACTGAAACTATTCCAGGTTTTGTACAAGATTGTAACGCTCACAAATTATGAAGGTAGAATCGACAAGTGTTGAATTCTCTGCCCTATGACATTGCCAAGTGAAGACATGTTTCTCACCCTCATAGTCCTCCCGAAGAACTGAACACATAAACACAACAAGTGACTACACCGTAATGAGAAATAGAATAGTGATAAACAAAATTCCACCGGAGCATAGGGAAACACCGGGAAGCATTCTGGGAGATCAGTGGTCAAAAAAAAGAAAAACCGTCAGAAAGGAGGTTTTGGGTGCCAAAGAGTGAAGGAGAGCATTATGTAGGAGAGAGTGGAGAATGCATTGCAAACAGAAAGACCCACTTAGCAATGACTGGGAGGGGTAAAGAAGGCCACATGCACTAAATGTGGCCCGGTGCCTAACACAGCTCAGCCTGGGGGTGAGGTTTGGGAAGGTGAGCTGTGAGGCTAAGAGAAGGTGTCAGTAGACATTAGGAGAGGTCTGGAATGCCACACAGGCACATGTGCCCTTAATCTCTAAGGAGATGATCCCTTAAAACTCTCAAAGCAAGAGATTGGTGCGATCAGATCTCTCTCCTCATCAAAGGAGCTTTCAGATTAAAAGAGACGCCCATGGGCCGGGTGCGGTGGCTCACACCAGTAATCCCAGCGCTTTGGGAGGCCGAGGCGGGCGGATCATGAGGTCAGGAGATCGAGACCATCCGGGCCAAGATGGTGAAACCTCATCTCTACTAAAAATACAAAAATTACCTCGGCATGGTGGTGGGCACCTGTAGTCCCAGCTACTCCGGAGACTGAGGCAGGAGAATTGCTTGAACCTGGGAGTGGAGGTTGCAGTGAGCCGAGATTGCACCACAGCACTCCAGCCTGGCAACAGGGCAAAACTCCATCTCAAAATAGATAAATAAATGAATGAAATGAAATCAAATAAAAGTGACACACATCAACGTGGTGCAGAAGAAAGCATGTACAACGTCAGACAGCCATCAATGGCTGTAGTGACGGCAGTCCCTGCAGAACGGTCCCTGTGGCGACCACATCACACCTGCCATTTAGAAAGGCAATTCCTTGAACAGGTGGAATTATAATCAGGAGCAAAAAGTAATGACCTGATAGTGAAGAGGCATTTTTTTTTTTTGAGATGGAGTTTCACTCTTGTCACCCAGGCTGCAGTGCAGTGGCATGATCCCAGCTCATTGCAACCTCCACCTCCTAGGTTCAAGCGATTCCCCTGCCTCAGCCTCCTGAGTAGCTGGGACTACAGGTGCCCACCACCATGCCTGGCTAATTTTTGTATTTTTAGTAGAGACAGGGTTTTGCCATTTGGCGAGGTTGCTCTCGAACTCCTGACCTCAGGTGATCCACCTGCCTCGGCCTCCCAAAGTGCTGGGATTACAGGTGTAAGCCACCGCACCCAGCCTGAAGAGTCATTTTCAATAGCTCAAGGCAAGGATGGTCAGGCCCTGATGAAGATCGCAGACACAGAAAAACAGAGCCCTGCATCTTCCTTCTTGTCCTCACGTCCCACTGCCCACTCCCCAGGTAGGAACCAGGACACCGTGATGCTCCCGTGCTGCGGACCCCTCCTGTGTGCCTGGACTGAGAGTCTCCAAAGGCCTCCCTTGGCTTTAGTGCTTGCTCTCCCTCTTTGACTTCTTTTGCAGATTTCAAACAAAAAGTAATTTCTTTGGGAAATGGTATTAAGGATGCTTTACCTTCTGAAAATGAATAATGCTTTTTTATTACTGTTTTATTATTATTAATTATTATTATTTTGAGACAGCCTCATCTCTGTCACCAAGCTGCAGTGGGGTGGCGTGATCTGGGCTCACTGCAACATCCGCGTCCCAGGTTCAAGCGATTCTCGTACCATAGCCTCCCGAGTAGCTGGTATTACAGACCTATGCCACCATGCTTGGCTAATGTTTATATTTTTAGCAGAGATGGGGTTTTGCCATGTTGCCCAGGCTGTTCTTGAACTCCTGAACTCAAGCGATCCGCCTCCCTCCGCCTCCCAAAATGCTAGGATTATATGCGTGAGCCACCGCGCATGGCCTATTACTGTTTTAGAATACTAATTCTCGGGTTGGTTGAAAATAGTCTGTGTTCCTCAAAAACCTACTCAAGGGCACAGTTAGTTACACAATTTTTTAATTTCATGTTTTATAAAAATCAATCAACTTTTCAAACCCTGACATAAAGACATAAATGCACCTCAAAAAAGCTGTAGACATTTCTATACATTCTACTGGAAAAAAATTAAAAACTTTGAAAAATGTATGGCAATCCATACTATGGCATAAAGCCTTAATTTAATATTGGTAATTAATTACAGTATTACATCTTGAATCCAATGAGTAGATTTAGATCTCCGTATATTGGATATAAAATCATTTAACAGGAGTTGACAACCGCATGCCTCAGCAACTAATTAACTGTGTTACAACCCACCAATCAATAAGCACAGGCCTAACACTAACTGAGAATGACATGGCGCCTCCACGTGGCGCCTCCAGTGCTCTCCGTGCGCTATTCCCTGAAATTTCCAGAAAGCCTGTGTGCCAGCGTTACCGTGGCACTGCAGGCGGTGGAGAGGCCAAGTGCTTCAGGACGACCCAGCCTCTGCAGTCTCAGTCTCTGCCGGCCCCACTTGCTTTGGTAATTCCATTCTCCCTAATTTCCCCACCACCACCCTCCTGTGTGTTTCCATTGGTCAAGATCTTCATCGACATCATCAGCTTTTGGAATTTTTCCACAGCACAAGTCAAAGCAGAATAAAATGAGAAGTATTTCAGACTCATGGGCATTTGAGCTAAGGCTTGTTCTTGCCTGCACACTCCTGAAATTAATTTGAGTGAAGGCTTTTCAGAGCAACGGGAGAATGTGGAAGATGCAACCGGAAGGCAAAGGAAATTATCAATTGCAGAGCGCAGAGAGGAATGCATCTGCCCCAGGCAGAGAAGTGAAGCCCAGAGAGCAAGAGAACACTCCTCCCACGTGAAAAATTCACCATCCCCTTTGTAAAGCATCTAGGGGCCTTTTTGGTTTACAGAGTAGTGAGACATTGGGCTTACGCCATGGCTTCAAAGATGGAAATTCTAGAAGCAACACTGAGTCGTAGTTTCTTGTACAGACGCAAAGAAGTACAAACACATCAGGCTTTCAAAACCACAAATGCAGTCTCTGAACTTAGACTGATGATTAGCAACACTTTTGCTATTAATGGTCACACAGGACACAGCGAGGAGCTTGGAGCACAGGGGCCTGAGATGCAGGTTTTATTCCAGCTCCACAGGCCTTTTCTGAGTGCGAATCTGAAACTTTCATTTCTCTACGGGATGATACATTCCCAAAGGGCAGGGACAATATCCTTTTCATTTTTACAATCTAACCCTCTCTCCACCCACACCTGACCTTCAACTCTACAGCCGCCAGTCCAGCACATAACACAGGGCTTTTATAAGAGTCTTAATAAATAATTTTTCTTGATACAAAGTCTCACTCTGTTGCCCAGGCTGGGGTGCAGTGGCGCGATCACGGCTCACTGCAACTTCTCCCTCCCGGGTTCAAGCGATTCTCGTGCCTCAGCTTCCCAAGTAGCTGGGACTAAAGGCATCCGCCACCACGCCCAGCTAATTTTGTATTTTACTAGAGATGGGATTTCACCATGTTGGCCACGCATAAATAAATTTTTTCAATTGTCTCAGAAAATAAAAATTATGCTTATAATTTTTATTTTTTGAGGTATGGCAGGTTTAGCAGAAAGAGAGAAAAATGCATCTTTGCAGAGACGAATTATTATAAACCATTGGTAGTTTTACAGTTCAGTCCATGAACTTTGAGACTATAATGTAGCTGCAACAATTTTGCAATACTTTTGAAATACCCACAATTCAACAAAACTAAAGGGAAATTTACCATGAAAGCGTCTATAATGCAATAATCAGTTAAAAACTATCAAATTAGAAAATGTCTTCGATAAAGGAAGAATATTTGTGAAGATTCTGAAGAGGACTTGAAAACCGTAAAGAATGACTCTAGTATGTCGAATATTTTTAAAATACGACGTCACTTTCCCTTAATGTAAGTATGTACTCTGAAACCTATCAGCCACGATTGTGGGTGCTTTTAAATCAAACATTAAATGAAGAAAGGAAAAGAGAGAATTCTCAGAAGTAGACAGACAAGAGCTAGGAGAGCATTTGAGGAAGGAAGCAGATGACAGATGTTGTGTGAGAATGTGTAAGAACGTGCCTGCATTAGAATGAACTGCGCTTTAAGCTCTCAGAGGGAGAGGAGTGGCTCATAGACTCCTAGGGAGCAGACAAACTGGGTAGGGAATTTCTCTCAAACCAACAACCAGTTACCGACAATGTCCAGAGGTACCAAGCCAAGGCAAAGTAGTCACCATTTGGAGGCGGAAATGGGTAAGGAGCACATATGAGCCTGAAGACTCAGGAAGGTTTGAGGAGGAAAACGTTGAACATGCATTACAGAAGTGTAGTGTATGTTTAAAAAGTAGGAAGCAGTCTTTTCCTACCCTGAGCTTCCACGGTTCAGTGGGGCTAAACCTCTCCCTGATCCCAGGAGGGAGCACGTGACACTTCCTGGGGCATAACCACCAGTTTTGGAGCTGGCAAATGGCCCCCGCCCTGCCATCTGGAGACGACTCCGGAACTCTTCCGGAGTTCTTTGGAATAAATGTTCTTTTTCTCCTGTGGTTAATTTTGGTGTAATGTAAACTCACACTGCTGGTGGTTATTTTAGAAACCATGTGGGGAAACCTTGCCTAAAAATAAATATAATCCAGAGGAAAGAGGAACTGAGAGAAAAGGCCAGTCTCACTCACATGTTTGCGGTTCCAGATCCAGGAGTTCCTAAATACAGCTGTATCCCGCAGTTCCTAATGATGTGTGCTAGTAAATTCCCCTCTCCATGCTCATGTCATTTGAATTGAGATTCTTCTACTTAAAATAAGAATATTCTACTCACATAAGGAGAGTCTGAGTTTGGATGTCTATATTTAAAAGAATGTCTATGAGACAAATTAAGTTCATTTCTTTTATTTTTTTTGAGATAGAGTCTTGCTTTGTTGCCCAGGCTGGAGTGCAGTGGTGCAATCTCGGCTCACTGCAACCTCCACCTCCCAGGGTCAAGTGATTCTCCGGTCTCAGCCTCCCAAGTAGCTGGGATTACAGGCACACAGCACCACACCTGGCTAACTTTTGTCTTTTTAGTAGACTCAGGGTTTCACCATGTTGGCCAGGCTGATCTTGAACTCCCGATCTCAGGTGATCTGTCTGCCTCGGCCTTCCAAAGTGCTAGGATTACAGGCGTGACTCACCATACTTTGCCATGGTCCCCTTTTAAATAGAGTCTGAACTTGCCATCTTCAGTGTCCTGAATATTTTTTTCTTTAATAATTACCACATATAAGAAAATCTTTAACATGAATGATAAAGACAAAAAAGTTTCAAAACAAAAGAAAATAAATATCCATGAAATCAAAACAAAATAATTTCCGCTTCTGTTACAGTATTGCTCATATGAGACCAACCCTTCCCAGTAGGAACACTGTAAAATCAGGGTAATTGTTTAGATGCTGCCGGAAGACACTGGAGAGTAACCAATGGATTGAGCGGCCAAAGGCAAGAAAAAAAATATGATGGCAAAATAATCTTTCTTTGTGCCTTTCCTCTGAAATGTGGGTCAATTAGATGTCTCGAATTAGAGGCTGAAAACCAGGCAGAAAGTCACCGCGAAGGGTTTGCAGTAGTCTCACAGAGCGGGGGAAACAAGACTGGAGGTCAGAGTTATCAAGACAGCCACGGTTTAGAGGGAGATGTTGAAGAACAGAAGACTTGTACAGGATTTAGTCTAATACTCTTCTAGACCGAAAAGCTAAGCAGAAAGCAACAACCAAAGACTCAAAAATAAAAAGTTTCAGCAGCCCTGTTGTGTTGAAAAAATACAAACTGGAGTTCACGGCCAGCTAGGGAAGGCTAGCCCTGCTAAACATCCCAGAGTGTGCCCCAGGAGTAAAGGCAAAATGGAAGTAGAGCAGATCTCACAAAGATAGAAACAGCCTCAAATCAACTCAATCCCTGGTTGGATCAAAGTGATCTACCATTCCCATAACTGCCTGCCAGAAGAAAATGAAATCCTTTCTAGAGGAAGCTATCATCCAATGGCTCTTAAATTTTTTATACTTAATATTTGCATTCCATAAAAATTATTAAAAAACAAGGAAAAATAAATAGAAATTGATACGTTAATAAATATGGATTTTTAAATAACTGCGATTAACGTGTTCAATTAAACAGATGACAATAGTTTCACTAGGAAACAGAAATTTATTTTAAATAAACAATCAGGCCAGGTGCAGTGGCCCATGCTTGTAATCCCAGCACTTGGGAGGCCGAGGCAGGCAGATCACCTGAGGTGAGGTCAGGAGATCGAGACCAGCCTGGCCATCATGTTGAAATCCTGTCTCCACTAAAAAATACAAAAAAAAAAAAAAAAGGCCAGGCACGGTGGCTCACGCCTGTAATCCCAGCACTTTGAGAGGCCTAGGCGGGAGGATCACGAGATCAGGAGATCGAGGCCATCCTGGCTAACACTGTGAAACCCCGTCTCTACTAAAAATACAAAAATTTAGTCAGGCATGGTGGTGGGTGCCTGTAGTCCCAGCTACTCGGGAGGCTGAGGCAGGAGAATGGCATGAACCCAGGAGGTGGAGCTTTCAGTGAGCTGAGATAGTGCCACTGCATTCCTGCCTGGGAGACAGAGCGAGACTCCATCTAAAAAAAAAAAAAAAATTAGCCAGACACAGTGGTGCATACCTGTAGTCCCAGCTACTTGGGAGGCTGAGGCAAAAGAATCTCTCAAATTCTTTTGGGAATTAAAAATGGGAGGCGGAGGTTGCAGTGAGCCAAGATCGTGCCGCTGCACTCCAGCCTGGGCAACAGAGCAAGACTGTGTCTCAAAAAATAAAAAAATCACATAAAAATTTTAGTACTGAGAATATAATAACTAAAATAAGAAATTAAATAGAAAGGTTTAAGAGCAGAATAAATCCAATACAAGAGAATACTAGTAAAAAATAAGGGAGATTTAAATAAAATATTCTCACTGAATACACAAAGATTAAAAGATAGAAAATACAGACAAGAGAATAATTTGTAGCCGTCTCTAAAATGCCAAGGATGCGTATTTTAATTTCTAAAATAATCACTAAAAGGTTAATAAAAGCATGTAATAATAACTAGCTAACAGAGAGAGGAAATTGAATAAAAAAACTTATTTTGGCCAGGCACTGTGGCTAATGCCTGTAATCCCAGCACTTTGGGAGGCTGAGGCGGGCGGATCACAAGGTCAAGAGATCGAGACCATCCTAGCCAACATGGTGAAACCCCATCTCTACTAAAAGTACAAAAATTAGTCGGGCGTGGTGGTGCGTGCCTGTTGTCCCAACTACTCAGGAGGCTGAGGCAGGAGAACCGCTTGAACCCGGGAGGCAGAGGTTTCAGTAAGCCAAGATTGCACCACTGCACTCCAACCTGGTGACAGAGGGAGACTACGTCTCAAAAAAACAAAACAAAACAAAAAAAAAACTTTTTATTATTGCTAGCTTATATCAGTAAACCCCAGAAACTCTTAGAAATTGAAATCATGCATGAGGCGACTGTAAAGCAGAAGTGAAAATGTGTCTAAAATCAGAAGGTTCCCAAATCCAAAACAACAGAATAACAAAAATAACAAACAGAAAAGAGAAAGAATAAAGAGAATACAGATAGTAATATGATATATTTATATCTATGACCCAAATATGGTAATAATTACATTTAGTATAAATGAGCTAAACTAGTAATTACAATAATTATAAATTACTAAGTTCTCCAAATTAAAAGGCAAAGATTAATAGACTACATTTTTAAAACAACTATATTATGCTTGCATATTTAAATATGGAAAATTTAAGTACACAGAGATGTTTGAAGTAAAATTATTGGAAAAGATGTATCATATAAGCATTAACCAAAAGAGAGCAGGTATAGCTGTACTAATATCAAACAAATTCGATGAACAGCATTAATAGAAATAAAGACATTTAAAGATTGTAAAAGAGTTGATCCTCCAGGGAGAAAAAAATTTTTAATTCCTTGCACCTAGCAACATAGCTCCAAAAGTAAAATAAAATAAAATAAATCCACAGACTGGGAGATTTTAATGTTTCTCTCTTGGTAAACGATAAAAGAGTCAGACAAAAAGATGCAGAGATATGAAATATCTGACAACACAATTGGCAAATTTGACCTACTCTACATATACTTAACACTGCACTTAATAACTATAGAATGAACTTTCTTTTAAAATGTATGTAAAACGTTTATCAAAAATTGATTATATGATGAGTCATTTAAAAAACTCAATAAATATCAAAGGATTGAATGATCTAGAACCTGTTTCACTACAGTGAAATGAACCTAGACATCACTAAAAAAAAAAGATAATTTCGAAGACTCCCATATGTTTCAGACTAAGAAATTATATTCTATATAACCCATGGATCAAAGAAAAACTTATAACAGAAGTTAGGAAATATTTTTAAGCTGATGACAATGAAAATATAAATTATTGTATAATGCAGCTGAAGTCATGCTTAAAGAGAAAGTTATCAATGTATATATATGTATTATAAAAGAAGAAAGTGGAAAAATTAGTGATATAAGAATGTATCACAAGAAATTAAAATAAAATGACAGTAAATTAAACTGACAAATATTAGAAAGAAGAAAGCATTTAAAACCAAGTACTGTGGCTCATGCCTATAATCCCAGCACTTTGGAAGGCCAAGGTCAGTGGATTGCTTGAGCCCAGGAGTTCGAGACCACCCTGGGCAACATGGTGAAACCTTGTCTCTACAAAAAATACAAAAATTAGCTAGGTCTGGTGGTGTATGCCTGTTGTCCCAGCTAAACAGGAGGCTGAGGTGGGAGGATCGATTGAACCTGGGAGGTCAAGGGTGCAGTGAGCTGTGATCATACCACTGCACTCCAGCCTGGGCAGCAGAGCAAGACTATGTCTCAGAAAAAAAAAAAAAAAAGAAAGAAGAAAGCAATTAAAATAAGAACATAAATTAATAAAGTAAAAATAATTTCATATTAGAGAAAAAAATTACAAAAGCCAACAACTGACATTTTTGAAAAGACAAATAAGACTGATTCAACCCTGGAAATTCTGATTAAAATAAAAAGAAAAATAAATAATTACAAATATGCAGAGAAAAGACAGCCATCACTCAAGACATTAGAGATATTAAAAAGAGAGTAAGAAGATGTTATAAGCAACTTCATACCATTACTTAGAAATTTTAAATAAAATGGACAGTGATTGATTTTGGGTGTCACACTTGCCTGGATTAAGGGGTATCCTGGATTGAGGGGTACCGCACCCGGCCCGGACACCCTAGTCGTTGACTGACCAGGTTGCAACCTGTGCCCATGATAGCGCCGGGAGGGGCCTGATAATGCACTATCCCATCAGGATGAGATGGAGTGCAGAAGGGGTTGTTGTCCAGAATGTCACTGGATGGACAAACCACAGTGCCCACCACGGAGGGCCATTTGCCTGTGGTCTGGTAAATTTATCAGCACTTGGAAGACTACCTAAAGGGAATTACATTTAGACATGGAATAATTAGGTGGAGATATATTCTTCTAACTTCCTGTCTAGCCAAGCACTTGTAAAAAAAAATCACTTAGTCATAAATGACCTAGCAAACCAAGAAAAAATATTGCTCAAATCATATCCTGTGACAGCTTTGTTGGAAATGCATAAACTGCATTTGGGACCTCTTGATGATCATTGCCTCAAAAATTTTTCATACTCCTCTGAGTCAGAGAAATCTCTCTTATCTAAACTAACTTATTTCATCGCATGTAAAAATTTGGATCTGTCATGAAATAATTATACTTAGGATGATGATGATCAATGCATACCCTTGTACAAAATGATGGCTATTTGCCAGGCACCTGTGAAGCTTATCACATGTGTTTTCTTACATAATTTTGTTTTTTTTTTGAGATGGAGTCTCACCTTGTTGCCCAGGCTGGAGTGCAATGGTGCGATCTTGGCTCACTGCAACCTCTGCCTCCCAGGCTCAAGCGATTCTCCTCCCTCAGCCTCCCAAGTAGCTGGGATTACAGGAGTGCACCACCATGCCCGACTAATTTTTGTATTTTCAGTAGAGACGGGGTTTCACCATGTCGGCCAGGCTGGTCTCAAACTCCTGACCTCAGGTGATCCACCTACCGTGGTCTCCCAAAGTGCTGGGATTACAGGCATGAGCCATCGCACCCGGCCCATGTTTTCTTACATAATTTCTACAAAAATTGTATAAGTTTAAAAATCCTCATTTTTATAAATAGGTTTGAACAAAGCACATAGCTTACCTGAGTTCACATTATGTCATTAATCAGGGGTTCAAACCAGATTTGCCTGTTTCTGCAGCCTGTCCTCTCATCTGCTCTACTATATTGACCTGATCTGAGCTGCAGTATGCCTGCATGAATGAAGGGAAATGAGACGTTGCAGCAATTATTCACAGAGCTGAGCATGGGGGGTGGGGTGGAGAGTGACTCTTTTTGGAGAGGGAGATGATTTGACATCTTTGATGACTTAGGGGTATCATTTTTCAACTAAAGCATTCACTTAGCTGTTATCATTCCGATCATTTGTATTCATTCAATTTTCCATCTAGCAAGGTAAGCACTTTTAATTTCCATATGTAAAATAGATAAACGTATTTTTATTAAGAGGGTTGTATCCTGAATGAAACCCAATATCTTTCACCGTTAATTGCTCCATTTAAGTTTTGGGAGGGTAAAACAATCACAGTATTTGTAGGTGCTTCATAATTAGTTGAGCATTTTCCAATTCATTGCCTGCAATGTAACAAAGCAGGTGTTGGTACCTCTATTTCATTGATGAGGAAACAATTTTAGAGAGTTGTGTGACTTTTTCTAAATCTTCAGACTCCAGATCTCGTGCTCTATTCCTTACAATTCTTTAAAAAGCAATTGAATGCTGGTGGTAGAAAGGTGAGCAGAGTTGTACTGTAATCAAACAGAGATGAGCATTAACAATGGAAGTAAACTGCCAGTTGGAAGAAGTATAATGAGGTCATTCAAAGCTATTAATAACTTCATAGGACAGTGATTTTCACATTAGTTTTGTTGTTGTTGTTGTTTTTTATACTTTTTTGTTTTGTTTTGTTTTGTTTTGTTTTTTGAGACGTAGTCTCGCTCTGTTGCCCAGGCTGGAGTGCAGTGGTGTGATCTCAGCTCACTGCAACCTCCATCTCCCGAGTTCAAGCAATTCTCTGCCTCTCAGCTAGTACCTGGGATTACAGGCACCTGTCACCATGCGCAGGTAATTATTTTTGGATTTTTAGTAGAGACGGGGTTTCACCATCTTGGCCAGGCTGGTCTTGAACTCCTGACATCATGATCCACCCGCCTCGGCCTCCCAAAGTGCTGGGATTACAGGCGTGAGCCACCGCGTCTGGCCCACACTAATTTTTTAGCTGTAGAATGGGTGTCACGACCACCACTGCCTGCAGCACATTTGTGTTGATGATTATTTTCTTTTTCTCTTTTCTTCTGTTAATGTGAATAATATCATTGATCAATTTTCTAATCTTAACTCAATCTTGCATTCCTGGAATAAAACCAACTTCATGGTTATGTATTATTACATATTACTAGGTTTGATTCACTATTATTCTATGTATTGTTTTGCACCTGTGTTCATGAGAATTACTGACCTGTAATATTTCTTTTTATTGCAATGTCCTTATTAGGTTTTAGTATCCAGGTTATGTTTCTTGTGGTTTTTTTTTTTTTTTTTTTTTTTTGATGGAGTCTCACTCTGTCACCCAGGCTGGAGTGCAGTGGTGCGATCTCGGCTCACTGCAAGCTCCGCCTCCTGGGTTCACGCCTTTCTCCTGCCTCAGCCTCCCAAGTGGCTGGGACTACAGGCGCCAGCCACCACGCCCGGCTAATTTTTCGTATTTTTAGTAGAGACGGGGTTTCACCATGTTAGCCAGGGTAGTGTCAATCTTTTGACCTCGTGATCCACCCGCCTCGGCCTCCCAAAGTGCTGGGATTACAGGCATGAGCCACCACGCCCAGCCCAGGCTATGTCACTGTTATCAAAAGAGTTGGCATTTCAACTTTTTCCTTTTTAAAATTGTTCTGTAAGATTTCATGTAAGATTGATGTTATTTCTTCCTTAAATAGTAGGAAGAATATAATGGTGAAATCATCTGGGCCTGCAATTTGCTTCTGGAAAAGATTGTAAATTATGAATTAAATTTTTTAAGTGCATATATTAATAATAGCCCTCAACTTTTCTATTTCTTCTTGCATCATTTTTGCTAAATTGTGTTTTTCAAGTCACGTTTTAGTTAGGGTTCTCCAAAGAGATAGAACTGATAGGAGATGTGTGTATGCATACATATACACATGCTCAGCTCTGTGAGTAATTGCTGCAACGTCTCATTTCCCTTCATTCATACAGGCATACTGCAGCTCAGATCAGGTCAATATAGGAGAGCAGGTGGGAGGACAGGCTGCAGAAACAGGCAAATCTGGTTTGAACCCCTGATTAATGACATAATGTGAACTCAGGTAAGCTATGTGCTTTGTTCAAACCTATTTATAAAAATGAGGATTTTTAAACTTATACAATTTTTGTAGAAATTATGTAAGAAAACATGGGCCGGGTGCGATGGCTCATGCCTGTAATCCCAGCACTTTGGGAGACCACGGTAGGTGGATCACCTGAGGTCAGGAGTTTGAGACCAGCCTGGCCGACATGGTGAAACCCCGTCTCTACTGAAAATACAAAAATTAGTCGGGCATGGTGGTGCACTCCTGTAATCCCAGCTACTTGGGAGGCTGAGGGAGGAGAATCGCTTGAGCCTGGGAGGCAGAGGTTGCAGTGAGCCAAGATCGCACCATTGCACTCCAGCCTGGGCAACAAGGTGAGACTCCATCTCAAAAAAAAAACAAAATTATGTAAGAAAACACATGTGATAAGCTTCACAGGTGCCTGGCAAATAGCCATCATTTTGTACAAGGGTATGCATTGATCATCATCATCCTAAGTATAATTATTTCATGACAGATCCAAATTTTTACATGCGATGAAATAAGTTAGTTTAGATAAGAGAGATTTCTCTGACTCAGAGGAGTATGAAAAATTTTTGAGGCAATGATCATCAAGAGGTCCCAAATGCAGTTTATGCATTTCCAACAAAGCTGTCACAGGATATGATTTGAGCAATATTTTTTCTTGGTTTGCTAGGTCATTTTGCTAGGTCATTTATGACTAAGTGATTTTTTTTACAAGTACTTGGCTAGACTGGAACTTAGAAGAATATATATCCACATAATTATTCAGTGTCTAAATGTAATTCCCTTTAGGTAGCCTTCCAAGCGCTGATAAACTTACCAGACCCTAGGCAAATGGCCCTCCATGGTGGGCACTGCGGTTTGTCCATCCAGTGACATTCTGGAGAACAGCCCCTCGTCCTGATGGGATAGTGCATTATCAGGCCCCTCCCCCCGCTATCATGGGCACAGGTTGCAACCTGGTGGTCAGTCAATAACTAGGGAGTCGGGGCTGGGTGCGGTGGCTCACGCCTGTAATCCCAGCAGTTTGGGAGGCTGAGGCAGGCGGATCACGAGGTCAGGAGATCGAAACCATCCTGGCTAACACGGTGAAACCCTGTCTCTACTAAAAATACAAAAAGTTAGCCAAGCATGGTGGCAGGCACCTGTAGTCTCAGCTACTCGGGAGGCTGAGTCAGGAGAAACATGTGAACCCGGGAGGCAGAGTTTGCAGTGAGCCGAGATCACGCCACTGTACTCCAGCCTGGGTGACAGAGCACGACCCTGTCTCAAAAACAAAAACAAACTAAAACAAAAAAACAAACAAACAAACATGACTAGGGAATCCATCTCCCCAGCAGGAAGAAACACATGATTTCAGTAGGGTCGACTGGTTTCTCTCACCCCTAATCAACAGAGCCTAATTAATGTACACATTGAATAAGACATTTTCCAGGGCATTCACTGCCTCTTAATGACTTGCATTCCTCCATTCTACACCGTTGTCCTAAAAAATTTTGACCAAAATATTTGGAAGATGATTTTCACAAAGGTTGGGCTACAGTCTCACATTAATTAGCTTGCTGGTTTAGTTTTTTTGTTTTGTTCTTCCTTGAAGTTAAGGTCACCCCAATGGTGGCATACCTTCATATCTCCTTATGTATACATCTTTTATTGAGCATAATAGACAGCACTGCAGAAGTACATAAATATTCAGCAGCAGTAGCAAATGTTAAAATTTCAAGTGGATTGCTATTTAACAATCACTCAAACACTAGCAAAAATATATTACGTTTTCAGTGTTTTTCTATTCATTTCTGAAAATGTATAACAAATGCATTCAGATACAACAATGGCTCTTTTCCACTTTCTGAAGTTTTGTACTCCAAAAAGTAATTCCCAGTCAATCTCACAGCCATTCTATATTAGAGGAATTAGTGCCCCGACAAAGCAAGTAGAAACACTGAATTAGACTTTGATTCAATGAAATTATTGCTCAAAGACGATTGGTACTTGAGATGCATAACTGATCTGGGTTTACCAACTTAACCATCTTTGCAACTACTTGTCTGCCTTGTGAAAATATTTTCTTTATTTGTCATTAGAAATGTGACATTGGCTTGTAGTAAAAAGGAAATGAACAACACAGAAGTTTATGAAATAGAAAACAAAATTCTCCACTACATTTGATCCCCACTCCCCAGGGATAACCAATGGATTAATTTCAACCTCCTCACATGTTATTATTTTAATTCTGCCATTCAGATGCTGGTAATATGCAACTGAAAAACGCAATGCATAAGGTACCTCTGATGTAATAAACATGAAGGACGTATGGAAGCCAAAGAAAAAGTCAGTTACTCCATCAACAGGATCGGTGCAACAATAATTAAGAATTATTTGTCAAAAAATGAATATAGAGTGGCCTTAAAATTGGGCAGCTTTGCAGTGTCACTTAGGATCGTTTCCTGTCGTAACCAAACCCAAGTCCAGCTGCAAGTGCAGCTACTCAGAGGTCAAAAACTCAAGAATTGAGGTATGCTGAAAGGAAGTAATTTTATTCAAAGGCTAGCAGCTGGGGAATGGCCAGACTCATGCCCTTAAAAGATCATTCCAAACGTTACGCTGAGGAGAAGGATTTATAGAGGGGAACTTGGAATGGAGGCATGTGAGATGGTGCTGGGTCCAAGGTCTGTGTGTCGTGTTCCAGCGGCCATCTTGAGTCACAGTTCACCTGGAGTATCGGCTGGCATCATCTCGACAATGGCTGGGTTGTAGACTAACTGCCTTAACGTGATCTCTGGAATTTCACAGCTAGGTCTCCATGCCTGGTTTGTCTCAAGATTAGCCCCTGAAACTTCTAAGAAAGCATGTACTTAGATAGGCTAGCAGTGCAAGGAAGTATCTGATGAGAAGGGAGGGAAGCAAAGAATTTTAAAGTATCACATATTTCAAGGCTAGTCTCATACTCCTGACCACAGGTGATCTGCCCCTCTCGGTCTCCCAAAGTGCTGGGATTACAGGCTTGAGCCACTGCGCCCAGCCCAAAGGAAGACTCTTGGGAGAGGATGAGAAAAATTGGTACGTTTCTCACGTTTCCCGGGTTCATGACGCTCTCCTGCCTCAGCCTCCCGAGTAGCTGGGACTACAGACGTCCACCACCACGCCCAGATAATTTTTTGTATTTTTAATAGAGACAGGGTTTCACTGTGTTAGCCAGGATGGTCTCGATCTCCTGACCTCGTGATCTGCCCACCTCAGCCTCCCAAAGTGCTAGGATTACAGGCGTGAGCCACTGCACCCGGTCTAATCTCTTCTCTTATAGATGACCCAGCCTCAGGTATTCCTTTATAGCAACACAAATGGACTAAGAAAGTTTATGAATAATAATTAGAGAGATAAAACAGCTGCTATGCTAGGACTCCTGACCATGTATCCAAATTATTCAGATGAACCACATGCATTCTATTAATGGGGGTTCACAAAACATGGTCACCGTGTCCAAGACATGCTAATTCATCACTATCAGCACTAATGAGTTTGTCTTCTTAGTACTTTTCAGAAAAAAGGCCATTGTCTTAGCCCTAACATCAAAGTGTCTTCCCTTCCCACAGCTGCCCACAGAGCTGCATAATGATTCTAATCATGTCCCCCAAAAGTGCATTTAGGATAATTCTGTTGCTAGGATTTGTCAACCAAATTGGCATGATCTGTATGCTATCAAAACCCTCTACACCATCATTAAAAGAACCCCAGGAAAAAAAATTGGCAAACTGAGTATATACAAAGATAATAAAACCAGCTTGGCCCCATTTAGCCTTTGCATTTCTAAGGTATTGTTTTTCATTGTTTCGGCTTCCTACACCCAGCTTTATACGTTAATGCAGGTTCTGAGGATGATTTTACATTTAGGGACTATGAGATAACACCAGAAGCGTAAGACCAATGGGAAATTAGATCAAACATTTGCTATAAGGAAAAAATCTGGCCGCAGTTGCTTGGTATCACATGTATCAGCAGCAGTTCTACTTCTAGAAGAAAATTATTTGAGATATTCAACAGTTTCATGCCACACAAGAGAATCTTGCATCTTATCTGTCAGCATGGAGTGTGGTCAGGCTGTACCAGTTCAGCTGGAAGTGAACTGGCACCATCTGGCCACAGAACTATCAGACTTATAAAGTAAAGGTTTTGCTTGTTTAGACTTTTAAATAAGAACAGCCAAATCCGTAAAGCAGATAATAGAGATACAGCTAACAAGTCAGTAATAAAAAATGTAACCAAATAAACTTTAGTGCTTACAGACATATTGAAAAGCACTGATTCTAAAGTCATCCTTTTTATACTCAAATTTTACTGTCACATTCCTCCCCTCACCTTCAATTAAATTCTTGAGAATAATAGCAATAATCCACAGGACACTAAAAAGAGTTCGCAGATGAGATTGCTCAGGGAAAATATTGGCCCAGATTGATCTGATTCAAAAAGCTCTGCTTCTGGAAACAACACTGAACATTCTGCGTTGACTTGCTAAAGGTCTCAGTGTCACATGGACAACCAGTCGCTGACACCCTTGTCTTATCGCCCCAGCCATCCCTGTCCATAGGGCAATATGCAAAGGGGACAAGGCATGGGACAGGTCCTACTAGACAGAGTGGAAATCACGGGGGAACTGTGACATGCTAAGGGTTTCCCTGTAGAGACTGAAAGTGATCAGAAAGCCTCCTGGTGCTCATTACTAAAGAAATAAAATATTCAATAATACTTGTTAAAATAAAGAAGGAAGGCTTTATTCTGGAGACCATGGCTATAGGCATAGAGACCACTGCAATAGGATTTTGCAGTAGGGGAGAGAGACGGGGCTCACCTCCGAATACAGCATGAGCAAGTCGGAATGCACAGCCAAGGAGCAAGGTGGGGGCGAGGTCAGTGGGTGGAAAGTGACTAAGAGGAAACCGTAGGTCAGGGGGATGCTGTCTAAACCAACCTAACAGGATGCATGTTGAAAGCAGGCCAGGCTGATCAGACATCACCAGTGGGATGGCAGAGGATGGGCAACCCAATCCAGTATCATCAAGGGTGATCAGATACTGATGGTGGCAGGTTCTTAACTAAACTGACTTAGCAAGATTTTTGCAAAAGCTGATTTTACAAGGAAGTGCACAGATGGGCCTAGGAGAAGGTTTGGGAGCCTGATAAATATATAGCTAATGAAATAAATATAGATCATGAAAGTTGGGTCATGCAAAGAATCTTTGTCACCATGCTCTCCCAGAGTCTCTATTTTTATCAGTTTTTTTTTATTGTGGTAAAATATTCATAAGTATGTAACATAAAAATTACAATGTTCACCATGTTTAAATGTGTACTTCAGCGGCAGTGGGGACATTCACATCGGTGTACGACCATCTCCACCATCCATCTCCCCAACTCTTTCTTTCTTTCTTTCTTTTTGAAACAAAGTCTCGCTCTGTTGCCAGGCTGGAGTGCAATGGTACGATCTCGGCTCACGGCAACCTCCACCTCCCAGTTTCAAGCAATTCTCCTGCCTCAGGAGAATCTCCCTGCTTCCCAAGTAGCTGGGACTACAGGTATGTGCCACCATGCCCAGCTAATTTTTTTTTTTTGAGATGGAGTCTCACTCTGTGGCCCAGGCTGGAGTGCAGTGGCGCAATCTCAGCTCACCCCAACCTCCACCTCTCAGGTTCAAGTGATTCCCCTGCCTCAGCCTCCCAAGTAGCTGAGATTACAGGCCCGCACCCACCACACCCAGCTAATTTTTTGTATTTTAATAGAGACGGGGTTTCACCATGTTGGCCAAGACGGTCTCCATCTCCTGACCTCGTGATCCGCCCACCTCGGCTTCCCAAAGTGCTGGGATTACAGGCGTGAGCCATGGTGCCCAGGCTCCACAACTCTTTATTCTGCAAAACTGAAACTCTGCACCCATTGAACAGTAACTCTGCATCTCCCATCCCCCAGCCCCTGACAACCCCCATTCTACTTTCTGTCTCTATGGCTTTGACTTCTCTAGAGACCTCATCTAAGTGAATCATACAATGTTTGTTCTTTTGTGGCTGGCTTCTTTCACTTAGCCTGATGTCCTCAAGTTTCATCTGTGTTCCAGCATGTGTCAGAATTCCATTCCTATTAAGGCCGATTAACATTCCATGGCATGTGTTTGCCACAGTTTGCTTATCCATTCATCCCCCCATGGACATTTGTGTTGTTTTTGCCTTTAGCTATTGGGAATAATGCTGCTATGCACATGGTTCATTTGGTGTTTTTTTTTTTTTTTTTAACTTTAAACTCTTATAATATGATGGCATGGATACTGAAAGCTTGTTTGGGAGGCAGTAGATTGTAGTGGTTCAGAGGATGGGCTCTGAGGTCAGACTAGCTTGAATCTCAGTTATGTTGCTTGGGAGCTGTGTGACCTGATGTCAGTTACCTAACCTCTCTGTGCCTTTGTTGCCTAATCCATAGCATACAAATTATCTTCATGTCTACCTCCTAGGGCTGTTGTAAAGTTGATAATGTAAGCAGAGTGCTTATCACAGAGGTTTGCACATGGTAAGCATTCAATAAATGTTAGCTGTTTTTTTGTTTTGTTGTTTTTTGTTTTTGTTTTTGTTTTTTTTTTGAGACAAAGTCTCTCTGTCACCAAGGCCGGAGTGCAGTGGCACGATCTCGGCTCACTGCACCCTCCACCACCCAGGTTCAAGCGATTCTGTGCCTTAGCCTCCCAAGTAGCTAGGATTACAGCTGCCCACCACCACGCCAGCTAATTTTTGTATTTTAATAGACACGGGGGCGTTTACCATGTTGGCCAGGTTAGTCTCAAACTCCTGACCTCAGGTGATCCACCCACCTCGGCCTCCCAAAGTGCTGGGATTGCAGGCATGAGCCACCATGCCCCGCCGGCTGTTATTTTTAATATAGAAAAATTTTTAAATGCAAGCAAACAAATAGAAAAAAATTAAAATTACCCTTTATCCTGAAGATATTTCTTATTATAGATTTTGAGATTTATCCATGCTCACATTTTTTCTTACAAAAATTAAAAACCATAGACATTTTGGTTGACTCTGTCTTCTTGCTAACTATAAATTGTAAACTGCTTTGTGAAACCATTATTGTACTTTTAAATCATCACTTTTTTTATTTTACTTTTTTTTTTTGAGACAGAATCCCGCTCTGTCTCCCAGGCTGGAGTTCAGTGGCGTGATTTCGGCTCACTGCAATCTTTGCCTTCTGGGTTCAAGCAGTTCACCTGTCTTAGCCTCCCAAGTTGCTGAGACTACAGGCGTAGGCCACCACGCCCAGCTAATTTTTATTTATTTATTTATTTATTTATTTATTTATTTATTTATTTATTTTTTGAGATGGAGTCTTGCTCTGTCGCCCAGGCTGGAGTGCAGTGGCACGATGTTTGCTCACTACAAGCTCCGCCTCCCGGTTTCACGGCATTCTCCTGCCTCAGCCTTTTCGAGTAGCTGGGACTACAGGCGCCTGCCACCACGCCCGGCTAATTTTTTTTTTTTTTTTTTTTTTTTTTTTTTTTTTTTTTTTGTATTTTTAGTAGAGACGGGGTTTCACCATGTTAGCCAGCATGGTCTAGATCTCCTGACCTCGCGATCCGCCCGACTCGGCCTCCCAAAGTGTTGGGATTACAGGCGTGAGCCACGACGCCCAGCCTTTACATCATCACTTTTAATGGCTGCATAATCCCTTTTGGGGAAGATTCCACAATTTATTTACCTGTACTAGGTCTCCCTCAGGTTGAGGTCCCCAGAAGCAGAGTCTGAGGTAGGGACACGCACCTGGAAGAAAGCAATTGGCAGGCAAGGGAGCAGGACACGGAGGCCGGCACCCAGCACAGGTGCGATCTCAGCAGAGCCCTCAGAAGGCAGCTTGAGCCTGAGTCCATGGGAGTAAGAATGCCTCGGAATAGCCCGAAGCCAAGGCAAGGATGCTGGGATTTGTACTCACTCCCCTGTGGGTTTCCTGTTCACTCTCCTGTGGGTTTTCCCGCTCACTGACCTGTCTGGTGTTGGATAAGACTCAGCCAGGGTCCCTTCCACATCTCTGCACACACAGACAAAGCTGGCGCGCGTAGCCTGCAGCAACTGATGCTACTGCTCGAGCAAAACTCACACCCAAGGACACGCACACACAAGAAATTCACCCCTGTGGTCAGGGGAGACCACCAGCATCATCCCCTCTAAGGACCCATACGTGAATCAAGTCTACTCCAACAAATGAATGTGTGCAGAGAATACACGCACGCCCAGCCATGGGTCCGTGTAACCCTTTTTCCATGAAACATCCAGAACACCTCCCATTTGCCAATTCCCATGTGGGGCTCTCTCTCACTCCCCTGGTTGCACAACCCCATGGGCCTCACAGCTCAGCTGCTTCTTGTCTGCAAGTGAAAGACGTCAGAAAGCCTGCGAGCCACGGACCGGAGAGCAGCAGCAGTCAGACCACATCAGTGAATTACTGTAGTATCGATCCTCACAGCAACAATGTGGCAGCCTTAGTGGTATCTGCCTGGGTCGGTGAGTTACAAGTGCCAGCTACGAGCTTAGATGCTGTAAGAGTCCTTTCGGCTGGGCGAGGTGGCTCATGCCTGTAATCCCAGCACTTTGGGAGGCCTAGGCGGGCAGATCACGAGGTCAGGAGATCGAGACCATCCTGGCCAACGCGGTGAAACCCCGTCTCTACTAAAAATACAAAAACTTAGCCAGGCGTGGTGGCGGGCGCCTGTAGTCCCAGCTACTCTGGAGGCTGGAGCAGGAGAATGGCGTGAACCCGGGAGGTGGAGCTTGCAGTGAGCCGGGATTGCGCCACTGCACTACAGCCTGTGCAAAAGAGCAAAACTCCGTCCCAAAAAAAAAAAAAAAAAGTCCTTCCAGCCTCTGTAAGTAATCTGAAAAATACCCAGGAGGGACACTGTGGGAATTCCAGTTGGCATTCTTTTTTCTTGTCGTTTTTAAGCCTCTTTTAATACTTTATTTTAATACATTTTATCACAATGGTGGAAAGTAGAAAAGTATCTTTATTTTCTAGACTACTGGGAGTTGGAAAATGGAAAATGCCTTATACCCTGGCATTGGCTCTACAGGAGCCTCCTTGCCGGAGGGAAGAGGTGGGTTCATCTCAAAGAGAGGGATGTGTGCTTTTGATCCCCATGTTTCTGTCTAGCCCAGGCCTGAATGCCGACTACAAGCTAAGCAGGTTACATCATCTCCGTAAGCCTCCATTTCTTCAGCTGTAAAATGGGGGTAATTCACAATGTAATGTCTGCCTCATAAATTTGTCTTGAATACTAAGTGTGCAGATGTAAACGATTGAGCATAGTTCCTGGTGCACCGGAAACTTCCTCATCTGTAGGAGAAGACTTGGATTTAATTGTATTCTAGTTAATTGTATTTTTGTTTTTGAGAGAGTCTCTCTGTCACCCAGGCTGGAGTGCAGTGGCACAATCTCGGCTCACTGCATCCTCCGCCTCCCGAGTTCACGCCATTCTCCTGCCTCAGCCTCCCTAGCAGCTGGGACTACAGGTGTCCACCAACACGCCTGGCTACTTTTTTATATTTTTTATTAGAGACGGGGTTTCACCGTGTTGGCCAGGATGGTCTTCATCTCCTGACCTCGTGATCCGCGTGCCTCAGCCTCCCAAAGTGTTGGGATTACAGGCATGAGCCACTACACCCGGCTTCTAGCCTGTGATTCTGATTTCTCCTCTAATTCAGATAGATCATGTGTTCAGTAGGGTTTTGGCACCACCTATAATCATGAGAAATAGCAAAATAAAAGCCAGAGGTGTGCGGATTGTTAAGCAAAAGCCCTGAGTGTCTGTTAGGCTCCCTCAGTGATCTGAGATGCAAAGTGCAGGGCCTCATCGGCGTTGAAGATGGAGATGGTTGGGAAGACAGTGAGCAGCCAGGAAGAGGAGCCCAGCCGGAGGGGAACTCAGAAGCCAAGTGCAGGGAGTCAGGGCTCCCCTGAAGTGGGGATTTGGGGAACAATTGACAAGACAGTCAGAACAATGCAGGCAGGGAACACCCCTTTCCCCCAGAGCCGTGGTTACTAAGGCAGGTGTCCCCCTTACAGGGCCCATCTGAAAGGTACATACTGGCACCTGCTACCTTCACTGATTGGTCTGCAAAATCCAACCATGGCTCAGAAATCAAACAACTGACTTACAGGCAACCTTTCCGATCATAACCCATTGTGAACTGAAGACCACACAAATATAAAAGCCAGTCCTCTCCACTAAGAAGTCAAAAGTCATTGTTTTCCAGAGATCAAAAACAAATTAAAAGCCAACATATTTACAGCTATTTTCCATTTGTAGAGGAGATAGAAGAAATTATTATTAGACAACTTTGCTCCACACTCCACCAAAGAAAAAATACATTCTTTAGTGTAATATATTTCTCAAGGTTAAAGAAAATACAGTTGAAAAATAATCTCTAAATTATTTCTAAAAATACAGCCTGTGTTTCTTTGTTTTCATCAGCATACCACTTCTGATTTATGTATTTTATCTGTTTAAATAAATAATTGAATTTAATACTGCACATTAATTTTTAATTCACAGATAGTAAATCCTTGTTGAATGCAGTGAGTTTCACTTCCAAACAGTAACAAAATCAAAATTTGCTGTGGGACTTAGCATATTAACTACAATAATCACACTTCTCATTTTCCTCACTTCTTCTAGACTTGCAAGACTGTCCCAGACTGTAAATGGAAAGAGGGGCCCACATGATCCTCTTCTTGTATTTCCTGTAAAATAAAATCAAACTCAGCCGGGCACGGTGGCTCACGCCTGTAATCCCAGCACTTTGGGAGGCCAAGGCGGGCAGATCACCAGGTCAAGAGATCGAGACCATCCTGGCCAACATGGTGAAACCCCCATGTCTACTAAAAATACAAAAATTAGCTGGGCGTGGTGGCACGCACCTATAATCCCAGCTACTCTGGAGGCTGAGGCAGGAGAATCTCTTGAACCCAAGAGGCAGAGGTTGCAGTGAGCCGAGATCGTGTCACTGCACTCCAGCCTGGCGACAGGGTTTATTGGGTTAAATAAAATTAAACCTAAATGTTATGTATGTTCTCAGGGCAGTATGTAGAGACTGTCTCTCGTTCCATCAGTTGATTCCCTGTAAACTGTCCAATTTTATCCAAGAGATTGACAGTGAGACCATTTTCCTATATTGTTAGACTTCCTCGTAGAGCATTTGTGTAACATTTCTTGTGACTTCACTAGCTTCTGAGTGAGAAATGTTTATAAGTAGGATTACCAATGCCTGATATCACAAATCTTAGTTGTTGGGGAAACTAATAAGGAAACCATACTCAATTTGTTTTATGAAACAGACAAAAGATTTAGTCATTCACTAAACAAGAATAAATTGTATGAACCAGCCTGATACTTCACTTTGAAGATATTTAATTGTTCAAATTCAAAGCAGCATTATCACGCCTAATGCTGGGTAAGTATGCACACGTACGTGGCAGATATTATTTTTTCAAATTACAGCCAGAAAGGGACAATATGAGGAAAAGCAAAGAGAGCGTCATCCTGCTGTTGATTTATGTATCTGTCTCAGTCATTCGGGGCTACTATGACAGAATCCCACATACTGGCTGGATTAAACAACAAACA
Organism: Homo sapiens; assembly: GCF_000001405.40. Taxonomy (NCBI): domain Eukaryota; kingdom Metazoa; phylum Chordata; class Mammalia; order Primates; family Hominidae; genus Homo; species Homo sapiens. The sequence continues at coordinate 6,311,600 of NC_000008.11, forward strand.
TGTATTTCTCAGAGTTCTGGAGGCTAGAGGTCCCAGGTCAAGGTGCTGGCTGATTCAGTGTCTGGTGAGGGCCTGTGTCCTGATTCATAGACAGTGCCTCTCACTGCCTCCTCAAGTAGCTGAGAATGAGTGTTCTTGGGGCCTCTTCTTACAGGGCACTCATCTTATCATCAGGATTCCACCCTCACAACCAATCACCTTCCTAAGGCCTCTCTTCCCAGGACTTCGGCATATGCATTTGGCATTGTATTTTTGTAGAGACAGGGTTTTGACATATTGGCCAGGGGACACAAACATTCAATCCACTGCATTATGATTTTCAAATTACTATTGTTTAAACATATCTTCTCTATAGATGAACTTTTACTGCTTTTGCAAATAATATATGTTGCATGTCCAGGCAAAAAAAAAAAAAAAAAATGCTACAGGATCAGAATATGGTAATATTTAAAAATCTAGGATTCTCCATGTGCAAAATGTATGTTTTTAAAAATATTTTGGGACAAACTAGCCTAACAAGATGTTGCATTGCAAAAAAATAAAATATTATAATCACAAATTATTCCCCATCCCTCATTTCCCTCCCTGATATTTCACCTTCTCTACACCCAGGAACAAGAGTTGATTTTTCTGGCTTACCATTCTATTGTCCTATTATTCTAGGCTGTGGGAACGTAACTGTGGAAAGAGAGTGAAAGAAAACTCAGGAAGTAGGCTCCAAAGAACAAGCGTGTTCTAAATAGTACAATGCTAAATCAGAAGGATGCACAAGGGCATTAGTACCAACTATTGTGAGTCAGGACACTCATGATCTTCATGCTCTAACCAGCTTATAACACCAACCACAGACGTATCTGCCCTCTGTCAAACCCAACCCTGTTGGGAGGCCTGGAAACCAAAGAAATGGTGACAATAACACCTGTGACTTGGCCAGGCACGGTGATTCAAGCCCGTAATCCCAGCATTCTGGGAGGCCAAGGCGGACAGATCACGATGTCAGGAGTTCAAGACCAGCTTGGCCAATATGTCAAAACCCCATCTCTTCTAAAAATACAAAAAAACTAGCCAGGCATGATGGCACGGGCCTGTAATCCCAGCTACTCAGGAGGCTGAAGTAGGAGAATCTCTCGAACCCAGGAGGCAGAGGTTGCAGTAAGCTGAGATTGCACCACTGCACTCCAACCTGGGCAATAGAGGGAGAATCCGTTAAAAAAAAAAAAAAAAAAAATCTTGTGACAGACAGAATCATGTCTTCCCAAAGAAAGCCTGTGACAAGGTCATCTTACATAGCAAAGGGTACTTTACAGGTGTGATTAAATGAAGGACCTCGAGAGGGGAGATGATCCTGGATGATCCAGGTGGGCCCAATGTCCTCACAAGGGTCCTTACATGGAGGGTCACAGTCAGAGAAGGAGATGTGACCACAGAAGCAGAGGTTTGGGCAAAGAAGAAGCCATGAGCCAAGGAATACAGGCAGCCTCTGGAAGCTGAAGAAAGCAAGGAAACATTTTCCCCCAGAGCCGCCAGAAGGAACACTGCCCCGTTGACACTTTTACTTGCCCCACTAAAACCCATTTTGGACTTCTGACCTCCAGAACTTTAAGATAATAACTTTGTGTTGTTTTAAGCCACTAAATTTGTGGTACTCTTTCACAGCAGCATTAGAAAACTCATAGAACATCCAAAGTTTCAAGGAAGTTGAGCTGGACAGGCATCCTTTGGAAAGTTTGCTTGGGGTGATCTAATGTTGCATAACATCCCTGATACCTGAAATGGCGTTAGGTATGAAGTATTCCTGGACACGACCTGCAGTTACTCCACCACTGGCCTGTCCCCAAGCCTTACAGGGAAGGACTTGGACCCATTCAGAGTCAAAACAAAAGACTTTGTTTCCTTTGTCCACTGGCCAGTGTCCGATGCGTGCCCATATAAAACAACAAGAATCACGGCCAGTTCCCCCTTCACTTACTTTCTTCAAGAAACATGTATGACGCATCAGTGGTCCACGTGGCCCCGTGCTTAGTGATGCAAGGGAGGCAAAAACAGGTAAGTCCTGGACACTGGCTGCAAGGAACTTTTTGTTTCACAGGAGAAAAGGGTCATGAACATAAGGAACCACAGTGCAAGGGAGACATTGCTCAGTGCCAGCCGGGAGGTGAAGAGTAAGAGTTTAAACATTCAAGAAAAGCAATGTCAGTGCTCAACACGGAGCACATGCCCAGTAACTAGATGAGCTGGCATTCTAGCTGGAAAAGCCCAGGGTGAGTCACAGAAGGAAGCGGACTTTGACCTGGGTACTAAAGAATGGGAGGGTTTCGGAGGCTGAGGCAGGAGAATCACTTGAACTCAGGAGGCGGAGGTTGCAGTGATCCCAGATCGCACCACTGCACTCCAGCCTGGATGACAGTGCTAGACTCAAGAATGGGAGGGTTACTTAAATGAGAGAAAAGAGCATTCTATGGAGCACAGAATAAAGATGAAAACAGAAAAGATGCACGCATATAAGAAATGCGCACCAGATTTAAGATCCATGGGAGCAGGCGTTTTTGTCTGATTTGTTCGCCCATCTACTCTTTATGCTTAGGATAGTGCCAGGCATTAGGAAGCTCTCCAGAAATCTTTTTTCTTCTTTTTTCTTCTTTTTTTGTTTTTTTGAGACAGAGTCTCGCTCTGTCACCCAGGCTGGAGTGCAGTGGCATGATCTCAGCTCACTGCAACCTCCGCCTCCCGGGTTCAAGCCATTCTCCTGCCTCAGCCTCCCAAGTAGCTGGGACTACAGGACCCGCCACCACGCCCGGCTAATTTTCTCTATTTTTAGTAGAGATGGGGTTTCACCATGTTAGCCAGGATGGTCTCGATCTCCTGACCTCGTGATCTGCCCGCCTCAGCTTCCCAAAGCACTGGGATTACAGGCATGAGCCACCGCGCCCGGCCACAAGTCACTGGTTTGTTTTTTTTTTTTTTTTTTTTTTTGAGATGGAGTTTCGTTCTTGTCGCCCAGGCTGGAGTGTGCAATGGCGCGATCTCAGCTCACTGCAACCTCCGCCTCCTGGGTTCAAGCCATTTTCCTGCCTCAGCCTCCTGAGTAGCTGGGATTACAGGTGCCCACCACCACACCCGGCTAATTTTTGTATTTTTAGTAGAGACGGGGTTTCATTATGTTGGCCAGGCTGGTCTCGAACTCCTGAACTCAGGTAATCCACCTGCCTTGGCCTCCCAAAGTGCTGGGATTATAGGCATGAGCCACCGCGCCCGGCCCACAAGTCACTTTTAAATGAGAAGCTGTATCCTGAGTCATACAAACATTCTCCAACTTTGAATTAAAAATATAGATGTGTACACAAACTTAAATTATATATGTATACATATATATATACACACACACACACACCCACACACACATATATATATATGAAAAAGAGAGACAGAGGGAATATTCTATGAAGATTCATGAGATTCACATGTATGGATCTATGCAGAATACATGGAATGCATGGATCTTAGTAGTAGTTATTTCAAGCACAGTGCCTGGCACATAATAAATACTTTACGTTTGTTGATTGTTTAATATTGGATATTTTCCCCTCTATTCTCTTCTGTTTCTTCTATTTTTCTCTTAAGAATAAGAACATGGGGCCAGACGCGGTGGCTCATGACTGTAATCCCAACACTTTGGGAGGCCAAGGAGGGTGGATCACAACCTCAGGAATTCGAGGCCAGCCTGGCCAATACGGTGAAACCCCTGTCTCTAATAAAAATGCAAAAAAATCAGCCGGGCACGATGGCGCATGACTGTAATCCGAGCTACTTGGGAGGCTGAGGCAGGAGAACTGCTTGAATCCAGGAGGCAGAGGTTGCAGCGAGCCGAGATCGCACCACTGCACTCCAGCCTGGGCGACAGGGTGAAACTCCAACTCAAGAAAGAAAAAAAAAAAAGGAATAAGAACGTGATTTCTTTTACAGTTAGAAAATTTAATGATTATAAAAACATATCAAGAGATGCCTTTCAATGTCATACGTTCATTTCCATTCACCTCTGTCCTGTGCAAATGGGAGTGCTTCTAGAAGGGAGCTTCTGCCGCTGTTGAAATGAGTCCATCCCCAGGGGGTCTGTGGCATTGGTGATCATGCTAAAATAAAAGGAAAACGCTAAGTGCCAGAGTCTGATCTTCCTCCACATCCCTGTAAGCCAAGTTCGCTTTGATGTTAAGTGCCAGCTGTGTGTTTGGATCACCCTGAGAGGCACAGAGCAAGTGACGCCTTGCACTCTTTGTTCTTTCTCCTGTGGTGCTGGAGACGTCCCGTCCACAGGAGATGGCCCAGCCTGGGGGAGATGCAGATGCTGGGGGGAAGCACATGCACTGGCGATATGCAAATCACTTCAGAGTTACACAGGTCGAGGTCATGATCAAATTACGCTTCCCAGCATAAACATTTTTATTCTCAATATTGATCATTAAAGTTTTTCAATTTTCTTAGTACTTCTTTCCTAACAGTTCACCTTACCAAAGCACAATATGCAGATATTACGGATAAGAGAAACTTTCTCCCAGATTCTCCCCTTCAGCAAAGAGGTCAACAGTATCCGTGTCCCCTACTCAAATTGGAGCCATGCTTAGATTTCACCATTGCCAGTCCAAAAAGGGGTTTCACCTTCCCGTTGTTACAGAAGAGCGGTTCTCTTTGTCTGTCTTCTCCAACCATTTATATTCCTAATGTAATATAAAGCACACAGTTCAGGTAAATATTCTTGTCAGAATGTAACTCACTTTGCTCTAACTTGAAAGCCAGGTGAAATATGGCCATGGGCAAAGGGCTCCATCTTTCCTTTTTTTTTTTTTTTTGAGTCAGAGTCTCGCTCTGTCTCCCAGGCTGGAGTGCAGTGGCATAATCTCGGCTCACTGCAACCTCCACCTCTTGGGTTCAAGCGATTCTCCTGCCTCATCCTCTCAAGTAGCTGAGACTACAAGTGCACACCACCACCCCAGCTAATTTTTGTATTTTTAGTAGAGACAGGGTTTCACAATGTTGGCCAGGATGGTCTCAATCTCTTGATCTCATGATCTGCCTGTCTCAGCCTCCCAAAGTACTGGGATTACAGGCATGAGCCACCGGGCTCAGCTGGGCTCCATCATTCAAAAGTGTATTATCTGAACCTGTGTGACAGTTAATTTTGTGTGTCAATTTGGCTGACCCACAGTGCCCAAATAGTTGGTCAAAAATTATTCTGGGTGCTTCCATGAGGTTGCTTTTGAATGAGATTAACATTTAAATTAGTGGACTTTGAGTAAAGTAGATTGCCCTCCGTAATGCAGGTAGGCCTCATCCAATCAGCTGGAGGCATAAATTGAACCAAATGACTGGCCCTCCCCAAGCAGAAAGGAATTCTCCCGCAGACTCTAACTGCACCATCAGTTCTTCTGGGTCTCCAGTTCCCAGCCCACCGTACAGAAATGGACTTGCCAGCTCATTTCAACAGCAGCAGAAGTTTGGTTCTAGGAACACCCCCATAACTGTGTGAACCAATTCCTGGTAATAAATATCTTTTTAGATATAGATGATTAGATATAGATATAATAGATGGAGATAGATATCAATGATATGGATATAGATATTGATAGATTTTAGATATATATAGATCATATATATACAGATACAGATGATATTAGATATAGATGATGTAAATATAAGTTATATAGATATACATAGATATAGATACAGATGGATATAAAGATACAGATATATCTCCTGTAGGTTGTGAAGAACCCTGATTAATACAGTGTGCCACACATACTTTCTGGATTCCCTTGCTTTGTGTCCTTGGCAATGCCTGCAGACCCCAATCTTAGATTGTCATTCAACTCACATCTTTGCACAGACTCTGTCTGCTTTTTGACTACCTCGTCTTCTGACCTACCTTGGTCTCTACCTGTGTTTGCCTTGGTGGCTGCCCCATCTCATATATCTGACCTCAGCTGAGCCCAATTTTCTGCTCCAATACTTCATCTCGCATAAAATAGGATGAACCAATAAGGTACATCAAAAGAGAGATTACATTTCTAGGAGCCAACCCACATGCTGATGCATATCATGTCCCTGTGGTATTCAGACTTTCTATCTGCCATTAAATGAGAGTCTCATATCTGTTTCTTATTTGGATCCAAATACACTGTGGTAGTGGCTTCCTCGGCACAGAATCTGACTGTCCATTTGTAGCGTCCTGCATGATGCTATGCAGAAATGCAGCATGTCCCAGAAAAGACGATCCGATAGTCCTGTCTGAAGATGAGGCCTCAGAGGGAAATGACCCCTACAATAATGACTTTAGATGCTTTTACACAGAATTTCAGTGCTTCAAGGATTTTCCAGTGCTGACATTTTTGTCTTCATAACACAGAAGACTTTTCTGTTTTTGCTTTGTTTTGTTTGCACTTTAGTAACTATAGAAACAATTGTATAAATTTTCATTAGAATGAGCAGAGTGTCAGGGTTAGGCAAGTTAATTGTACTAAAAATTATACACTGATTATAAGAGGGATAAATGCAAGCATAGGCCGGGGGTGGTGGCTCATGCCTGTAATCCCAGCATTTGAAGAGGTTGACGGAGGTGGATCACTTGAGGTCAGGAGTTTGAGATCAGCCTGGGCAATATGGCAAAACGCTGTGTCTACTAAAAATACAAAAATTAGCCAGGCATGGTGGTGGGCACCTGTAATCCTAGCTACTTGGGAGCCTGAGGCAGTAGAATCACTTGAACCTAGGAGGCAGAGTTTGCAGTGAGCAGAGATCATGCCACTGCACTACACCCTGGGCAACAGAGCAAGACTGTCTCAGTAACAATAATAATAATAATAATAATAATAAATAAATAAAGTTTTTGAGCTCAGGAGTTTGAAACCAGCCTGGGTAACAGAGATCCCATCTCTATTATGCTATATATATATGATATATACATATATATACACACACACACATATATGACATATATATATCTCTATAAATCATAAATGGTTAGTCATTCACAAAAGCAATGATTTTTCCACGGCTTACCACTCAGGGATAAATACAGAGTTTAAATAAAACATTTTATTTTAAAAGTACTATGTGTGAGGCCGGGCGCAGTGGCTCACACCTGTAATCCCAGCACTGTAGGAGGCCAAGGCGGGCAGATCATGAGGTCAAGAGATCAACACCATCCTGGCCAATATGGTGAAACCCCGTCTCTACTAAAAATACAAAAATTAGCCAGGCATGGTAGCGCACACCTGTAGTCCCAGCTACTCAGGAGGCTGAGGCAGGAGAATCGCTTGAACCAGGAGGCAGAGGTTGCAGTGAGCCGAGATCATGCCACTACACTCCAGCCTGGTGATGGAGCGAGACTCTATCTCAAAAAAAAAAAAAAGTACCATGTGTGACTTTTTTGCTTAGTTAACAAATACTTATTGAGTGTCTTCTATATGTAACCAAAAATAAATGTACCTTTCCTAAGTCTGGCTGAATGTGCGTCATACATAAAACCTAGTCTTAAATAATATAATTAGATAATCCTTATCATCATCTTCATCAACACCAAGTTACTCTTGCAAAAAAGGGAGGGGGAGGACTTATTGAAAGAATGCTTGACTAACATTCTAATCCTGTCATGTCCTTGCCTTTCAAGTAATCAAGCACATATATAAATTATAATATCATATTCGAGTGTACTTCCTAACTTGCTCTCTATGGGAAATTTCATCAGAGCCATGTATATACTAATCTATGCTACTTGGCTGAATTAAACCAAAAAGAAACACTTTCCAGAATCTCAATACCTGCTATGGATCTAAAATTGCAATGGTACATACTACACAAATAATATTCCTCAAGCCATACAGTCAATAGGCCCAGAAGAGCCCATAGGATTCCTGTAATAAACTACGGACTCAATGAGATAGCTCAGGTTTAAGATAAAGGGTAATAAAGATTCATGACCTGATAGAATAGTTTTACCTGAGGTGTCTGCAGGTTCTGAAGGGCAGGTTTGCACATAATTAAATATCAAGGAGTGCAGGGCACTCTGCATGCCTCCTCCTCTGTCTCTTCCTCCACCTGACCATTGTTGGAATAAGATTATGTCTCAGAAGCAACCATCTATTCCATGCGAATTCTTTTCCCTCCAGCAGAGTGAACAAAAACTGACGTGGAAACCCAGATATAACAGAGTCGGGATTACCCGGGAAGGTTCAGCGTCTGAGTTTGCGGCTGGGTCCCAGGGGATAACGTTATCTATTACTTAGCTAAACTGGCTGATAGCTCCACTCATAGGCTGAGGCAAGAAGCTCCAGAAGTTCTCCCCATCCCCCTCCATGGGCCCAGGGCACTTTTTCCAGATTCTCCTCCAGCACACCTTCCCCACTGCTCCCAATTTTTTCAGTGGTGTTGTTCTTATTCACTGCCCCCTCCCTTGACACTCCCGACTGACTGTGCTTGCAAGCCTGGCGTCTTGATGAGATCTCAACTTCAGCACCCTTTTGTTTTGTGTCTGGTGATGGGCTGGCCTTTCCCATTTCAAGGCTCTTCCTAAGCTCCAGAAACTCCACATTGCCTGTGAGGAAGAATGGACAGCCAGGAACAGGTGACGAATGATATATCTGTTTAATACTCAAGTTCCATGTCCCAGACCCGTATTATTAAACTGGGTTCCCATGGAGTCCTGGGGTTATGTTCAGGTGTTTTAGGGCACTGAAAAAGGGATCTTGACCTCTATCTCACACCCTGTGTTAGTCAGGGGTCTCCAGAGTAACACAGCCAATAGGATGTGTTTATAAATGCAAAGAGGTTATTATAAGGAATTGGCTCATGCCGTTATGGAGGCTGGCAAGTAAATATCTGCACTGTGGGCTGCAGGCTGGACACCCAGGAGAGTCAAGGGTGCAGAGGAAGTCCGAAGGCAGACTGCTGGAGGATTCACTCTTGCTCAGGGTGGCCAGACTTTTGGTTCTGTTCAGGCCTTCAACTGATTGCATGGGGCCCACCCACACTTTAGAGGGCCATCTGCTCTACTCAAAGTCCACTCATTTAAATATTAAACTCATCCCAAAACATCCTCTAAGTTGACACATAAAACTAATCATCACACACCATAATATTGCAGATCTAAAATGAAAAGACAATAAAGCATTTTTTAAAAATAGACTCTTTTCTTGCCTGTGTGTTAGAGAAATATATTAAACAAAACACACACCAGGCCGGACGCGGTGGTTCATGCCTGTAATCCTAGCACTTTGGAAGGCCAAGGCGGCTGGATCATGAGGTCAGGAGATTGAGACCATCCTGGCTAACATGGTGAAAACCCGTCTCTACTAAAAATACAAAAAATTAGGCGTGGTGGCGGGTGCCTGTAGTCCCAGCTACTCTGGAGTCTGAGGCTGGAGAATGGCTTGAACCTGGGAGGCAGAGCTTGCAGTGAGCCAAGATTGTGCCACTGCACTCCAGCGTGGGGGACAGAGCGAGACTCCGTCAAAAAAAAAAAAAAATCAAGAAAGATGTAATGCAAAAAGAAAAAACTGAAAAACTGTATTATACTACTGTACATGAAAATTGAGAATTCCTGTCCCCCAAAAGATACCATTAGAGAGTAAGAAGGCAAGGCACTAGATGGGATAATTCATTTTCCAATAAATATATCCTATAAAGTATTCACATCCAGAAGATTTTTTTTAAGTATCTGTGAATCAGTGAGAAAAAAATAGACACCCCAATAGAAGAAGTGGGCAAATTACTTGAACAGGCACATGACAAAAGTGGTTACATAATTGGCAAATAAATACCATAATGTTATCTTACTGCCCACTACCAGAGGGGTTAAAATGAACGAGTCTGAAAATTTCAAGTCTGAAGAGCGAAGAAAGCTCTTTCACAGGGGTGAGAACGTAAATTGATACAACTGGTTTTGGAAAAAGGTTGTTATGTACAAGCAAAGTAGCATATTTGTATACCCTGTGACATAGAAATTCAACTTCTCTGTATAAATTCAACAGCTAGGCAGATACATCCGTATCAAAAGACTTGTATAAGAATGTTGATAGTAGCAGTTTCATATTTACTGAAAAACTAGAAATAATCCAAATGCCCAATAGCAGAATGGAGAAATAGATGGTGGTATATTTCAATGAGAATAAAATGATCTACAGCCACAAGCAGCACCTGAATGAATCTCACAACCACAAATATGAGTGAAAGAAGCCAACACAAAAAGAGGAGCTACTGCATGCTTACCTTTATAAATAAGTTCAAAAGCAGGGAAAAATGTATCCATGTTGTTAAAAGTCAAGAGCAAGGCTACCCTTGACGGAGACGGATATTGACAACAGAGGCTCCGGGAGGCTTCTGGGGTTCTGGAAGTGTTCTTTTTCCTGATGTGGTCACAGGTTTCACGGGTGTAATTTTTTAATTAAAAAAATGCAATAAACGGCTGTGCGCAGTGGCTCACGCCTGTAATCCCAGCACTTTGGGAGGCCGAGACAGGTGGATTGCCTGAGGTCGGGAGTTTGACACCAGCCCGGCCAGCATGGTGAAACCCCGTCTCTTCTAAAAATACAAAAATTAACCAGGAGTGGTGGTGTGCACCTGTAATCCCAGCTACTCGGGAAGCTGAGGCAGGAGAATCGCTTGAACCCGGGAGGCGGAGATTGCAGTGAGTGGAGACTGCACCATTGCACTACAGCTTGGGCAACAGAACGAGACTCCGTTTCAAAAAAAAAAAAAAAAAAAGCAATAAACTATATTTATGATTTGTGCATTCTTCTCAAATTTTTTTGGTGTAATAATCCATTTAAGCATTATTATAGAATACAGGGCAATAAATGATATGTTACTAGAAGAAAAAAAGACAACAGAAAGTCTTCCTAAATTGAAGTTAGTTTACTACTATCACTTCCTTAAACCCACAGGGCCTGTCATTCTGTCATGGAACCGTTACAATGCGAAGCAAAATTGAAATAATTTGCATGCAAACAGTAGGCAAGGTTGATAAGGCATCCTGTGTTGATTCTGCTGATCAATGCTGACAGGTGAGTTAAAGTACTTCTTAGTAACTCCATTTTATTGTTTTATTTATTTTAATAAGGCAACAATAAAAAATAATAAAGGACCATTAATAATTTAGTAATACATTTTTCTGGGGATAAGAAAGTCTTCGATGGACTTAATTTTTAAATGACATTTATAAATCACCTAATCGTTTTATTCTAACTGGTGCCAAGAGTGAAAATGCCTGTGCTTCTGCTTATTTCAGTGAGTCTAATTCATCCTAGATAAAAGGGAGATCAGGTTAGATACTAAAATGTCAGAGAGAGGGTAAGAGAAACTCACAGCCCTTAAAGGAAACTCTGTGGAAACTGAGACCTTCAGGAAAATCAGACATTAATAGAGATGAAGAAAATCAAATTCAGAGACCTGCCATATTTTTAAAATTTTAATATAATGTCTTTGACTGTATTTTATGATAAAATGTGCGTAACATAAAATTTACAATGGTGTCCATGTTTGAGTATACAGTTCAGTGCCATTAGCTACCATAACATTGTACAAGTATCTCCACCATCCATCTCCAGAACTTTTTTTTTTGTTTTAGAAACAGGGTCTTGCTCTGTTGCTCTGGCTGGAGTGCAGCGGCACAATCATGGCTCACTACAGCCTCAACCTCCTAGGCTCCAGAAACCCTCCCACTTCAGCCACCTGGGTAGCTGGACTACAGATGCATGCCACTGTGCCTGGCTATTTTTTTATTTTTTTTATTATTATTTTTTTGAGACAGAGTCTCGCTCTATTGCCCAGGCTGGAGTGCAGTGGCGCGATCTCAGCTCACTGCAAGCTCCGCCTCCCGGGTTCACGCCATTCTCCTGCCTCAGCCTCCCGAGCAGCTGGGACTACAGGTGCCCACCACCACACCCAGCTAATTTTTTGTATTTCTAGTACAGATGGGGTTTCACTGTGTTCGCCAGGATGGTCTCGATCTCCTGACCTCATGATCTGCCTGTCTCGGCCTCCCAAAGTGCTGGGATTACAGGCGTGAGCCACTGCGCCCGGCCTATTTTTTTTATTTTTTTAGAGACAGGGACTTGCTACATTGCCCACCCTGTTCTCAAACTTCTGGGCTCAAAAGATCCTCCTACCTCGACCTCCAAAAGTGCTGGGATTACAGGCATGAACACTGTGCCCAGCCTCCACAACATTTTCATCTTGCAAAACTTAAATTCTATACCCACTGAACACTAACATTCTCCTCATCTTCCTCCAGCCCCTGGCAACCATCATTTCACTTTGGTCTCTATGAATTTGACTACTCTAGGTACCATATAAGTGGAAACATACAGAATTTGCCTTTTTGACTGGCTTATTTCATAATGTTCTCAAGGCTTACCTATGTCATAGCACATGTCAGAATCCCATGTCTTTTTAAGGCAGAATAATGTTCCATTGTGTGAATAGAACACATTTTGTTTATGGTTTCATCAACCCAGGGTTGTTTCCACCTTTTAGCCATTGTCACACATCTTTAATTTGAGGGTTTTTTGTGATCAAATAAAGATGGCCACATATTCTTTATCACTCCTCTCATCAACAGGTGGGATTGGGCCACGAGCGGTGGCTCATGCCTGTAATCACAGCACTTTGGGAAGCCAAGGTGATTGGATCACTTGAGGTCAGGAGCTCAAGACTAGCCTGGCCAACATGGCAAAATCATGTCTCTACTAAAAAAAGAAAAAAAGAAAAAAAAAGAAAAAGAAAAATATATTAGTCAGGCGTGGTGACAGGTGCTTGTGATCCCAGCTACTCAAGAGGCTGAGGCAGGAAAATTGCTCAAATCCAGGAGACGGAGGTTGCAGTGAGCCAAGATCATGCCATTTCACTCCAGCCTGGGCAATAGAACAAGACTCTGTTTCAAAAAAAAAAAAAAAAAAGTGGGATTGATGTTCTCTGCCCTGAAATCCGGGTAAGCTTTACGACTGTTTGGCCAATGTAGGAGAGCAGAAATGAAACTGGGCTAGTGTCTGTGTCCAGGCTTAAAACGCTGACAGCCTCCTTCCTTCTCTCTGAAGACCACGATGCTGGAGAGACCGCAGATGTGTGTCCCGTCCTCTATGCCAGTTGAGCCCTGCATTCCAGCCATCCCAGACAAGATGCCAGACATGGGAAGAAAGACACCTGGGACCCGCTAGACCAGCTAGATGTAGAAGAAAACTCAGTCACTGTCACCAGTAGCTGAAGAGTCACCAAGCTGACCTGTGCTCAAATTTCTGGCCCGCAGAATCCTCAGATATGATAAAATGGTTCTGTGAAGCTGGTAAGTTTTGGGGTAGTTTGTAATACAAGAATAGATAACCAGGACTACCTTGACTCTGAACCTTCAGAAAATCCCTGAAGCCTTGCAGGGAAATCTCCCACTAAATTGGGGATATCAGATCTTTAAATACCTGAAGGAGTTCATGGCAGGAGAAACCACCCCAGCGCCAGACTATGAAATATCTGCTCATTCCCAGGCAGGTGTGAAGGAGCAGCCAGACCTCAAGAAACATTCTGAACTTTTGGCCCTATGATCCTGAATTCACTCACTCTATCAAACGCATGTTTTAGGCTAAGCATTGTGCTAGGCACCTGGGTGACGAAGGTGAGTAAGTTACCTACCTGCCGTCCCTATCACCGATCTTCCAATTCTCACCAATACCCTAACCTCAGCTATGTTCTCCGCCTCTTCACCATCCTCCATCCTCCAGCTCCTTATTCCAGGATCAACAGATACACCGGGCCGGGTGCCATGGCTCATGCCTGTAATCCCAGCACTTTGGGAGGCCGAGGTGGGCATATCATGAGGTCAGGAATTTGAGACCAGCCTGGCCAGTACGGTGAAACTCCATCTCTACCAAAAAAAAAAATTAGCTGGGAGTGGTGGCACAAGCCTGTAATCCCAGCTGCTTGGAGGGTTGAGGCAGGAGAATCGCTTGAACCCAGGAGGCAGAGGTTGCAGTGAGCCTAGATCGCGCCACTGCACTCCAGCCTGGACAATGGAGTGAGACTCTGTCTCAAAAAAAAAAAAAAAAAAAACAGATACACTAACAGATACAGTGTTTTACTGAAGGCCGGGACATTTTGTGAGCTCTCTTAATATATGACTGTAGCTCTAAAATCACCTCTCCCAGGAAAGAGTCCCTTGGCAAGCAAGGAAGCAAATGAGAGAAGGAGAGGCAGAGGGAGAGAGAGAGAAAAGGCAGGCAGGCAGGAAGGAGAAAGAAGGAAAGAAAGAAAGAAAGAAAGAAAGAAAGAAAGAAAGAAAGAAAGGGAGAAAGAAAGAAGGAAAGAAGGAAGGAAAGAAAGAAGGAAGGAAGGAGAGAGAGAGAAAGAAAGGGAGAAAGAGAGAAAGAAAGAGATAGAAGAAAGGGAGGGAAGGATGGGTGAAGAGAAAGGAAGGGAGGAAGGAAGGAAGGAAGGAAGGAAGGAAGGAAGGAAGGAAGGAAGGGAGGGAGGGAGGGAGGAAGAGAGGAAGGAAGGAAGGGAGGGAGGGAAGGAGGGAGGGAGGAAGGAATGGGTTTAGCTTTGAATATGGGTTTAGCCTACTGATTCAGGAGTCACATCATAGCTAAGGCAAGAGAATGGTGTCAACTCAGGAGGAAGGAAGGGAAGAAGGGAAGAGGGAGGGAGGAAGGAGGGGAGGAGAAGGGAAAAGAAGGAATGAAAGGAGGAGGAAGAGAAGAGCAAAGAAAGAAGGAAGGAAGAGAAAGGAAGAAAGGAGATCCAGCCAGGTACTGCTTAATACTAGCATTTTCTAGCATTTTCTAATTAATTTTGTTTGTTCATTTTGCTTGTACAGTCTACTAGAAGTTCTCCAGTGTGCATTTTAGAATTCATGAGAGAGACAGAAACTCACCGTTAACTTAGTCTAAGACAACACAGTGAATTCAAACGGAAACCTGAGCAGAATACAAATAGCTCTTAGGGAAAACATTTCTGACTTTGTACAAGATATAGCAAATCAATGTTTTTCTAATAGGACATTAACTGCTTCCCAAGCATAGCATGATCCGTTTCCCATGTTTAGATTTGTTTTATTTCAGAAGGAAAGCCAGTGAAGTCTTGCTCTAAAGGAGCTCCCTTACCTGACAATGCAGAATGAGTTCATTCTGAAGTCAGGGGACAATGTTTACATCTCCTGGTTTTCTCCTGGGGCTGTCATTTGCCATGGGCATGATGACCGCTGTGTGTAGACTCAGCGTTTCTTGTTCCAGGTCCCCCAGGTGGAAGCTGGCATATGTGAGCAGACTCATCCTCATCGGAAGAGAGTATCTAGAAGTGGCCCTGGTGACATTAGCCACTGGTAAGCTGTAGGAGCAAGCCCTGAGCACTGAGATGCCTCCACAGCAGCAGCCTTCTCCTCTTTCCATCAGATCTGCTGAGATCTGATACAGAGCTTCTCTCTCACTTCTCTTATTTACAATGAATTGGTATAGAAGCCCTGTTATCAACTTAGTTCATTCTAGTCCATTACACCCATCATTAACAGTGGCTTGATGTACTTAGAACTCCCAGAAAATACCTAGAGCCTCCTCGACCCAAGTATCACAAATTTTAAACCAACAAGATGTTGCTAGGGTACTTGTGTTAGGATTCTCCAGGGACACAAAATCCATAGAATCCATACAGATATATGAAAAGACATTTATTATTAGAGATTGACTCACATGATAATGGAAGGTGAGAAGTCCCACAGCCTTCCATCTGCAAGGGCGAGGACCACAAACTCAGGTGGTGTAGTTCCAATCCAAGCTCAAAGGCCTGAGAACCAGGACAGCCAAGGGTGTACGTCCCAGTCTGAGTAAAAAGGCTCAAGAGCCAGAAGCTCTCATGCCCAAGGGCAGCAGAAGACAGATGTCGCAGCTCAAGCAAAGAGAGCAAGCTCACCCTTCCCCCATCTGTTTATTCCATCTCAGCCTTCAACAGACTGGGTGATGCCCACGCATATTGGTGAGGGGACATCCACCTTACTCAGTCTACAGATTCAAACGCTAATCTCGTCCAGAAACACCAGCACAGACACACCCAGAAATCATGATTTACCAACCCCCTGGGCATCTCTTAGCCCAGTCAAACTGACACATAAAATTAACTATGACAGCACTCCCACGCCTGGCAGCACGCACACAACCGTAGCAGTGAACTCTGGAGAACCAGCAAAGAATATAGCTGAGGGACAAGGGGTTGGCGAGAGCTGGAACATCAATGACAGTGAGCATTGATCAATGCCTTCAGAACTGTGCTATTGCACCAAACCCACCACATCAGAACCCCTTGGAAAGGGACACAGCCCATAATAAGTAAGCCCCTATGGCCTTTGAATGTGTGTTCAGCCTACTGATTCAGGAGTCACATCATAACCAAATTGCTCCCCCTAGCTGCATCTGTACCGGGTCCCATCTCCCTCTCATTTGACGTCACCCCATCAGTGGATTCCAGCACCCTTCCCAACAGAATCTCCTGAAAGTTGTCATTAGTGTATCTATTTTTTTTTTTTTTTTTGAGACGGAGTCTCGCTCTGTCGCCCAGGCTGCAGTGCAGTGCCGCAATCTCCACTCACTGCAAGCTCCGCCTCCCGAGTTCACGCCATTCTCTTGCCTCAGCCTCCGAGTAGCTGGGACTACAGGCGCCTGCCACCACGCCCGGCTAATTTTTTGTATTTTTAGTGGAGACGGGGTTTCACCATATTGGCCAGGCTGGTCTGAAACTCCTGACCTTGTGATCCTCCCGCCTTGGCCTCCCAAAGTGCTGGGATTACAGCTGTGAGTCACCGTGCCTGGCCTCCTTTTAGTGTGTGTGTGTTTTTTTGTTTTTTGTTTTTTGTTTTTGAGACGGAGTCATGCTGTTGTCCAGGCTGGAGTGCACTGACATGAACTCGGCTCACTGAAACCTCTGCCTCCTGGGTTCAAGCGATTCTCATGCCTCAGCCTCCTGAGTAGCTTGGATTACTGGCGCCCACCACCTTGACTGGCTAATTTTTGGATTTTTTTTTTTTTTTAAGATGCAGTCTCGCACTGTTGCGCAGGCTGGGGTGCAATCGCGCAGTCTCAGCTCACTGCAACCTCTGCCTCTCGGGTTCAAGCAGTTCTCCTGCCTCAGCCTCCCGAGTAGCTGGGATTACAGGCGCTCGCCACCACACCCAGCAAATTTTTTGTATTTTTTAGTAGAGACAGGGTTTCACTATGTTGGCCAGGCTGGTCTCAAACTCCTGACCTCATGATCCTCCCGCCTTGGCCTCCCAAAGTGCTAGGATTACAGGCGTGAGCCACAGCGCCTGACCAATTTTTGCATTTTTAATAGAAATGGGGTTTCACGGTGTTGGCCAGGCTGGTCTCAAACACCTGGCCTCAATTGATCTGCCCAGCTTGGCCTCCCAAAGTGCTAGGATTACAGGCGTGAGCCACAGCGCCTGACCAATTTTTGCATTTTTAATAGAAATGGGGTTTCACGGTGTTGGCCAGGCTGGTCTCAAACACCTGGCCTCAATTGATCTGCCCAGCTTGGCCTCCCAAAGTGCTGGGATTACGGGCGTAAGCTACTGTGCCTGGCCAGTAATCAGTCATTTCTTATCCTTAGGCCTTCAAGTTTAGGAACCCGGCCAGAGACTCTTACTGAGAAGTTAAGAAAAAAAATATATATATATATTTATTACCAAGCCAATGACTGTCAATGATCATTTTCCTCTGCTGAATAGGTTAATTGTTCATGAGCTTATTTTTGGTTAGATATACCAATCATGGCCAGGCGCAGTGGCTCACTCCTATAATCCCAGCACTTTGGGAGGCTGAGGCAGGTAGATCACCTGAGGTGAGGAGTTCAAGACCAGCCTGGCCAACATGGTGAAACTCCGTCTCTACTAAAAATACAAAAATTAGCCAGGCCTAGTTGTGGGTGCCTGTAATCCCAGCTACTCGGGAGGCTGAGGCAGGAAAATCGCTTGAACCTGGGAGGTGGAGGTTGCAGTGAGCTGAGATCAGACCATTGCACTCCAGCCTAGGCAACAAGAGCGCAACTCTGTCTCAAAAAAAAAAAAAAAAAACTGCATGGTTTTAATATCACAATGATGCCATTGGACTTTATAGAAGGCAAACGGGAAATGGAGCCTGGGTTTCCAAATAAATTATCATAAAATACTCCGTAATTAGGTGTAATAAGGGGATTCACAAAAAAATCTTTAATAAGTATTTGTTCACTTAAGGGTGCTCCACCTTAAGAAATTACTGTCAGGTCTTGGCAGAGAATGGGGAGAAGTTTGTGGGAGGAAAGAAGCCTGAAATTCAAATATTTTCCTTTTCGCCTACATATTTCTCTTTTTTTTTTTTTTTTTTTTTTTTGAGACGGAGTCTCGCTCTGTTGCCCAGGCCGGACTGCGGACTGCAATGGCGCAATCTCGGCTCACTGCAAGCTCCGCCTCCCGGGTTCACGCCATTCTCCTGCCTCAGCCTCCCGAGTAGCTGGGACTACAGGCGCCCGCCACCGCGCCCGGCTAATTTTTTGTATTTTTAGTAGAGACGGGGTTTCACCTTGTTAGCCAGGATGGTCTCGATCTCCTGACCTTGTGATCCGCCCACCTTGGCCTCCCAAAGCGCTGGGATTACAGGTGTGAGCCACTGTGCCAAGTCGACCCTCCTTCCTTTCTTACTCTATTGGCAGGAGAAACTATTGTAGGTCCCTCCAAACTACTAGTGCAACAGGAAAGAAGGAGAGTGGGAAGAATCATAGATTGCAAGTAGTGGGAAGAACAGAAAGTACAAACAAAGAAAATGAGTCTAAGGCTAAGCCATCTACATCTACCAACAATCTCTGTACCGTTTTCTTTTCAGTGAGGACTTACTGGGCATCTTCAATGTTCAGATGTGTGTAAGGCCCTAGAAAAACCAAAATGAATAACACACAGTTTCTGCATGCAAGCTCTTGCCACACCGGGGAAGATGGTCTCTACATTTCAGTCCCCAGCAGTCTTATCATCATTCAGTTGCACATGCCTGAATTGCTTTTTGTGAGCAGGCTTTTTGTGAGTCTACTGAAAAAGGTCAGGAAGACAAACAGCCTCCTTTAAAATACTGAATACATTGGAAGGGTAAACAGTACGTTGAATTGGTCTTGCAATATCAGCATTTCCAATTTTTGCCATTAAATATTTATAAGGATTTTAGATTTCTGGTGACGGATATTCTTTAACAAAATTAATTATAATGAAAACTTGGGAATGGTTCCTGTCTCTTTTCCCAAATAAATGTTTGCCTTGATTTATGCCCATTTTAATGCAAAAATTTTTCTCCATCACAGTCCTGAATACTACGACTTGTCTCAAACAAGAATTCTTGTTTTTATCAACTCAAGTCATTGAGAGGGAAATGTGTTTTTTTATTTAGCTTCTCAGTTGCTAATCAATCGCTAATTATCTTTAACCATATTGACCTTCTCCCACTGGTTTTGCCATAAAGATTAATGAGTGACATTACAAGGAGTACAATTTCATGCATTGAAAAGAATGGATTCATACATTATTCACTCCACATAAATACATGCACTTTCACTTGGAACTGTAAAAGATCAGAGAAAGAAGCACTGAGGAGAGAAACAATCTGACCAAGGCAAGAACTGGGACGGGAAAATTATATACGATGGAAATGGGGAAAGACAGACCAATCTGTGTACAAATGAAGCTGCTTGGAAGGAAGTAAGAACATGAGGGAAGACAAATAAATAAGTGCCTCCAACTGTGTGTACATCCTCATGGTGTGTGGCAGAATCCTGAGCCCCAGAGTCTTCCCTGGTCAAACACCACACCTGCAGCCCCCTCTGCTGGCTCCCAATGGGTACATCTGCAAAGAGCGAGTCCAGGCAAATGAACACTATTAAGATTCTCTGGTTGGCCCCCATACTCTCTGGTTTCCTATCCTATGAATAGTCAAAAAACAAAACAAAACAAAACAAAACTTTCTTCTGAACTAGAGGAAAAATAAATAAAAATAAATGGCCTCCTGTGGGCTTCTTTTCATTGAAATCCCTTTTGTTTTCTAGTTGGCCACCTAAAGAAGGAAGAGACAGTTGGTGCATCTTCCAGATCGAAATAAACTCTGGCTTCTGTTGGGTCATGAAGAAGAGAGGGAATGGGAAGAAATCTAAAATGAGAATCCGAAGAATATCCTCCAAAAGAGCTACTATTGTCCCCAGTTCTTGACACAGAGCTTCAATAACCTTTGGAATTTTCTGAGCAGTACAAGTGCCTTTGTTAAGCTAATGAGGTGACTCAGCCTAGGCCCCCTTCATGATGGGGCTATCACCAGGAAGACCAAGCAGGTAGATATAGGGTTGGGACTTTCAGCTGCCGGACCTCCGGGAAGAGGCTGGAGATTAAGTTCAATCGGGCAGCCAGTGATTTACTGAGTCAATGAAGCCCCAGTAAAGTCTTTGAACACCAACTCAGCGCAGCTTCCTCCTGGTCAGTGCACACATGGATGTGCCAGGATGGTGAAGCGCTCCAACTCCCTGAGGAGGGTGTGACAGCTCTGCTTGCCATGACTGGATTCCTGACCCACAAAAACAGCTAACTAATAAATGTTTGTTGTTTTAAGCCACTAAATTTTGGGGTAATTTGTTACACAGCAACAGATAGCTAATATGCATCCCAAGAGGTAAAAATAAGTATTCATTGAGTAACTTCACTGTGAAATTTTAGTACAGGAAATGCAAACAGAATATATTTAAAACAACTGGAAAGGAAAATGTAGAACATCTGCAAAGAACAAAGATTAACAAACATCAGAAAATAACCAATCAATAAAAGGCTAAGAGACAATAAGCAACTGCCTAAAAGTTGACACCCAGTTACTATCATCAAAGAGTGAAGGGAAAATAAAGACACATCAGAGACTATCTGCAACTCACAGATCCTTGCTTAACAAACTTTTTTTTTTTTTTTTTGAGACGGAGTTTTACTCTTGTTGCCCACGCAGTGAGCCGAGGTCGCACCGCGGCACTCCAGCCTGGCGACAGAGTGAGACTCCATCTCAAAAAGTAATAATAATAAATTGGGGGAAATTAAAAACACGTTGGAACTAAATATTGAAGAAAATACTACGTAAGGAAGGAAGTTATTAATCAGAGATACATATTCTTTTTTTTTTTTTTTTTTTTTTTGAGACTGAGTCTCACTCTGTCGCCCAGGCTGGAGTGCAGTGGCACCATCTCGGCTCACTGCAAGGTCCGCCTCCTGGGTTCAAGCGATTCTCCTGCCTCAGACTCCCGACTAGCTGGGATTACAGGTGCGTGCCACCATGCCCAGGTAATTTTTGTATTTTTAGTAGAGACGGGGTTTCATCATGTTGGCCAGGATGGTCTGGATTTCTTGACCTCGTGATCCGCCCACCTTGGCCTTCCAAAGTTCTGGGATTACAGGCACAAGCCACTGCGACCAGCCTAATCAGAGTTAAATATTCTTAAGTCGTGTGTGTGTGTGTGTGTGTGTGTGTGTGTGTGTGTGCGCCCGTAAAGAAAGGGGTCTCAATATGTTGCTCAGGCTGGTCTCAAACTCCTAGGCTCAAGAGATCCTTCTGCCTTTGCATCCCTAAGTGCTGGGATTACAGGATTACATGCATGAGCCACCAAGACCAGTTGACCCTTGAACAACATGGAGGGTTAGGGGTACCAATCCCTTGGGCAGTCAAAAATGCACTTATAACTTTTGACTCCCCCAAAACATAACTACTAATAGCCTACTGAGAGGTGAAGCCAGCTGGACTTCCTGGGTCCAGTGGGGACTTGGAGAACTTTTCTGTCTAGCTAAAGGTTTGTAAAAGCACCAATCAGTACTCTGTAAAATTGCACGAATCAGCACTCTGTGTCTAGCTTAGGTTTGTAAACGCACCAATATGCACTCTGTAAAAATGGACCAATCAGCACTCTGTAAAATGGACCAATCAGCAGGATGTGGGCGAGGCCAAATAAGGAAATAAAAGCTGGCCACCTGAGGCAGCAGCAGCAACCCCGTCAGTCCTCTTCGACTTTGTGGAAGCTTTGTTCTTTCACTGTTCGCGATAAATCTTGCTGCTGCTCACTTTTTGGGTCCGCACTACCTTTATGAGCTGTAACACTCACCAGGAAAGTCTGCAGCTCCATTCCTGACATCAGTGAGACCACGAACCCACCGGGAGGAACAAACAACTCCGGACGCACCACCTTTAAGAGCTGTAACACTCATTGCGAAGGTTTGTGGCTTCACTCATGAAGTCACTGAGATCATGAACCCACCAAAAAGAAGAAACTCTGGACACATCTGAACATCTGAAGGTACAAACTCTGGACACACCATCTTTAACAACTGTAACACTCTCTGTGAGGGTCTGTGGCTTCATTCTTGAAGTCAGTGAGACCAAGAACCCACCAGAAGGAACCAATTCCAAACACAGAAGGATTAAAGCGAGCTGTATAAGGAGGAAGGGATCAATTCACCACAAAGATGATCACAACTTATGTGAACTCGTGTGGCCTTAACAATATAGCCTCAAAACATGGAATTGTTTTTGAAAACATTCCAAGGAAAAATGGTCAAATCTACAGTCATACTGAAGAGTTTAATATATGTCTCTTACCAAGTGATATAACCAGCAGAAAAAAAAAGATTCAAAAAGTATAAACAAAACAATAAACAAGCCTAATCTAATGAGCATATATAGAACCCTGCACCCAATAATTATAAATGAATTTTCCTTTCAAGTACATTATACAGGGAACAATTACAAAAATTGATCACATTCTTAAGTTGTTCATGAATTTTCGACCAATGTAATTGAGTCAATGTCATCCTGACCATGTTCGTTGACCATTAAGCAATAAAATCAGAAGCAAATATCCAAAAGTTCAACAAAAAAAAAGTTATATAGTTACCACTTAATGTCATTGCAAACAAAGCTTTAGGAGTCAGCATACTCCCCTTCTCCTCCTGGAAATCATAAAGAAGCAGCAAGGAGAACCAAAGCCACTTTTATAAACCCCATTTTTTTAGCGAAACCAGGAGACAGATATAACCCACAGACTACAAATTATCTACAGAAGCTTCCAAAAGCCACTGAAATGGGGCAAAAGTCACTCAAGAGGAATTGAAGACAACAAAACACAGTGGAAGTTAATCTTGTAAAACGCCAGCAAAAACATGCTCCCTGGGGGTGAGGGAAAAACAAAAGGCAACAACTATATCCCTTATTTGCAGCAACCTACCCTCGATTTGCAACAGTGGGCGTGGAAATGGTAGGGGCGGGGTGTCCTGTGTGGTTCAGTGAAACCAACAGCAGGGATAACACACATGAGTCATGTTTGTCTCTGTGACCGCCAGAATTCATCTTTCAAGTATAAAAATAACTAACAGTAAATAAACATACAAGAACTCAAGGAACATTGTTCCCATGAGTCTTCCTGAGGAGATTAATAAAGGATGAATCTCAGCCAACCAACTTAGGGAAATAACAGAAAAAAAAAATGGCTGACTATATAGAACTAAAACATAAACAACTCTAAAGTTTAAAGTAGTAGACTGTAACATGCATGTTATATTCCCTGACAGTGCAGAAAAGATTCGTTTAGTAGAAATGTGGCAGGAAAGTGAGAAGAAAGCATGGAAATTAGGATAAATTCATTGAATGCTTAATCCAAAATAGCCAGTTCTAAAATACAGCTTAGAGCTAAAAAAGTAAGTAAATTCTAAACATCCATTATAGTATTAAGACAATATGATGAATAATAATATTAATAAATGTAAAATAGGTGGTTGAGGAATGGAAATGGGGAAAAAAACAAGCTAATTTTATGATTCTTCTTAGAAACTAATAGATATTCTTTAAAGAAATAGAGTTCTGAGATAATTATATGATTATATAAAAGTAACCCTAAAATAAAAATACGAACTTTACTAATTACCCAAAAATTAAGAAAAGAAACAAAGCAAAGAGTTCACAGTTAACACTATATATATATTTTTTCTTTTTCTTTTTCTTTTTTTTTTTTTTTAAACAGACTCTTGCTCTGTCACCCAGGCTGGAGTGCAGTGGCGTGATCTCAGCTCACTGCAACCTCTGCCTCCCAGATTCAAGCAATTTTCCTGCCTCAACCTCCTGAGTAGCTGGGATCACAGGTGTGCGCCACCACACCCAGCTAAATTTTGTATTTTTAGTAGAGACAGGGTTTCACCATGTTGGTCAGGCTGGACTCAAACTCCTGATCTCATGATCGGCCTGCCTCAGCCTCCCAAAGTACTGGAATTACAGGCGTGAGCCACTACATCTGGCCAATACTATATTTTTAATATATTTCATTTTTTAGAGCAATTTTAGATCCACAGCAAAATTGAATGGAAAGTACAGAATTCCTATATACTTGACCCCACATGCTCACAGCCTCCCCCATCAAAATCCCTACACAGAGTGCTATGTTTGTTACAGTCGATGAAACTACATTGAAACGTCATTATCAGTCAGATCCCATAGTTTACATTTGGGTCACTCTTGGTATTGCACATTCCGTGGGTTTGGACAGATGTATGATGATGTGTATACACCATTATAGCATCATACAAAGCAGTTTCATTTCCCCCCAAAATCCTCTGTGTTCTGACTGTTTGTCCCTCCCTCCCCACTAAGCCCGGGCAACCCACTGGTCTTTTTCCTGTCTCTATAGCTTTGCCTTTTCCAGAATGTCTTGAGTTGAAACCATACAGGATGTAGCCTTTTCAAATTGGCTTCTTTCACTTAGTAACCTGCATTTAAGTTTACTCCTCCAAGTCTTTTCATGGCTTGATAGTTCTTTTGTGTGTGTGTGTGTGTGTGTGTGTGTGTGTGTGTGTGTGTGTGACAGACAGAGTCTCGCTCTGTCGCCTGGGCTGAATTTCAGTGGCGCGATCTCGGCTCACTGCAACATCCGCCTCCTGGGTTCAAGCAATTCCCCTGCCTCAGACTCCCGAGTAGCTGGGACTACAGGCGTGTGCCACTAGGCCCAGCTAATTTTTGTATTTTTAGTAGAGACGGCATTTCACCATGTTGGTTGGCCAGGATGGTCTCTATCTCTTGACCTCATGATCCACCCACCTCGGCCTCCCAAAGTGCTGGGATTACAGGCATGAACCACCACTCCCAGTGGATAGTTCATCTCTTTTAGTGCTAATAGTCCATTGTCTGGATATGCCACAGTGTGTATATATATCCAGTGACTTATTGACGGACATCTTGAATGATTCCAAGCTTTGGCAACTATGAATAAAGCTGCCGTAAACATCCGTGTGAAAGTGTTTGTGTGGATATCAGTTTTCATTTCCTTTGGGTAAATACCAAGGAGCACAATTGCTGGATCACATGCTAAGAATATGTTTAGTTTTGTATGAAACTGCCAAATCATCTTAATATTTGTAAACATAAAAACAATGCAAAGTGTTAAATAATATGATACAACCAAGATCAAATATCACTTTCATATTAAAAAATGCAAGGGGACTATTATAAGAGACAGATTTTTAGATTGGATCACAAAACAAAATCTTATCATTTTAATCTTTAAAAAATGCTTACAGTATAGCATGCAGCCAACATACAGGCGCTTTATGTAGCTTTGCTCTTTGGAAACAGCTATCGTGACTAGAGTAGCCACTAAACACTGTGATTTATAGTTTAATTTGATCTGTCTCCCACTTGTGTACAGTGGAGTGGATTCAAAAGCCAGACCGAGGCACACCTGGGCAGTCCAGGAGGTCGGCTCTGATCACCCACTTCCTTCGAGTTCTACTTGCCTGACCCTCCTCTGACTCCCTATACCTCCTCCACCCTTCATCCTGCTCCTATTCCTGTCTCCTAATCCGTACATGAGTTCACAGGTATCAGGTCAGGAATTCATCCTTCTCACACTCACAAAGATACACATAAGACACTCTTTAAGAGACTTCAACAATGAGATACCACTTCACACCCATTAGGATGGCTATCATCAAAAAGCAAGACCAAAAAATATCAAGTGTTTGTGAGATGTGGAGAAACTGAAACCCTCATGAACTGCTGGTGGAAATGCAAAATGGAGCAGCTTCTGTGGAAAACAATATGATGGTTTCTCAAAAAATCCAACACTGAGCTACCATATGACCTGGCAACTCTATTTCTAAGTAGGTGCCCAAAAGAATCGACAGGAGAGACTCAAACAGATACTTGTTCACCCAGCTTACTAGCAGCATTGTTCTCAATAGCCAAAAGGTAGAAGCAACCCAGCTGTCTTATATTTGGATGAATGGATAAACAAAATGTGATCTATTCATACAATGGAATATTATCCAGCCTTAAAAAAGGAAAGCAATTCTGACACGTTACCACCTCGATGAACCTTGAAGACATTACACTAAGTGAAAAAAGACAGTCACAAACAAGACCGAGGAGTGGCCGGGCACGGTGGCTCACGCCTGTAATCCCAGCACTTTGGGAGGCAGAGGCAGGCGAATCACGAGGTCAGGAGATCGAGACCATCCTGGCTAACACGGTGAAACCCCCTCTCTACTAAAAATATAAAAAATTAGCCAGGCATGACGGCAGGTGCCTGTAGTCCCAGGTACTCGGGAGGCTGAGGCAGGAGAATGGTGTGAACCCGAGAGGCAGAGCTTGCAGTGAGCTGAGATGGCGCCACTGCACTCTGGCCTGGGTGACAGAACAAGACTCGGTCTCCAAAAAAAAAAAAAAAAGTGAGGAGTTAGTGTTCAAAGGGGAAGATGAAACTGTGCTTAATGCCACTGAACTATACACTTCAAAATGGTGAAAGGGATAAATTTTATGTCCCATTTATTTTACCATAATAAAAAAAAATTCAATCTTGAACAACTGGGTTTTTGGCTCAAGGCAAATAGAAGGGAACACACATTTTGAATAGTATGCAGAACAGAGTGGTCTCAGTCAGTCAATAACTGTTGTTTAAGTGCCTACTGTCCCTTACACTATAATGGAAGTTCAACAGTCCATTTTGAAGACAAACCAGTTAAAAAAGCAATTATAATGAAGAGTGGTAAGTGCTATCAGAGGATAAATACAAGCTAGCACATTGGAATGATTACACAGAGGACCTGCCCAGACCTGTGGACAACTGTCCATGCAGTTTCTATGGAGCACAATAAACCTGGCCTGCAGTTCACACCTTTTGAAGAGTATATCAGTGCAGGGCAGGGGGACGGTCAACCAAGTAACATTTTTAATATTCCATGTGACATTAGCTTAAAAATGGGGGCTTTGATATGACATATGAGGTTGGTATTCCTTCAAAAGAAATATGCAAAATCTTTTCTCCCTTAAGCCACATGTAGGGCATCTCATTAATACTGTTAGTTGGCTTATTGCAAGGTGCATAATAGAGACCTGGAAAGGGCACATTTCTCACAGCAGCACCTCCCTTTGATAGATGCAGGAGGCAGATAAGGCAGGCTCCCTGGAGAATCTCTGACCCTCCCCACAAGTGTTTACATCAGATGCTTTTGTAAACATGAAGGAACCTTCCCAGGGCCTTGTCTGGGCTTGCCCACAATGTACTGGAGGCCCGCCTGTGCACTGGGAGAATGGGGTGGAGCCACTGGGATTTGCGCCTTATGCAGAGGGGAGGAGCCTGGCCTCTTCAGCTCACGTATGTGCATCTGTGTGTGTCTGTGTGTGTTTTGGTGGCCTGGTATTCAATCTGTGAGGTGGGAGCCTGTTGGCAGAACCCCCTTTTTGTTTGCCGACAGCTTTCTTTTAATAAATCCCGCTCTCCTCACCTTTGAGTGTATTCGTGTGCCTAATTTTTCCTGGTTGTGTGGCAAGAACCTGGATTTTACATGAACTAAGGAGCAAAAAACTCCTGCATCGCTTTGATAGCTCCCCTGTTCGGGTGGCATGTGGGTGGGGCACGGAGCCTATTTTCCTTCATAAAAGCTTCTCATAGAGGACAAAATGGAGTTGAAAATGAGTATAGAGTTCTTATTTCTTTGGTTTGATAGTAGCATTACTGCTACCACACTTAGTCCACGAAGAGAAATATCATCTATAGGGTGACATGCTCTTTTTTAATGCTTTGGTCACATGTTGCCAAGTTCCTTCCAGAAAAGTTGGCCCATTCCTAAGCGATGCATAGGAATTGGACACGTTATTTTCTGGGAAAGAATATGGGGCAATTGGGCCAGGTGTGGTGGCTCACGCCTGTAATCCCAGCACTTTGGGAGGCCAAGGTGGGCATATCACAAGTTCAGGAGATCGAGACCCTCCTGGCCAACATGGTGAAACCCTGTCTCTACTAAAAATACAAAAATTACCTGGGCATGGTGGCACACACCTGTAATCCCAGCTACTTGGGAAGCTGAGGCAGGAGAATCGCTTGAACCAGGGAGTTGGAGGTTGCAGTGAGCCGAGATCATGTCACTGCACTCTAGTCTGGTGACAGAGCAAGATTCCATCTCAAAAAAAAAAAAAAAGAAAGAAAAGAAATAGGGCAATTGGCTGGAAGATTTAAATGTTCCTAAAAGATAAACCCACTGAATTTTTTGAGGGCATATGTGCCCTTCTATTTTCTTACCAAAAAAACCAGGAACTACAAATGGTCCATTTTCTTTTTCTTTCTTTTTTTTTTTTTTTTTTTTGAGACAGAGTCTTCCTCTGTCACCCCAGCTGGAGTGCAGTGGCGCGATCTTGGCTCACTGCAAGCTCCGCCTCCCAGGTTCATGTCATTCTAACCTGCCTCAGCCTCCCAAGTAGCTGGGACTACAGGCGCCTGCCACCAAACCCTGCTAATTTTTTGCACTTTTAGTAGAGTCAGGGTTTCACCATGTTAGCCAGGATGGTCTCGATCTCCTGAACTCGTGATCTGCCTGCCTTGGCCTCCCATAGTGCTGGGATAGTGCTGGGATTACAGGCATGAACCACCGCGCCCAGCCAAATGGTCCTTTCTTTCTATCTTTCCATATGAGAGGCGAATGTTATTAATGTTGCTTTTCTTTCCTATAACACAATAAGTTGTAACAAAAAGAATCCTGGGCTGTTATGACATGAGTCTAAGGCTAAGAAAACGAGCTCCCAACACACCCTCTAGGTACCATAGTAGCTCCTTATTTTCCCTGGACCTCCCACCCAGCCATGCCACTTTTAACCATTTCCACTGTGCTTTCTCCGCATTTATGTCTTATTTGATGCCTGCCTGGTATCTCTGATCTCTGCCTGCCCTGACTTGTGGATTGATGCCTCGTTGCTACTACTCAGTGTCAGGGTTCTTGTCCACACAGCATTCCTCGTCCTCTGAGTCTTGTACAGCAGGTAGCTCTTTCCCTCATCCCAGGACCTGACCTCCATGGCAGATTCTGGCCGCAAAGGAGTCTGACCCAGGTCAATGAGCCTGGGCTGAGCCCAGCAAATATGCTCAAAACATACATAGTGTGTAATAGATTAAGAACTGAATGACATTGAATGATATATGATAGAAAGCCATCGGTTTTCTAAAACCTGGTCCTAATTTTCCCCTTATCCTACAGAAAATAGGAACAGAGAGAGAGAGAAATTCTGATTTTCTGGTTATTGAACTAAATTACCCATCTAATTAGACTGCAGGATTCTTGTTAGGTCGTCTTTCTGTAGGCTGGTGCTAGAGTTTGACTTATAATAGGTACAACAGATGCATAATCTCCTCCTCCAGGGTCAGCTGCTCTACCCACAGCCCCTTCTCCCTTCTACCACCTCTTAATTTTCTTTTTTTTTTCTTTTTTTTTGAGATGGAGTCTCGCTCTGTCATCCAGGCTGGAGGGCAGTGGCACAATCTCGACTCACTGTAAGCTCTGCCTCCTGGGTTCAAGTGATTCTCGTGCCTCAGCCTCCCAAGTAGCTGGGGTTACAGGTGCCCGCCACCACACCCAGCTAATTTTTGTATTTTTAGTAGAGACAGGGTTTCACCGTGTTGGTCAGGCTGGTCTCGAACTCCTGACCTCGTGATCCACCTGCCTGGGCCTCCCAAAGTGCTGGGATTACAAGCATGAGCCACTGTGCCTGGCTGCACCCCTTAATTTTCAATTACCATCCTCCACTCAAGTTAATGATCCTATCTTCCAACACTGAACCCAAACTTTTCATGTCTTGCCCAGCTCCCTTCATGAAGCCAAGTGCCAGCTCAATAGGCAAAGTGTTGGCCCAAAACCAAACTGCCATCTGTGCTGGGATCTCCGGTTCACTGTGGCCTGGCTCCGGTACTGGGATCTCTGACCCTGGTTGTCCAGTTATTGTTCTATCTTTCCTACAGACTTCCCATTTGCTGACCCTCTGCCTGAATTCTGATTCAGAACACGCATTTTCCTAACCAGGCCAGCCTGCTCTGATATCAATGTTTGTTAATGTTATAGCAATAAGTGACTAAGTCATGGTCAACTGATTAACCTGATAGAGTAGTTTTCCATTGCAAGAATAATAAGCCAAATAAATCTGGCCCATTTCTCTCATATCCTTACTATATTTAACAAGGAGTTGGTGGCCGGGCATGGTGGCTCACGCCTGTAATCCCAGCACTTTGGGAGGCCCAGTCGTGTGTATCACGAGGTCAGGAGATCAAGACCATCCTGCCTAACATGGTGAAGACCCATCTCTACTAAAAATACAAAAAAATTAGCCAGGTGTGGTGGCGGGCGCCTAAAGTCCCAGCTACTCAGGAGGCTGAGGCAGGAGAATGGCGTGAACCTGGGAGGCGGAGCTTGCAATGAGCCAAGGTTGTGCCACTGCACTACAGCCTGAGCGACAGAGCAAGACTCCAACTCAAAAAGAAAAAGCGGAAAAAACAGCAACAACAAAAAAATGATCATTTGTTTGTGTTTATCTGTAATTAGATTTGGAGTATTTCATCTTTGAAATTTCATCATCTTGAAAATGTCTTTTCACATAAATAGGAATGACCAAGTACTGACATAAATCCACGAACATATGATTTTAATGGAGAATATTCATCACAAGGATATTTTAGGATTCTATTAGATTCTTCTCTTGATAGTTTTAGCATGCTGCTACATTGCTACACTGCAAATGTATCACTTCTAGTTGAAAGCTAGGTAGAAGCTCTCAATTCCACAGTTTAATACATTTTGAAGTATGGAAATTTCAATCCATACTTGCATTGAGGATAAAACTGTAGTTTAAGCTTAGAAATTATACCCACTACAAAATTGTGTAAGAATAAAGGTCTTACTTCTTGCTTTAACTTTTTACATCACTTCAAGTCTATAAGTAGCTTGGCATTATTTGTGATCCAAATAACATGTTATTGTCAAAATGACTTTCCAGCAATGTAAACTTCATAAACGAGTAATGTTTTGCCTTGAAATTTTAGGTTTACTTAAAAATATTGTCGAGTCTGGAACAAACATTAATTTCCAAAGCCATGTAGTATTGAAGGGAGTTCTTCTCATTCAGATTAATTTAATCTTGACCATAGAGCTTTACCACTGTTAAGCCACTGAAAACAAGTCAGGACATTCACTTTTATATCTGACAATATTTTACAGAAGGGACAATGGTAAAGTCCACCAAGAGCGAAGAGAGTTAACATTGAAACTACTGATTCAATAATATACGATATATTCAAATATTTTCTGCATAGTGCCTGCTGATGACAAAATAAATAACCATAGGCTTTACACACTTTGCATTTTCACAAGCTTTGTAAATTTGTCCAAGACTTTTTCTGCTCCATACATATTTTACCATCATCAGCTGTAACCCATTTTATCAGATTCCACTTGATGTTGTACTTGGTGTTTTCTGTGACCCTATTCTCATCAGAAGTGTTCTCAGTAGACTATTCATCGAGCCTAATCTTTCATTTTTTTATTATTTATTTATTTATGTATTTATTTATTTTTGAGAGTCAGTCTCACTCTGTCACCCAGGCTGGAGTGCAGTGGCGCAATCTGGGCTCACTGCAAGTTCCACCTCTCGGGTTCACGCCATTCTCCTGCCTCAGCCTCCCGAGTAGCTGGGACTACAGGCACCCGCCACCATGCCCAGCTAATTTTTTGTATTTTTAGTAGAGATGGGGTTTCACCATATTTGCCAGGATGGTCTCAATCTTGTGACCTCGTGATCTGCCCGCCTCGGCCTCCCAAAGTTCTGGGACTACAGGCATGAGCCACCATGCCCGGCCTAATCTTTCATCATTTTAAACTCAGCATTGACTCCTTAAATAACAACTGAGAAGCATTAGTAACATCTGTCAACTCATTAAGAACCAACAGAAATCACTTACTTTGTTTTTGATACTGCTATTTATCCCAAATTCCCCAACTATTTGAGCAACTATTCGAGCAACTATTCTTGCTGAAAGGCTAATAGTCTTATTTCCTCTGGACAGAGTCCAGGGTTTATTTTCTCTGGACACATTCCTTTGGCTGCTAATCAAACATGATGTAATTAACTTACCATCAATAAATAGCTCTCCTTGCTTGGTTAACAAATGAGCCTCATGGAAAATCACTTTCCTTGCAGCAATTTTTTTTTTTTTTTTTTTGAGATGGAGTTTCACTTTTGTCACCAAGGCTGGAGTGCAACGGTGTAATCGTGGCTCACTGCACCCTCCGCCTCCCAGGTTCAAGCAATTCTCCTGTCTCAGCCTCCCAAGTAGCTGGGATTACAGGCACCTGTCATCACATCCAGCTAATTTTTATGTTTTTTAGTAGAGACAGGGTTTTGCCAGGTTGGCCAGGCTGGTCCTGAACTCCTGACCTCAAGTAGTCCACCCACCTCCCAAAGTGCTGGATTACAGGTGTGAGCAACCACGCCCGGCCACAGCATCATTTTTATTGTTCATTTTTGTGAACAAATTCAGCTATATTAAAATATTCTTTTTTAAATTATCTAATTTTCTAGACCATTGCCTTTCTGTAAGTTAGGAAGATTGTGATAAGTGCTTAGTCTGGTTATGATGATGCATATTGTATTTTTTAGCCTAACTACAGTGTCATTCTATTATAAATATGATTCTTTGTCATCTAATTCAATAACAAAATAATCAACACTGCTATGCCTTAGAAGTGTGACATTCCGGGAGGCTGAGGGACGAAAATGGCATGAACCCGGGAGGCAGAGCTTGCAGTGAGCCGAGACTGCGCCACTGCACTCCAGCCTGGGCACCAGAGCGAGACTCTGTCTCAAAAACAATTAAAAAAAAGAAAGTATTACATTCAAAGTCCTCTTTTTGACAGAGGGTAGTGGCTCACACCTGTAATCCCAGCACTTTGGTAGGCCGAGGTGGGTGGATCACCTGAGGTCAAGAGTTCAAGACCGGCCTGCCCAGCACGGTGAAACCCCGTCTCTACTAATACAAAAATTAGTCGGCATGATGGTGGACGCCTGTAATTCCAGCTACTCAGGAGGCTGAGGCAGGAGAATTGCTTGAACCTGGGAGGCAGAGGTTGCAGTGAGCCAAGATTGCACCACTGCACTCCAGCCTGGGCAACAGAGAAAGACTCCGTCTCAAAACAAAACAAAAAAACAAAGTCATCATTTTCTTTCCTTTTCTGTTTTGTTTTCACATAATGGGTATGCACTGGGTAATAAAATAAATATTACAGCATGCAGATATGTATGGCACTTGAAATAATGTCAAGTTTTGAGTTTACTGTGATTTGTAATGTGCTGAGAAGAGCATGACGCTACGAGGACCCCACTCAGGACTATTGTGCCTACACAATTCTGCCACTGTAACCCAAAAGTGACCACAGGCAGCTCAGAAATGAATGAGTGTGGATATGTTCTAAGAAAACTTTAAGTATGGACACTGGAATTTGAAATTCGTATGATTTTCGTGTGTCACAAAATATTAATTAAAAAGTAAATTATTGACAGGGTGCAATGGCTCATGCCTGTAATCCCAGCACTTTGGGAGGCCGAGGCGGGCAGATCATGAGCTCAGGAGATCAAGACCATCCTGGCTAACACAGTGAAACCCCGTCTCTGCTAAAAATACAAAAAATTAGCTGGGCATGGTGGCGGGTGCCTGTACTCCCAGCTACTTGGGAGGCTGAGGCAGGAGAATGGCGTGAACCTGGGAGGCGGAGCTTGCAGTGAGCCGAGGTCGCACCACTGCACTCCAGCCTGGTAGACAGAGCAAAAAAAAAGCAAATTCTTTTCAGCCATTTAAAAACGTAAAAGCCGTTCTTAGCTCATGGGCCATACAAAAACAGAGGGTCAGCTGGGTTTAAACCTCAGGCTGTAATTTACTGACCCCTGTATTAAACAGCAGGCAAGCCAAAGTTAAAAGTTATAAAAGTTAATACAAAAGGCCGGGCGCGGTGGCTCACGCCTGTAATCCCAGCACTTTGGGAGGCCGAGGCGGGTGGATCATGAGGTCAGGAGATCGAGACCATCCTGGCTAACAAGGAGAAACCCCGTCTCTACTAAAAATACAAAAAATTAGCCGGGCGTAGTGGCGGGCGCCTGTAGTCCCAGCTACTCGGGAGGCTGAGGCAGGAGAATGGCGTGAACCCGGGAAGTGGACTTGCAGTGAGCCGAGATTGCGCCACTGCAGTCCGCAGTCTGGCCTGGGCGACAGAGCGAGACTCCGTCTCAAAAAAAAAAAAAAAAAAAAAAAAAAAAAAAAAAAAAGTTAATACAAAAATTAGCTGGGCATGGTGGCAGGTGCCTGTAATCCCAACTACTTGGGAGGCTGAGGCAGGAGAATTGCTTGAGCCGGGGAGGTGGAGGTTGCAGTGAGCTGAGATTGCGCACCACTACACTCCAGCCTGGGTGACAAGAAAAAAAAAGAAAGAAAATGAGGGCGGTGGTGTCTAATCTGATTCTAACATTTGAGAAATTTTGCAGTGGCTGTACCCAATAGGCTCTCACATCCCACTAGTAAGTAATTGTGGTTATTTAAAAATGAAATTTTTTAAATTATGCATTTCTTCAAATGGCTGCTAAATTGGTAGTCCAAACTACTTATTAGTGTATTATAACTTCTCTACTTAATAAACAGAACTCTTAGATATATTTTTGAGCCTAGGAATATTTTGAAAAAATTTTGAAGACACTAAGGGATCTATGCGCCTAACAAATTTGGAAACCTATCATCCAGACTATGATTTAAGTCACAGCCAGCTCCTTCTGAAACAGGTGGGGCCTCTCTGGGAAAGAGAGCAATTCTCCCACGCAAGTCAAAATCCTCCACCAAGGAGATGGAAATCAGGATACACGTGCCTGGGACTCTTCTTTCCTAATGACTTGGAACCTATAGGGGGGAAAGTAGAAAATGGAAATAACCCAAAGAAGGTACATAAGAACCGAAAGACAAGCAAATAGAAAAATCACGACGGGGAGTCTGTATTTCCACCCTGCTCTTTTTTCTTTTTCTTTTCTCCAGACCCCCATGCCTCCTCGACAGTGTGTTTCCCCATCACTTCTAATCCCAGGCTTGTTTGTTGATTTGCTTGGGCTGTTACAGTGGAATTTGGTTTTATTGAATTCTCAGCATGAAAACGATCCTTGCTGAAAGCAAAATTGTGTGTAAAAGTTATATCTTCCTTCTAGACAGTGATATGAGCATCCTCTGTGAGTGAGCCTAATCCCTTTTCAGTGGGGGGTCTGCTGGAAGTAAATCATGGAAGGGACACTCACCACCCCCACCCCGTGGAGTTGTTCACATCGCCTAAGCATGCCTTTGCAGCCACAGAGTTGCAAAGAGGGAGAGCTGTAAGAAAATTCGCCCATTCACTTACCTGTGTCGGGCCCACTTCTCCCTTCCTCCGTGAAGTCCCAACCCCCTGTGCCATCTGGGTTCTCAAAGAGTCCTGGGAGCTCCCATCCTTCCAGTACCTCGATACACGTCACCCTTCCGCCATTCTGCTCACCGTGCGTCCCGGCATGCAGCCTGCAGAGCTATACCCTCTACCTATACCTCCATCTCTCCTGTCCTCCTGTCCATCTGATGAAAATCAACTCTTCCAAGAGCAAGCACCCTCTTTTTTTTTTTTTTTTTTTTTTGAGACAGAGTCTCGCTCTGTCACCCAGGCTGGAGTGCAGTGGCGTGATCTCGGCTCACTGCAAGCTCCACCTCCTGGGTTCAGGCCATTCTCCTGCCTCAGCCTCCCGAGTAGCTGGGATTACAGGCGCCCGCCACCACGCCCGGCTAATTTTTTGTATTTTTAGTAGAGACGGGGTTTCACCATATTAGCCAGCGTGGTCTCGATCTCCTGACCTCGTGATCCGCCCGCCTCGGCCTCCCAAAGACCTGGGATTACAGGCGTGAGCCACCGCACCTGGCCAAGCAAGCACCCTCTTAAGCCAAATAAAGGATTCCTCTTTCTCATGCCCGCAATGAAGCTGCCGCTCACTGGCTGCCTTTGGCTTTGACCTAGTCACAGTGAATTGCAATAGTCTGCTGCGCTTCTGTCTGCTGTCTATCAGGCTTTGACCTTTGGGAAGAGGAGGCTCTGTCTCTTTTATCTTTGTCTCACATTCGCCTAGAACGGTGACTGGCACTTAGGAGAAGTGGAGGAATATCTGTTGATTTATAAATGAATAACTGAGGGCTGTCATCGTCTTTCCTCTGTGCTGTTGAGGAAAGCTGAAGAGACGGCCAGCCCTTCAGCTCTATGATGACAGGTAGCTTTGATTTTGCACTTTAGAGCTTTTTCATGCACATAAATCCATTAGTTTTTCTAACAACCTCAAAGGAAGTATTATTTTCGTCACTTGCATATAACTTCTAAAATGAAGTTTGGAACCATTACAAGACCTAACCCAAAACACACAGTTATTAATTGGCAGGTGTGGAACTTGAACTCAGCCTTACTGAACACCAGTCCAGCATCCTTCCTTCAATAACAGCATTTGCTCTGTGAAGCCATGCGTGCCATGCTAGTAGGCTCTTCCTCCTACCTTGCATGTGAGTTGCATAAGGCAGTGTTTGAGCTAGGGCTCCTTGGTTAGAAACAACAGAAACTGATCCAGACTCACTTAAGCAAAGGGCGTTTATTATAATCATGTTGAGGGTCTATAAAATCTATGAGAGGCTAAAGAAACGGTCAGCCTACTAAGGGAGGTGAGATGCTACAGTCACAACTGCTTTTCTGCAAAAACAGACCTAGCAGGATACCCAGGCTGGGAAGAGTCCATTGCAGTGGCTTCTTGCACCTCTGAGCCATTCTTTCCGGAGTCAAAGTTCTGGCAGATGGTTTCATTGGCCAAGCATCAGTCACTTGCACCTCTATAGCTGTACTTGGTGGGAGAAAAAGGAGCCGGCTCCTTTAGTTTCAACAGTAGGAGAAAGGCACCCGTACTTACCATCCCCTCCATAACTGCACAAAATGTGGGATGAATAATTCCCCAAAAGGGAATTGAGTGTGGACGGGTAATAGAAAAAATGTTGCATGATAATAAACAGACAAATAAATGCAACACTCAAGAATAATATTATTGATTTTGGAGCATTTTACATAGAAAAGAAACAGAAAAGAGAATGTGTTTGTGTTGATTGTTTTCCTGAATGGAACTATAATAATCGTAACCAACATAGTCATCTATATTTAAAAGTCAAGTAACGGTGCTTTCAACTCACACATAAAATCTCAAAATGTGAAAGATTTCAGGCTGCTGTACCATAGATGTTCAATGAAATTTTTTCTCTTCCTTTCTTTCTTTCCATTTGTTTTTCCTGGCTTTATTAAAGCATAATTGACAGATACATATTTCTTTCTTTAAATATGTCTACCTTCCATTATGTGGTATGATTACATACCTTTGAGGGCTTACGTATCTAAAAAATCTTTCCTAATTTGATAATATCTTTTTTTTTTTTTTTTTTGAGATGGAGTCTCGCTGTCGCCCAGGCTGGAGTGCAGTGGCACAATCTCGGCTCACTGCAGGCTCCGCCTCCCGGGTTCACGCCATTCTCCCACCTCAGCCTCCCGAGTAGCTGGGACTACAGGCGCCCGCCACCACGGCCGGCTAATTTTTTGTATTTTTAGTAGAGACGGGTTTTCACCGTGTTAGCCAGGATGGTCTCGATCTCCTGACCTCGTGATCCACCCGCCTCGGCCTCCCAAAGTGCTGGGATTACAGGCGTGAGCCACCGCGCCCGGCCGATAATATCTTTTTATCAGTAACATTGTCTGGTTATATTTGCTTGACTTCGGCAAGTTCGCTTCTGGAACATCAGGACACTGTGGAGATTAAGTTTCTTCCCATATTGTTGTTTTTCCCCCCAAATCATCAGGCAACCTGAGCTTTGCAATACCCAGAATTGTCCACAGTCCTAGGTCCTTTTGCAATCACGATTACGTCTCCATTTCTTATGTGTCTGTAACCTCATTGTGACCTTCAGTAATTTCTCATTTGAGGTTATTTTTTCCTGGTTTGAAGCATGACTGTGGCAGTCATCTTAATGAATGATGCTTGTTGAGACTGGCCACAGTTAAAGAGTGAACTCTGGCTATCACTCAAGTTTCTATTGATCAGTGAAATTTCAGGGGGGAAATCAATAATTAGCAATTTCTTTTTCTTTCCAAAATATTGGAGGAAACAAAGACATGTGATCGGTTATTTACTACTCCAGTTGGTGCAGAGAATTCAGGAGCTTACCCACAGTCACTTAATCTTTCTCTGCTTTAATGAAGCTCCAGCCCTGACTTCAGCATCAGGTCAATTTGACTGATTGCTGGGGGACTTGCCAAAATTACCTACTGCCCTTAGTTGTTCAATTCCAGAAACTGGAAAATAACTTTGGAGGCAACTTTAGGAGGAAGACTATTTGTCCTCTATATAGTCTAACCACCACCCCAAGACCCCCTATCTTCCTCTTTAAGAAACAGGAGATAGGGCTGGAGGCAGATGGGCTGAAATCTAAAATAGGTTGCAGCAAATATTCCTACAGTCATAAAATATGCAAAAAGCATCCTTTAAATGTTAAGTATTTGGTTGACTCATATGACATTGCCGCTTTTGTAGACTAAGGACAGTGAAATACCAGTGATTTCTTATATTTTAACCTAAATAAAGCTGGCCAGGCTCTGGGGATACAGCAGAAAGTGAGGCAGATACAGCCTTTGCCCTTAAGGCAGGGAAAATGACATGAAGCTTTGTCACATGACATGTTATTAATTATGTTGTGGGCTCTGCCACAGAGCAGGTAACAGAGGAACTTTCCACTGGGGGTAGTTCTGGGATGGCTTCTCTGCAGACGTGACCTGGAGGTTTCATGCTGAATGACGAGCACAGGCTGATAAGCAGAGGCCGGAGGAGGTGGGGACATTTCCGGCTGAGGGGACCACCCCAGGGGGAGCTTGGGGAGCTGTGCAGTGACTACAGATAGAAAGATGGGGTTCATCAGAGCACCACACAGTTCCCTGGGAGGCAACCGCCCTCAAGTGAAACTCCCAATGAGACACTATAGAATTCTAAATATTTTATAATGGCATTTATCTCTAGAAGCAAGAAAAACGCTATGGTTGATGGAAAGACCAAATAGAATTAGATACGACGTCAATAACTTTGCATGGCACTAAAATGTCTTATGGAATTAATTTAGAGTTTACAAAATGGAGATTTCGGTTACACCTGATTTAGGAATTTTACCATTTATAGATGAGATTGTAGTGATTATTCAGATGCAATGAACAGAAGGGAAGAAGCCAAAATCAATCTTTCTAACAAGATTCTCTACACTGCTTGCAAGCTTTTGTGTTTCATCAAATATATATTTGGAGTTATTTTTCCTCCAGATGAATTAATTCTCCATTTCCTGGTTTAAAGTATTTCCTTTCCTGCTCAGCTGTCTCATCTCTGAGAGTGTTTTTATATTTCATCTGCATCATCAAGTATGTTTACCTAAAATGGGCCCTCTGACACAAATTTACACGTACCTGTTCCAAAATTCAGGTTCATTTTGGGGGTCAGAAGCTTTTCCTCTTTAGGAAGGCCACACAGCAAAGTGGTTAAATATAAAAACTAACAAACAGAAAAGCTGGGCTTTGGAATCCACAGGCCTGGTTCTGATTCCCACTGCTGTGTAACATGACTTTGTACAAGGCACTTGATCTCTCTGAGCCACAATTTTTGTTTATTTTAAAAAGGAAGATAATTTTAAAAATGTGCATAATAGAGTTTTTATGAGCAGTAAATGTCATAGTGCATATATTCACTTAACAGAAAGCTTGGCACGTATTGTGCTTAATAAACAGCAATCATCATTTTGTTCAATATTATGTGCAATTCATGATTTTCCTGAAGTAATCAATAATAATAACTTTTATTGAACATACCCTTTTAGGCCAGGCACTGCTTTGTAAATTTAACATATATCACCATATTATTTTAAATCCCCTCAAAGTTGATCTTATTTTTATCAGTTTGGGGAATGAAGTAGTGTAATGCAGTCTTCAGAGTACGGTTTTCAGAGCCGGAAGACCTGAGTTCCATTGCTGATTCTGTAATTTATTAATAGCAAGAACTTGGGACAGTCATTTAGTTCCTCTGGGTCTTTGTTTCCTCATCCGAAAAATGGGATACACTTATCAGCTTATATAGACTTTGTGGGAACTGACTGTGACATAACATGAAAATTACAAAGTACAGGCCGGGCACGGTGGCTCACGCCTGTAATCCCAGCACTTTGGGAGGCCAAGGTGGGCAGATCACGAGGTCAGGAGATCGAGACCATCCTGGCCAACACGGTGAACCCCACCTCTACTAAAAATACAAAAAAAAATTAGCCGGGCATGGTGGCGGGAGCCTGTAGTCCCAGCTACTCGGGAGGCTGAAGCAGGAAAATGGCATGAACCCAGGAGGCGGAGCTTGCACAAGCATCTGTTCTGCTTGCTGTAAAGACGCATCCAGGAATAAATATAGTCTTTGTCAGAAATTTACTTAAACTAGTGGAATTGGGGCAGGGCACGGTGGCTGACACCTGTTATCCCAGCACTTTGGGAGGCTGAGGCAGGCAGATCACGAGGTCAAGAGATTGAGACCATCCTGGCCAACATGGTGAAACCCCGTCTCTACTGAAAATACAAAAATTAGCTGGGTGTGGTGGCGTGCATCTGTAGTGCCAGCTACTCGGGAGGCTGAGGCAGGAGAATCTCTTGAACCCAGGAGGCGGAGGTTGCAGGGAGCCAAGATCGCGCTACTGCACTCCAGCCTGGTGACAGAGGAAGACTCCGTTTCAGAAAAAAAAAAAAAAGATAATTACAAGGTACAGCTCCTTATGCATAGTAAACATAAAAAAATCTTAGCCTGTTTTATGATTTTCACAAGGAAATTGAGGCTCTAAGAGAATAAGTAGTTTATTAAAGGCAGCAAGTGTCAACACCAAGATCTGAGGGCAGCTCTAAGTCCAAAGTCTGTGTTCTTTCCAGGAGACGATTTGAGTAAGTAACCTTGACCCCTGTTATTCTAAACACTGAAAAGCTTGTCTACTTGCCCTTGTCGGACACAAGTTGGCTAAATAGATTGTGGTCTTTCAGCTACCATATTCACTACAGTTATCAGTTGCCTTGTTTTCCCTAAGGGTGGCTACTTATACCTTACAAAATCATCCATCTGAACTCCAGGACTTTTCAGTAGCAGCTGGATAAGGAATGAGCCATGGAGATAAATACACAAGGATAAGAACTGGCTGCCCTCACATGAAATCCAACATCTTTATAAAAGTAATATGAACATGCTGAAAAAATAAGGGCTTTTCTGCTTATAAGAAGATACATTACATTCGAAATAAAGATTTTCTGCTTATTACTATTTTAATGCATTAATTAAAGGCAGGTCATTATTGAACACATTATCATTAGTTATTTATTTCAAAGATGCATATCGGTGGGCAGGTTTTGTGGTCCACAGTAAGGTTCTCTCAAATTTGAACTTGAGGTTAGATGCTATTTTCCCAATAAAATTAAAATGAAGAGTTTGTCATAAATAAGCCCAGTCATCTGGAGAAGGAATTACCCACCCTAATTGATCAATGTAGTCACTGGAAAGTGTTGCTTATTATTTAAGAAAAATTAGGTCAGGCACAGTGGCTCTTTCCTGTAATCCCAGCACTTGGGTAGGCTGAGGCGGGAGAATCACTTGAGCTCAGGAGTTTGAAGCCAGACTGGGCAACATGGCAAGATCCCGTCTCTACAAAAAAATGCAAAAATTAGCCAGGCTTGGTGGCACATACCTGTGGTCCCAGCTACTTGGGAGGCTGAGGTGGAAGGATAGCTTGAGCCTAGGAGATCAAGGCTGCGGTGAGCCATGCTTGCACCACTGCACTCCAGCCTTGGCAACAGAGTGAGATCTTCTCTCAAAAAAAAAAAAAAAAAAAAAAAAAAAAGGGAAATTATAGCTATCTTATCTAGTTTGCAGAATAATAATATTAGGAGATGAAGACTTAGAGTAATTTAGATATTAGCCACCATGCTAGATTCATTCACGTATCTTTGTTAATTAAATTTCCCCAACAATTTGAGAAGCGTCTTACTCTCACAGTAAAATGGTATACCGTATTGTATAACATATATAGGTGAGACAATCAAAGTGCAAGGAGGCTATGTCATTTGCCCAGGAGCACAGTGATGAAATTTGAATTGAAGTCTGACACCAAATCCCATATCCTCTCAATAGAAAAGTAAGAATTCGAAAGTTTCCAATGCTACCCAGAGAAGAGTATGCCTATGAGAACTTCTCTACAGCAGCTCTCTCATCGCCCTCAACAGATTTCAGTTCTGGTGA
Organism: Homo sapiens; assembly: GCF_000001405.40. Taxonomy (NCBI): domain Eukaryota; kingdom Metazoa; phylum Chordata; class Mammalia; order Primates; family Hominidae; genus Homo; species Homo sapiens. The sequence continues at coordinate 6,354,358 of NC_000008.11, forward strand.
CAAAGAAATTCCAATTTCTCATTGTCTGTGTCAGTCTCTGTAAGGTATGTCTAGTTAATCACTGTAAAGTCAGATAAACAGAATGTTCCAGAAACACTTATGCTCTCAACAATTCCATCAAGAGTTCAACCCATATGTATCAAGTTCCTATACGCCCAGACACTACACTAAGTGCTATGGGTAGTTTAGACTCAAATAATTCATCTTTGATGAATGCAAAGATAAATTAGAGTCCTTCTCTGTCCTTAAGTTTAGCACAGAAGCTCACAACTTCTCATCACAAGATCCAAAATCAACTGAAGAATCCAGGGAGGTGAGTTTTGTGTGGAACAGAACAGAGGGGCCTCTGGTTCAATAGCCCTAACATGATCTAAGGCTATCACAGGGAGCAAATGTAAAACCCTGTGTGAAGGGAAGGGAAATGTCACCTTGTTACTGTAAGTGAAGGCAGGAGTCTGGGTTCCACACTCAGTCTCTGTTGATACCCCACAGCAGGAGGGCCCCTCATTACTCCTGCAGGAAGCAGCAGGAGATTCTGCCCTTCCCACTGGGCTTCTGCCTATGCCAGCCTGGGAGTGTGATGCTCCTCAGGCCCTGAGGTCATCGGCCAGCGCTTGGCTTTCTTCTGCCTTCCAGGGGATTCTTCTGTTTGCTTTATGTATAACGTCCAGGGTTTTTAGTTGACTTAGCAGAAGAATAGAGAAAAGTACTTCTACTGCATCTCCCAGAAACCACTTGTCAATCCAAAGCCAGCTTGCCTTGCGGGGGCTGCACATGGCAAGGGTTGAAGGCTGTGTTCAGCGTGTGTCACCTGCAGTGAAGACAGCCCCATGGGTGCTTCCTGCCCCTCCTGCATCTTGGCCTCACAGCAAAACCATGTCCCATCATAACTAGCCAGTTCCTGGAAAGGCAGACAGGCTGGGACTTAGATGAGAAAACAGTCATTCATCTCTGGATTTAATTCTGTCGTCTCCAGCTACAAGAATAACAAGCCATATGCTGTACTGTATTCCTGGCTAATACCCAGCAAGGAGGAAATGAGCATGCTTATGAATTATCCTGCTGATGTTCTCCAGTTTGCAAATCCAAGTGTTATTTTAAGTACTATCTCTGCCAAAATAATCGTTTCCCACCACGGATGCTTCAATTTGAAAATAACCTTAGAAATTGTCTTCTTTATATTACATGTTCATCTTTACATTTTAAATCTATTTTTAACCCACAAGGGTTAATTTTGCAATAGCCACTGACTTACAAGAATCAATGCGGTATTGGCTGGCTAAAAAATTGCCCTTGCCTGCTAGTATGCAGTGAAAAACAGAAAAGCAGTTATTACCAAGGTCTACTTAAATAGTCAATTAAAAATATGTCTGGGCCTGGTGGCTTATCCTGTAATCCTAGCACTTTCGGAGGCTGAGGCGGGTAGATCACGAGGTCAGGAGCTGGAGACCATCCTGGCCAATATGGTGAACCCTCATCTCTACTAAAAATACAATAACTAGCCAGCCATGGTGGTGTGTGCCTGTAGTCCCAGCTACTCAGCAGGCTGAGGCAGGGGAATCGCTTGAACCCGGGAGGCAGGGATTGTAGGGAGCTGAGATCCTGCCACTGCACTCCAGCCTGGCAACAGAGCAAGACTCCATCTGGAAAAAAAAAAAAAAAAAAAATATATATATATATATATATGCCAAATAATAGTTATGGCCTAAAATTAAAGCAAATTCAGATGTATTACTAAAAAAGCTGTTTTTCAAGTAGAGGTCAATGCTGAATCCTCAAAAATACACAATAAACCAAAACATTCACATAAATGAAAAGATTTAAAAATCAGAAGCTAAACAGAAAACCTGGATTTACTTTTTATTCTTCAGTGTCTTTAGGTTTGAGTTCTCCTGTGTAACTATGGATAATTGCACATTCTGGCTCATTTTCCATAAGCTCCTGAATTATAGCATCTTTGTTATTATGGTAGTTAATGTGCAAACTTTGAGAATCTACTTATTGCTGGAGAGGCACTCAAGTTCTTTTCCTGCCTTTCCATACAATCCAAAAACATCCACAAGTTCAAAGCGGGGAACAACAGTTAGCTGAGTACATGAACGAAAGACCAATACTCATGGTGAACCAGCCCCCACCAAGACACACACACACACACACACACACACACACACACACACACACACACAATGTGAGCCACTGGGTGTAGCCAGAAAAAGGGGAGAGAGAAGCAGGCCATTTTCAAGATGCCCTTCATATCCCTTGAGATAGCTCCACAAGACCCATGGGTCTGAGAGCAGACTACCCAGCAGTGGAACGCCTCCACTCCCAGCCTCTAAATGTAGCACCTTAACAAAACATCTAGAACGGCTTCTGATCTGCTTGTGGATTAAATTCCAATGGATTTTTTTTGCAACGGAGTTTCTCCCTTGTTCTCCAGGCTGGAGTGCAATGGCTCGATCTCAGCTCGCCGCAACCTCCGCCTTCCGGGTTCAAGCGATTCTCCTGCCTCAGCCTTCCAAGAAGCTGCAGTTACAGGCATGCGCCACCACGCCCAGCTAATTTCGTATTTTTAGTAGAGATGAGGTTTCTCCATGTTGGTCAGGCTGGTCTCGAACTCCCGACCACAGGTGATCTGCCCGCCTTGGCCTCCCAAAGTGCTGGGATTACAGGCAAAAGACACCATGCCCGGCCCCTCCAGTGCCTTTTCTTATTGTTTGCTGCCTTTCCTAATACCACCCACCAACTGACCCACATCAAGCCTCTTACGGAGATAACACCATCCATGGGTTCCCTGTCCCTTCTACATGCCATTTGCATGCTCACCTTCACCCAGCTACACTTGCTTATTTGTTTATCCGCAAGTATATGTGAAGCGTCTGCTCTATGTCAGGCAGCGTCCTAAGCGGGGAGGATAAACTGCAACCCTGGGACTGCCTGCCTTTGTTCACGCTCGTTTATTCTCAGAGTTTGTACAAACCTCCTCCTCGCCCAAACTCCACCCTTCTCCAAAAGTCCTGCTTCTCCCATGAAAAACATGCTCTGGACCCTCGTACCACTTCCATGCACGAAGGAGCTGAGACCACACATGTTCATAGGACGCTCCTGTATAGTATCAAGTGCACATATCCACCCACCCCTACTAAGAGCTGCAAGGGGTTTTTAGGAGAATATTCACATCCCATAGCGGGTTGTAGAGTAAAGGTTCAAATCTCAACTTTAGGAGAAAACAGATCACCAAGTTTTATCCCCGGGAAAGGGTGAGAGAATTAACATTTTTTGAGCAACTGCTAGGCCCTTTGAGTCAAAATCTGATTTAATCCTCTCAGCTATCCCAATATTAGACATTATTATTTCAAGTTTTAAAATGTTTTATTGTGGTAAAACATACGACACAACATTTAGCATTGTAACCTTTTTTTTTTTTTTTTTTTTTTTTTGAGATGGAGTCTCACTCTGTTGCCAGGCTGAGGTGCAGCAGCACAATCTCAGCTCACTGCAATCTGCACCTCCCGAGTTCAAGCGATTCTCCTGCCTCAGCCTCCCGAGCAGCTGGGACTACAGGTGCATGCCACCATCACCAGCTAATTTTTCTTTTTTTTTTTGAGATGGAGTCTTGCTCTGTCACCCAGGCTGGAGTGCAGTGGTGCGATCTCGGCTCACTGCAAGCTCTGCCTCCCAGGTTCATGCCATTCTCCCGCCTTAGCCTCTGGAGTAGCTGGGACTACAGGTGGCCACCACCACACCTGGCTAATTTTTTTTGTATTTTTAGTAGAGATGGGGTTTCACCATGTTAGCCAGGATGGTCTCGATCTCCTGACCTTGTGATCTGCCTGCCTCAGCCTCCCAAAGTGCTGGGATTGTAGGCGTGAGCCACCGCGCCTGGCCAGAGTTTCCTCCTTTTTAAGGCTACATAATATTCCACTGTGTGTATGCACTGTGTTTTCTTTATCCATTCATCCCTCCACGGACCCTTGGGTTGCTTTCGCCTCTTGATTACTGTGAATAGTGCTGCTGAGAACATGGGTGTATGGTTATCCCCATTTTTCTGGGTAAAACATACAGAAAACAGGATTTCTTACCACACCACTGGGGCTGGAATTCAAACCTAGGAGAGTCGGAATCTAAAAGACATATGCTGCTCTCACCCAAGCTGCCTCCCCTGCATTTATGCAAAGGAATTGATCAATACTGTCCTGACCAGGCCTGTGCAGGACCGAGGAGATGCCAGCATCACCTGCAAGTTTGTACAGAAACTTTGCTGCTCACAAGACCTCCTCCTTTGAGTTTGAGTGTGTCTCGCAAACTCAAATCAAAGGAACATGTTGGGCATGTGGTGAGGGGAAAAGATCAGTGATTGGCCAGATATGGAGGGAAGTCCTTCAGTTGTCCTGAAGGCAAAGGCTCCCCAGGCCTTAGCTGCAGCGTGTGCCTTGAGCGCTGGGCACCAAGACTGCCTGAGTTAGTGGAGAAAGCAGGGGTTTTGATTCTGTGCAGATCCAGGCTAAGGTGACATATAAACTCTGTGAGTTTGGCCCACACTTAGAAGAGCCCCAGTTTTCTCATCTATGAAATGAGATTATGATTCCCAATGCCGCTTGCTCACCCAGTTATCAGGGAGGAGTCAAAAAAGATGGTATAGAGATAGTGCTTTTCAAACTCCAGATGTTCTAATCAAATTATCAGTGGCTGCTACCGCTGCTGTCATTTTCTGCACCTTCTCTCTCCTCTCCACTTAAACACTCCCTGCACGCTGCCACCTCTGCCTGTGTCCTTCTCTGTAGCCGAGCTTCAGGCCCAATTTCTACTCTTCTCCTCTGGGGCAGTAGAACATGACCGTACGTGCCCAGGACCTGCAGCCAGACCACCTGGATTTGAGTTCCCAAGAGTACAACTCCAAACACATCACTAAGCCATGCAATGCCTGTCTGCTACATTACACCATGGAGGAAAAATGGCACCCACTCATGGGAATCTTGTGAGGATGAAATGAACAAGCTCTTGGAAAAGCACCCAGCTCCTGCAGGACTTTCCTCTCAGTGCCTGTGGGCTTCTTCCAAGGCCACTCCTTCTTGCATGGCCATCTCTTGCCATCCTATCTGAGGTCAGCCCAGATAGCAACTCCTTCATTACACCCTTCTTTCCCTCCTTCTCTACCTCCGTGTTAAATATTCTTTTCTTCCATTTGTCTGTGGGCTCCTTAAGAGCAGAGACTATGTCTTTGTCATCCACAGAGCCTAGTCTTGGGTCTAGCACATAGCACAGTGCTCAATGAGTGCTCAGTCAATGAACTAATTAATAATTGGTGAAGAGGTAAATAAACACAACACTCCTTCTGTTCTTCACACCTCAACCCAACTCCCCTAGTTTTTTGTTTGTGTGTTTTAGAGAGAGTCTCGCTCTGTCACCACGCTGGAGCGCAGTAACGCAATTGTGGTTCACTGCAAGCTCCGCCTCCTAGGTTCAAGAGATTCTCCTGCCTCAGCCTCCCGAGTAGCTGGCACTACAGGTGCGCGCCACCACACCCAGCTAATTTTTGTATTTTTAGTAGAGACGGGGTTTCACCATGTTGGCCAGGACGGTCTCAATCTCTTGACCTCGTGATCTGCCTGCCTCAGCCTCCCAAAGTGCTGGGATAACAGGTGTGAGCCACTGTGCCCAGCCACAATTCCACTAGTTTAAGCAAATTTCTGACAAAGACTGTATTTATTCCTGGATATGTCCTTACAGCAAGCAGAACAGATGCTTGTATTGAGACCCTATGTGCTGTCACCCAAGTGATCTCCAATCAAAATCTTCATCTTTATAAAAAGACTGGTTGCTATAACTACTAATGTGATACCCTTAGAAACATATCCCTCCCACATCGTATTCAGAATTAATGGCTGCCTTAAGCCCCAGGAGTGGGGTGCCATGGAGTGGCTTCACACACAGCTAACTGCAAGCCTGCATGGGGTCATGTCGGCTTGAACTGGGTTCTTCGGATGCAGTACAGCCTTCACCTATGCGGTTGGCCAATCTTGTTATAGATCCCATTCTTTTGCCTAAAGCTTGCAGCTCAACTCAGAATCAATGAAGGCAAAATATCTGCTTTACTGGGAGCAGGAGAAAATCTTGTTGAACACAAATAGGACCGTCTCTGTGCAGCTGGTGCTGAGTACACTTGAGGAGTATGTGTCCATGTGTATTCATGCACACAGACATACACACACACTCATGCATACACAACGATCACACAAATCCATCATTTCCAGAGCAGAACATGGACCTGACTACTAGTATTCCTACAAACAGGCTCCCCCACTCCTTCTCAGTAGAGTTCAAGATGAAGTGCAGCCTCAGACCACAGTAAAAGGTCTTGTGTGTTGAGGGAAGGGAATATGGTCCTGCCATCGTCTCTGTCAGGCATCCCACGTCAAAAAGTATAATAATAATATTATTTGAGAGGCCAATTAAAACCTTCTCAATTTCATGTGGTAAGAATAAAACAAGTCTGAAGAAATATTTGCTCTTTTTGCTGATCTGTACCAAGCAATCTGAGTAAAATCAGTGTTCTCGTGCTACAAATGCAGCTTTCAGACACAGCTACTGTCCCCCCTCTTCATACTCTTCCAGCCAGATTGCCCTGTCAGCCCATCAAGCCCCAGTGAAGGCTGCCCAGGGCCAGGGATGGGCATAGAGGGTATGGCAAGGACACAGTCTAAAGCAGGAGTTAGCGCTTAGTAGAAGCAGCTGACAGTGGAAGCCAGGCTGGATGGAGAGGCAAGGGAAGCCAGACTGATAGAGATGGAGGGAACCCCACAAAGCCAGAGCTGCTGCAGTGGAAGAAGTGAAACGGGAAGAGGACTCCGATCACACGGGAAATGTCTGCATATGAGACCTGGAAGGAGAGCAATGTAGAACTCTATGTCTGGCAACAAGAAGGCTGAATACGCAGAGAGAATAAATAATGAGGCAGCTCTGTGTTGCATGTCGGATGGGGAGGAAACGAACATACTTGAAACTGAGGAAGTCTGAGGACTGTAACTGCAGAAGAGCAAAGGCTCATAGACAGGGAGGCTGCGAACCCCAGAGGACGGAGCCCAGAGTTAACTAGAAGATGGCTGTCTGGGGTGAAACTGAAAGTTGAAAACTTTATCGAAGATGAAAACTTTATTTATACACACTTTTCTAGGAAGAAACGATTCCTATTTGCATGTTTTATTCTTATCTCCAACCTAGTCATGCTGCTTTGTGCTCCAATGAGAAAGACCTTGATGATTATAATCCGAAGAAAGAACAGCTAAAAGTCGACCGCTGTATGGTGAAAAAGAAAGTCAAATAAGATGGGATGGACAGACAGAAAAGAATTAATTATATGTAAACTAAGTAGCAATAAAATTACAGCATGAGTAAAGTACTCTGAGCGCAATTTTTTTAAAAAAGTAATTCAAGTAGTTCTTTTGTATCCTCCCAAGTGATATTTTTTATGAAAAAAGAGTGCTTTCTTTTTGATTGATCTCGGTTAAAATATTGAAAAGAGTCCATAATAGAGAGAAAATTAGTTTTATCCCTTTACTCACAATAAGGATACAGATTGAGTAATAATAATACCTTCTTAAAAATAAATATGTCAGCCAGGCACAGTGGCTCATGCCTGTAATCCCAGCACTTTGGGAGGCCAAGGCGGGCGGATCATGAGGTCAGGAGGTTGAGACCATCCTGGCTAACACGGTGAAACCCCGTCTCTACTAAAAATAACAAAAAAATTAGCCGGGCATGGTGGTGGGCACCTGTAGTCCCAGCTACTCGGGAGGCTGAGGCAGGAGAATGGTGGGAACCCGGGAGGCGGAGCTGGCAGTAAGCTGAGATCGCGCCACTGCACTCCAGCCTGGGTGAGAGAACGAGACTCCCTCTCAATCAATCAGTCAATCAATCAGTTGCCTTCGTTTGAACTCTAGAGTTCGAGTTACCTGACTAGGACACTTAGGATTCCCAGCAGTGGAGGGGAAGCGCTCCTGTCCACCCTCCCTCTTCATCTGCCCTCATCCTTATTTAGAGAGACATTTCTGGAGGACCTTCCAACCTGCAGCACATGCGACCTCAAAACCACATGTCTCTTCTCTCCCCACATCTGCCCACTTGTCTTGACCTGCAAACTCAGCTTTCCCTCCAGTTCTGGGATACGACTTGTCAATGGTTGCATTTAACAACTCCAGACTGACATTGGGAGACATAACCATGACACAATTTTCCAGGCCCAGCTCTGGTAACCACAACCTCCACTCCTCTCCTGCTACTGTTACTGTGTTTCAGTCCGCCCGAGTACTCAGGACCACTCCCAAAACCACGCACTAGCTTGTTGTCACTAGATCCTTATCAACCTTCTAATGACAATTTCAGAAATCTCAGTCTGGGATACCTGTTGTGGGAAGTCAGGGACCCCGAACGGAGGGACCGGCTGAAGCCATGGCAGAAGAACATGGATTGTGAAGATTTCATGGACATTTATTAGTTCCCCAAATTAATACTTTTATAATTTCTTATGCCTGTCTTTACTGCAATCTCTGAACATAAATTGTGAAGATTTCATGGACACTTATCACTTCCCCAGTCAATACCCTTGTGATTTCCTATGTCTGTCTTTACTTTAATCTCTTAATCCCATCATCTCCGTAACATGAGGAGGATGTATGTCGCCTCAGGACCCTGTGATGATTGTGTTAACTGCACAAATTGTTTGTAGAGCATGTGTGTTTGAACAATATGAAATCTGGGCACCTTGAAAAAAGAACAGGATAACAGCGATGTTCAGGGAACAGGAGCGATAACCTTAAACTCTGACTACCGGTGAGCAGGGCAGAACAGAGCCATATTTCTCTTCTTTCAAAAGCAAATGGGAGAAATATCGCTGAATTCTTTTTCTCAGCAAGAAACATCCCCGAGAAAGAGAATGCATCCCTGAGGGTAGGCCTCCGAAATGGCCACTTTGGGGGCAGCCGTCTCTTATGGTCAAAGCTGTAGGGATGAAATAAGCCCCAGTCTCCCGTAGCACTCTGAGGCTTATTAGGATGAGGAAACTCCCGCCTAATAAATTTTGGTCAGACTGGTTGTCTGCTCTCAAATCCTGTCTCCTGATAAGATGTTATCTGTGACAATGCGTGCCCGAAACTTAATTAGCAATTTTAACTTCACCCCAGTCCTGTGATCCTGTGATCTTGCCCTGCCTCCATTTGCCTTGTGATATCTTATTAACTTGTGAAGCATGTGATCTCTGTGACCCACACCCTATTTGTACACTCCCTCCCCTTTTGAAAATCAGTAATAATAACTTGCTGGTTTTACAGCTCAGGGGGCATCACAGAACCTGCTGACATGTGATGTCTCCCCCGGACACCCAGCTTTAAAATTTCTCTCTTTTGTACTCTGTCCCTTTATTTCTCAGGCCAGCTGACACTTAGGGAAAATAGAAAAGAACCTACGTGAAATATCGGGGGTGAATTTCGCCTGATATCTGGCTGAATTTCCCCCAATAGATGCCCACCTCCAGCCCTCATGCTCATTTATTCTCGTAGCAGCAGTTCTTCAAGGCCACTGAGACTCCACCCCACTGACGCTGCCATTTCCTCCATCCTCCTCCCTGTCAGCACTTAACCTCACTCATGGCTGAGCTCCCACGGAGTCTACACTCCAACCACTCTTTTGCAAACACTGAAAGTTCCATTGTCTCATGGTTTATCCTCCTCACTGAAAGTCCCTGTTGTGTTGACTGGAAACTCCTACTCATCCCGAAAATTCCCTAAAGAGCTTCTTGTCTTTATATACAGACCCTCTGCCCTATGGAGGGGATGCCACTCATGATTTCCCAACACAATCTTCTTGTTTTCCTCCCTTGCAATAAAAGTGAGCTTCCTACCACATTACTTGCAAAATATTGAAGAAATAGGAATCCTAGTTAGACAAACTCAATCACTCTACATTTTTGATAGCTTGATCTATATATATATATTTACAATTTTTAAAAAATTACAAATAATTTCAGTTCCCTTTACAAAGGCTAAAAACTCAATCATTTAAGGTTAGGTGGGCTGGGCACAGTGGCTAACGTCTGTAATCCCAGCACTTTGGGAGGCTGAGGTGGGCAGATCACCTGAGGTCAGAGGTTTGAGACTAGCCTGGCCAACATGTCAAAACCAAATCTCCAATAAAAACACAAAAAAAATTAGCCAGGGTGGTGGCACACATCTGTAGCCCCAACTACTCTGGAGGATGAAGAAGGAGAATCACCTGGGCAACAGAGGGAAACTCCATCTCAAACAAACAAAAAGGTTAAATGATAAAGCCACCATGAATCTTTCTAGTTATACAAAGGTGAAAAATAGACAGGTATAAACTAAGTGGACCCACTCTGTTGAGTCCAAGAGGAAAAAATGGAATTCTCCTCTGTCCACGACTTTGAGTAAAGACAGAAAGATACTTTGCAATGTGTCTTCTTTACCTGCCAACTTCTGATATAGAGGCTGGAAAAAGGTTATTATTTAGTAGCCAGTGGCATGGCCAAGGCTCAGTCAAGCTAAACTAGAGACTTCACAAATACATACAGCAGCCATGTGTTGGCACACCCAAGACTCTTCTGCTTTGTGCGACTCTTTTTTTTTTTTTTTTTTTGAGACGGAATCTCACTCTATTGCCCAAGTGCGATGGCACAATCTCAGCTCACTGCAATCTCCCCCTCCCAGGTTCAAGTGATTCTCCTGCTTCAGCCTCCCAAGTAGCTGGGATTAGAGGCACGCAACACCATGTCCGGCTAATTTTCATATTTTTAGTACAGACGGGGTTTCACCATGTTGGCCAGGCTGCTCTTGAACTCCTGACCTCATGATCTGCCTGCCTCGGCCTCCCAAAGTGCTGGGATTACAGGCGTGAGCCACTACACCCGGCACCAGCAACTCTTATATCAGAGTCCAGCTGTCTGGGGAAGACAAGTGATCTCCCGAAAAATGCAGGAGAAATGAAGACACCAACATTTGTTAAGTGTGTTGTGAGCCAAACTGTTTCTATGTTCTCTGATTCTCAAAAAAGAAAAAAATAGTCCTTCAAGATGAATAACGTTACATCCATTTGAAAGATTTGGAGACATACAAAAGTTGAGTAACTTGGTCAAGACCAACACAATGCTGCCTCTAGTAAACAGCAGAGAAGAATGTGATGGAGTGGCTCTGGTCCTCCACCCGCTGCTCACCTGCGCTCAGTTTTCCACCATGAACGGAGGCGTCACGTGTTTGCCATTCTCCAAGTCATTAAGCTAAAAGAAACTTCCGGGAAGTAAATTAGTCCAGGAATATCATCAAGGCCACTGCAGAGAGATCGACACTTTACACATCGCCTAATATATGTGTTTATGTAAATGGCAATAAACAAGCCTGATTTACATCAGTGTCTTCAATATAGTTTCCCTTGACTTTGCATAATGAATTTTAACATTCGACTTTAGGTAGGTGAAATTTAGATACAAAAGTCAAAGCAGTGGGGCAACGTATGCATTCAGAAAAGGGAAATACTGGCCAGGTGCGGTGGCTCATGCCTGTAATCCCAGCACTTTGGGAGGCCAAGGTGGGCGGATCGCCTGAGCTCAGGCATTCGAGACCAGCCTGGCCAACATGGTGAAACTCCGTCTCTACTAAAAATACAAAAATTAGCTGGGCGTGCTGGCACATGCCTGTAATCCCAGCTACTTGGAAGGTTGAGACAGGAGAATTGCTTGAACCCGGGAGGCGGAGGTTGCAGTGAGCCGAGACTGCAGTGAGCCGAGACTGCACCACTGCACTCCAGCCTGGGCAAGAAGAGCAAAACTCTGTCACTCACACACACACTCACACACACACAAACACAGAAAGAAAAGTAAGAAAAGAAAAGGGAAACATCAATAAATAAGCCCTTGCCAGACTCCTGGAAGATTTGAAAAAAAAAGGGAGCAAGAGTTCTTTAGATCTCAGAGAGGGGCAAATGAGAAAACAAGTCAGAGATAATGTCCATGGTGAGGCAACTGCAGGTTGAACTACATAGTTTCCGAGCTTTCTTCCCGCATAAGAACCTATGATTCGATTCTATCAGAAGGGAAAATAGTGAGTGAGAAGGGGGACCTTTGTAGTGAGACTTCAGTGAGACCCCCAATATTAATATTGTATCTCTTTCCTGGGCTCAAAAAGCCAAGCTGACTCCCTGGAACCTTCACTGCGAATAATGAGCAATGTTGGCGCTTTGCCCAGTGAACGTTCATCTTCCAGAACCCAAGGCCACCTCCTTTTTCACTTTTCATCAAAGTGAAAGTCAATTAATGTGACTGCTCTCTCCAAAAGGAGAGAAAGCATTGGCTCAGTTAGCTTCAAATTCAGCCGCATTTATCACATATTTTAAAAAGCCAGACTCTTACAGATGTCCTCATGACAATTCTGGATGAATATTCCCTAATTTTTATTTGTAAATCATCTCTATTGAGGTATAATTATACACAAAAAACATCCATTTTAAGTGTCCAGTTTCTTGTGTTTTGACAAATGTATACACCTGTGTAACCATCAACACAATCATGACGCAGAATATTTTTATCAACCTGTGAATTTCCCTCCTTCCCCAGCCCCAGTCAGCCACTGATATGCTTTTTGTAGTTATAAATATTTTACCTTTCATTTTCTATAAACAAAACCACATGTATGATCATATTTGTATCCACTTTGTTAAACTCAATATAGTGTTTTCAAGGTTCATCCATGTTATTGCAAGTATCAGTAGCTCTTCTTTTTTTTTTTTTTTTCTTTTTTGGTGAGATGGAGTCTTGCTGTCACCAGACTGGAGTGCAGTGGCACGACCTCGGCTCACTACAACCTCTGCCTCCTGGGCTCAAGCGATTCTCCTGCCTCAGCCTCCTGAGTAGCTGGGACTACAGGCACGTACCACCACACCCAGCTAATTTTTGTATTTTTAGTAGAGACGGGATTTCGCCATGTTGGCCAGGGTGGTCTCGATCTCTTGACCTCATGATCCACCCGCCTCAGCCTCCCAAAGTGCTGGATTGCAGGCATGAGCCACCCCGACTGGCCATCAGTAGTTCATTTCTTTATGTTGCTGAATAGTACTCCATTGTATGGATAACTATGGTTTATTTATACCACACTCACCTGTTGATGGGTGTTTAGGTTGTTTGTAGTTTGGGACTCTTATGAATTAACATAAAATGAACATTCATGAACAAGTCTTAGTGTGAACACAGGTTTTGACATATCTGGGATAAATAGCCAGGAGTGAACTTTCTCATTTGATGGTATGTAAATGTTTAACTTTATAGTAAACTCTTTTCCAAAGTAGTTGTGCCACTTTACACTGCTACCAGAAGTGGGTAAGAGTTCTAATTGCGGCCGGGCGTGGTGGCTCACGCCTGTAATCCCAGCACTTTGGGAGGCCGAGGTGGGTGGATCACGAGGTCAGGAGATAGAGACCATCCTGGCTAACACAGTGAAACCCCATCTCTACTAAAAATACAAAAAATTAGCCGGGCATGGTGGCGGGTGCCTGTAGGCCCAGCTACTCGGGAGGCTGAGGCAGGAGAATGGCGTGAACCCGGGAGGCGGAGCTTGCAGTGAGCCGAGATCACGCCACTGCACTCCAGCCGGGGCAACAGAGCGAGACTCCGTCTCAAAAAAAAAAAAAAAAAAAAAGAGTTCTAATTGTTCTACATCCTCATCAGCATTCTGTATTTAGTTTCCCATTTCAGCCACTATGGCAAGCGTGAAGCAGTATACCTTTGTGGTCCTAGTTTGCATTTTTCCCTGATGACTGATGATGTGAAGGATTTTCACTGGCCATGTACTTATCTTCCATTCAAGTCTTTTGTCCAGTTTTCCCTATTGTGTTCTTTTTATTAAAGAATTTAAGTTATTTAAATATCTTTAGACTGGGCATGGTGGCTCACACCTGTAATCCTGGCACTTTGGGAGGCTGAGGCAGGAGGATTGCTTGAGCCCAGAAGTTTGAGACCAGCCTGAGCAGCACAGTAAGACTCTGTCTCCATAAAAAATATAAATAAAAATAGAAATTTAGCCAAGCATAATGGTGTGCACTTGTAGTCCCTGCTACTCCAGAGGCTGAGGCACGAGGATCACTTGAGCCTAGGAGTTTGAGGCTACAGTGAGCCATGATGACACTACTGCACTCGAGCTTGGGTGACAGAATGAAAGAGACCCTGTCTCAAAAAAAAAAAAAAAAAAAAAGTTATACAAGTCCTTTGTCTAATACAGGTATGGTGAATATCCTCTCTCAGTCTGTGGCTTGCCTTTTTCTTTTCTTTTCTTTTTTTTTAGATGGAGTCTCACACTGTCGCCTGGGCTGGAGTGCAGTGGTGCAATGTTGACTCACTGCAACCTCTGCCTCCGAGGTTCAAGCAATTCTCCTGCCTCAGCCTCCCGAGTAGCTGGGATTACAGAGGCCTGCCACCACGTCCAGCTAATTTTTTGTATTTTTATTAGAGACAGGGTTTCATCATGTTTGCCAGGCTGGTCTCGAACTCCTGACCTCGTGATCCGCCTACCTCAGCCTCCCAAAGTGCTGGGATTACAGGTGTGAGCCACAGTGCCCAGCAGCCTTTTCCTTTTTTCCTTCGTTTTCTTTCTTTCTTTTTTTTTTCTTTTGAGACGGAGTCTCGTTCTGTCACCCAGGCTAGAATGCAGTGGCGTGATCTCGGCTCACTGCAACCTCCGTCCCCTGGGTTCAAGCAATTCTCCAGCTCCAGCCTCCCAAGTAGCTGAGATTACAGGTACCTGCAGTGGGGGAGAGCATGTTTTCCAGACCCTGTTTCTAAGGAAAAATAATTAAAAAAATTAAAGAGGTAGACTGAGGAAAAGGAGAGCCCTGTGCCCTTAAGGAGCATATATTTGGGTCAAAGACAGGAAATAAACACACAATGGATAGATGAACAGAGAGCTATAGAAAAAAAAAACAGATGGGAAAAATTTCAAGCACCAACAAATTCTCTGAAAAAGATAAAACAATGTAATATGGTAGAAAAGGACTTAAAAAAAAAGGGTTATCACCTCTTTATGAAAATGTGACCTAACTGAAAAGATCAAAATAGTGAGTACGAACCAAAGGATAAGGAGAACAATAGAAAGTGTGAAGGTCCTGAGGCAGAACTGAGCATGGTACATTTAGGATGCAGAAAGGAGGGGAGAAAATATGGTAAACAAGAGAAACACAGAGGCGATGTTGGAGAGGGTGCTGGCCCACCTCACAGCCCATGGAGAGGCCTTTAACTTTATTCTGAGAATAATGAGAAGCCACTGAAGGATGCAAGCCACGCAGACATGATCTGTTTTAGACTTTGGCCAGATCCCTTCTGGCTGCTCTGTGGGTACGAACCATGCTAAGGAGGCCACCTAGGCACTGCTGGGGCCTGCAGGTAAGGGAGTGATGGTGGAGGTCCGTGTTGTGGCAGTGGAGACACTGAGGAGTGTTCAGAGCCAATATGTGTTTACAAGGTAGAGCTATCAAGATGTACTGCCATGGCCAGGCATGGTGGCTCACGCCTGTAATCCCGGCTGCTTGGGAGGCGAAGGTGCGGAAGAATCACTTTAACCCGAGAAGCGGCGGTTGCAGTGAGCCGAGATGGCACCACTGCACTCCAGCCTGGGTGACAGAGCAAGACCCCATCTCAAAAAAATAAAAAATAAAATAAAATAAAAAATAACATAACAATATGTAAGAAAACAGAAACCAGGAAGGGGCAAGGAAGCAATCATGATGAATGAGAGGTCCAGCATCTCATTGTCAGGATATTGTGATCTGGTGAGTTTCAGTTCTTTGATCCTTTCTTGAGAGCCATGAAGGTCATTTCCTGAGGAAGGAACTCAGATAAAACCAATGTAAGGTTTAAGCTCTAAGACGAGAAAAGTGAATTTCTATGTTCATTCAAAAAATTTTTGGGCCGGGCGCTGTGACTCACGCCTGTAATCCCAGCACTCTGACAGGCCAAGGCGGGCGGATCACGAGGTCAAGAGATAAAGACCATCCTGGCCAACATGGTGAAACTGCGTCTCTACTAAAAATACAAAAATATTAGCCGGGCGTGGTGGCTGGCGCCTGTAGTCCTAGCTACTCAGGAGACTGAGGTAGGAGAATAACTTGAACCCAGGAGGGGAGCCGGAGGTTGCAGTAAGCCGAGATTGCCCCGCTACACTCCAACCTGGCCACACCCCAGCCTGGCGACAGAGCGAGACTCCGTCTCAAAAAAAAAAGAAAAGAAAAGAAAAGAAAAAAAAATATCTATGTGACTATTGGGTTGGTTTCATAAGCAGGTTGATATGTCAGTAAGAAGTCCTGCATAGAGATTTTCAGCTAGTGATGCTAACTGAGACTGTGGATGTGGAAGTAGAAGAGGTCACTGAGGATGAGAGTGTTTAGAGAGGATGTGAGAATCTGGGGAAGAGAAACAAGATTTTTACATAAGAAAACTATGGATATGTTATGGAGTAAAGTTCACAACTTTTTAGCATAAATTCTGACTTTGCATGATGTCCACTTACTATAATGTCTAATTGTTCCTGGAGGGAAGGCCTTGAGAGTAAGTTGTCCAGGTCCTTGGCGTTTAGAACAAAGAATTGGACAAAACAGCACAAACAAAGCAAAAAAGGAACGAAGCACAAAAACGAAGCAGCAAGAGCAGGGATTGATTGATTGATTGATTTTTTTGACACAGAGTCTCACTCTGTCGCCAGGCTGGAGGGCAGTGGCATGATCTCGGCTCACTGCAATCTCCACCTCCCAGGCTCAAGCGATTCTCCTGCCTCAGCCTCCTGAGTAGCTGGGACTACAGGCACGCCACCACACCCAGCTAATTTTTGTATTTTTAGTAGAGATGGGTTTTCACCATATTGACCAGGATGGTCTCATCTCCTGACCTCATAATTTGCCGGCCTCAGCTTCCCAAAGTGCTGGAATTACAGGGGTAAGACACCACGCCCGGCCAGCAGGGATTTATGAAAGTGAGAAAGCACTCTGCAGGGTGGGAGTGGGCCCAAGCAAGCGGCTCAAGGGCCCCATTACAAAGTTTTCTCGCTTTTAAGTACTCCTTTTGAGGTCCCTGTCGGTTACCCCTTATCTGGATGAAAATTTGGTCTGTGACTAATTAAACGGTAGGGTGAACTGGCCCCCTATGCAGATGAAGGGATGGCTGGTGCTTGACCCACTTTTTGTCTCAGAAATATAACTAACTACCTACTTTTTAAAAAAAAATTAAAAGTCATTCTTCGCATCATTTAAAGTGTTGGTGATGATGCATTTAAGAGAATCCACAATCCACCTAAAGGCTATTATTGCTGGCCTCTTAAACCTGTTTTGCAATCATGAAGTGCTGGTATACTTTTGGTCCTGCCTCAAGAATGTTGGTAAATACACTTGCCTTGCCACCTTTCCCACCTTCTTTCAGAACCATTTGTTTTTAGGAATTACAAAAACACAGAGAGGCCGGGCACAGTAGCTCACGCCTGCAATCATAGAACTTTAGGAAGCCAAGGTAGATGAATTGCTTGAGCCCAGGAATTTGAGAGCAGCCTGGGCAACATGGCAAAACCCCTGTCTCAGCAAAACACGGAAAAAAAAAATCAGCTACGCATGGTGGTGTGTGCCTATAGTCCCAGCAACTCGGGAGGCTGAGGTGGGAGGATTGCTTGAGCCCGGGAGGTTGAAGCTGCAGTGAGCTGTGACTGCAGGCTCAACTTCCAAGCTGAGACCAAGCACTCCTTGTTTTTTCATTTTTTAAGCATTTATTTATTTGAAGACAGGGTGTCATCCAAGATAACAGAGACCCTGTCTTCAAATAAATAAATATTTTAAAAATGAAAAAACAAGGAGTGCTTAGTCTCAGATTTTTTTCCAGCAAATGTTGCCAATACTCTACCATGCTTAGAGAATGACAGCCACATCATGACTGCCACCTGGCCCTCAGAGGTGGTAAGACAGCAGCGATAGTAGAATCTATCCCAAATTCAGTGATTTAAAACGTGAAACACATGTGCATCACAGCACGATGCAATCCAGTACTGAAGGTAGAGGGAAGGGGAAAAAACTAGGAAGAGTAGTACTGCCACAGAGGCCACGATACTGCTGCAATATGAAGTACTGCCACAGATGTCACAGTATTGCTGCAATATAAAGTACCGCCACAATAAGAAGTATTGCCACAGAGGCCACGGTACTGCTGCAATAACAAGTACCACCACAATATGAAGTATTGCCACAGAGGCCACAGTACTGCCACAATATAAAATACTGCCACAATATGAAGTATTGCCACAGAGGCCACGGTACTGCCGCAATATAAAATACTGCCACAATATGAAGTATTGCCACAGAGGCCACGGTACTGCTGCAATAAAAAGTACTGCCGCAATAAAAAGTACTGCCGCAGAGTCCACAGTACTGCTACAATGTGAAGTATTGCCACAGAGGCCATGCTACTGCCGCAATGTGAAGTACTGCTACAGAGGACACAGTACTGCCACAATATGAAGTACTGCCAAAGAGGCCACGGTACTTCCGCAATATGAAGTACTGCCACAATATGAAGTACTGCCACAGAAGCCACAGTCCTGCCACAATATGAAGTACTGCCACAGAGGCCATGGTACTGCTGCAATATGAAGTACTGCCACAATATGAAGTATTGCCACAGAAGCCACAATTCTGCCACAATATGAAGTACTGCCGCAGAGGCCACAGTACTGCTGCAATATGAAGTACTGCCACAGAGGCCACGGTACTGCCACAATATGAAGTACTGCCACAGAGGCCATGGTACTGCCGCAATATGAAGTACTGCCACAATATGAAGTACTGCCACAGAGGCCATGGTACTGCCACAATATGAAGTACTGCCACAATATGAAGTATTGCCACAGAAGCCACGGTTCTGCTGCAATATGAAGTACTGCCGCAGAGGCCACAGTACTGCTGCAATATGAAGTACTGCCACAGAGGCCACGGTACTGCCACAATATGAAGTACTGCTGCATAGGCCACTGTACTGCTGCAATATGAAGTACTGCCACAATATGAAGTATTTTCACAGAAGCCACAGTTCTGCTGCAATATGAAGTACTGCCACAATATGAAGTATTGCCACAGAGGCCATGGTACTGCTGCAATATGAAGTACTGCCACAATATGAAGTATTGCCACAGAAGCCACAGTTCTGCTGCAATATGAAGTACTGCTGCAAAGGCCACAGTACTGCCACAATGTGAAGTCCTGCCACAGAGGCCACGGTACTGCCACAACGTGAAGTACTACCACAGAGGCCATGGTACTGCCACAATATGAAGTCCTGCCACAGAGGCCATGGTACTGCCACAATGTGAAGTCCTGCCACAGAGGCCATGGTACTGCCACAACGTGAAGTACTGCCACAGAGGCCACAGTACTGCCACACGTGAAGTCCTGCCACAGAGGCCACGGTACTGCCACAATGTGAAGTACTGCCACAGAGGCCACGGTACTGCCACAATGCGAAGTCCTGCCACAGAGGCCACAGTACTGCCACAACGTGAAGTACTGCCACAGAGGCCACGGTACTGCCACACGTGAAGTCCTGCCACAGAGGCCATGGTACTGCCACAATGTGAAGTCCTGCCACAGAGGCCACGGTACTGCCACAATGTGAAATCCTGCCACAGAGGCCACGGTACTGCCACAATGTGAAGTCCTGCCACAGAGGCCACTGTACTGCCACTATGTTAAGTACTGCCGCAGAGGCCACAGTACTGCTGCAATGGGAAGTACTGTCACAGAGCCCGCAGTACTGCTGCAATGTGAAGGAGTAACAGGGTTAAAAACATACTGCATTGATGTCCCTTTCAGTATTCTAGATTTTCAGTATCACCAAGGCTAGCCAGTCTTGCTGCTTTCAAAGCTATGTTGAAAGGCTATAAGTAGTTTTACTGTCATTTTGATGATCTGCATTTTCTAACTCTCTTAAATTGAATCTAGATTATGTGTGTAATATTTTTAAAGCCATAACGTGTGATTCGATGTTTTCTTGTTTCATCTAGGTTAATTTTACTATTTCTTGTACATGTCCTAACATTGATATCCAGGGAGGAGCATCTACGTACAGAATAACTACATTGGAGAAGTTGAAATAAGTGTTCGTGAGATGATTTTGCACAATGATCACCCACACTGTAACATGCACACTGCTGGCAAGCAACAGTTGGCCAGCAAGGGCTTCACAGGTAAAAGGTGCTAGTTACGTGGCTGTTTCCAGGAGAACTCTTGATGTTTTAAGGGCTTTGCAGTCCTTCCCATTTGAAAGCGGAGCAGCACCATCTAGTTGTGAAAACCAAGAGTGCAGGCTCCCTTTTTCCTTCTACTGTGGGTCTTGGCAACACTTCCCAGATTAAACAATTGGTTCTCAGACCTGCTTCCATTTTTATTAATAAGACAATTACATAGTCAAGTTTCTGTGGCTGTTAGTGATACATGTCTTATAAACAAACGCAAAAATGTCAAAACCTCAAAATTCTCTGTAAGTAGTGGCTGTACATCTCTAGTATCGCCTGTAAACAGTCATAACTTTTCAAACAACTTGTATAAGTTTTGGATTATGTTGGCAATATCAGACACATTTTGCCTAAAGATAGATGTGTTTTAATGATGAAAGTATTGTTTCTGTTCTAGAATGTCATCATCACAGAGTGTGAATCCTAGTCTATAATTCACTTGTCCTTATTAAATTATTTTACAAATTACATACTATGCAAACTCTATCACTAGACTTATTGTCTTCTTATTACCTGTCTCTCTCTCTTTTTTTTTTTTTTTTTTTTTTGAGATGGAGTTTCACTCTTGTTGCACAGGCTGGAGTGCAATGGCGTGATCCCGGCTCACTGCGACCTCCGCCTCCCAGGTTCAAGCGATTCTCCTGCCTCAGCCTCTCCAGTAGCTGGGAGTACAGGCGCCTGCCACCACGCCCAGCTAATTTTTTGTATATTTAGTAGAGACAGGGTTTCACCATGTTGGCCAGGCTGGTCTTGAACTCCTGACCTCAGGTGACCCACCCGCCTCGGCCTTCCAAACTTCTGGGATTACAGGCATGAGCTACCGCGTCTGGCCCTTATTACGTGTCTCTTAATTAATTTTTGGAAATTCTTAACTTGGTAGGCTTTATGAAGAAAATACATAAATTCTTTAAGATAGACATTTTCTGTCTATCTTATTTTCTGGTAGGTTAACAAGTGACATTTCTGAGTAATTTGTAAAATGTGACAGATAACCAATTCTATACGGCAGGGGTCCCCAAGCACAGACTGGTACCAGTTTGTGGCCTGTTAGGAACCGGGCCGCACAGCAGGAGGTGAGCTACGAGTGATCCAGCATTACTGCCTGAGCTCTGCCTCTCATTAGATCAGCAGCAGCATTACATTCTCACCCCTATTGTGAACTGCACATGTGCAGGAGAGAATCTAGCTAATGCCTGATGATCTGAAGTGGAACAGTTTCATCCTGAAACTATCCCCCTAGTCCCTGTCCATGGAAACGTTGTCTTCCACAAAACCGGTCCCTTGGTGCCAAAAAGGCTGGGTACCACTGCTATATGGGATATTAAGCTACTATAATATGTGAAGTTATACCACTTGCCAAGAATACTGGCTTTATTTTGATATTCATCTTCCCGATTCTTTTGGATTCTCAGCCACTATTTTGTAGTCTTTTATTCTTTTTCTATCTTGTTTCTGCAATATATAGCAGCAACAGTATAATGAGTTTCATCTAGAATTCTATTTGTTCAGAGTATCTCTTCACTGTTATTTCCCTATTTCCAGAGTATATTGGCAGGCAAGTGATATTCATGGACATGTCTTATGCCAGCAGGGTGCCACACTGCTCTGTTCACTTGCCACATTGAACCATAATTACTTTTTCCTCTATATTTCCACCTGGATTATGATCTGAAAGTTGTCAGACTGAGGATAGTGCTAAGGAAAGGTATTCAAACCTGGGATACAAAGCAAAAAGGTGAGTGGCACATCCTTTCCTTGTCATGTGGGAAAGAAGGCTTAAGGCAGAATTGTAAGCTGCCTGGCTGAGTGTTGAAAGCATGCCCCCAACATGCAATCACAGTCCCTTGACAAAGACTATGAGTATTTAATAAAAAATCTGGCCTGGCTGGGCGCGGTGGCTCATGCCTGTAATCCCAGCACTTTGGGAGGCTGAGGTGGGTGGATCACCTGAGATCAGAAGTTCAAGACCAGCATGACCAACATGGCAAAACCCCATCTCTACTAAAAATACAAAAATTAGCCAGCTGTGGTGGCCTGTGCCTGTAATCCCAACTACTCAGTAGGCTGAGGCAGGAGAATTACTTGAACCTGGGAGGTGGAGGCTGCGGTGAGCTGAGATCACACCATTGCATTCCAGCCTGGGCCACAGAGCGAGACTCCATCGCAAAAAAGAAAAGAAAATAAAAGAAAATATCTGTTTAATCTTCAGCTGACCACTAAGCAATATAGTTGTGACTTCAGTGGCAAAAGAAAAAAAATACAAGCTTTATGGATTTAGTTCAGAAAAGTCACTAAACAAACAACTGCAATAAGCAGTAACAACCGCAAACACTGGGGAGTGCCAGAAGGAGAGAAAAGAAAAGACAGAGAGAATATTTGAAGAAATAACAGCTGGAAACTTACCAAATTTGGTAAGCTCATTAATATCCACATCCAATAAGCTCAACAAATTCCAAGTCATATAAACTCAAACACATACATGCCTAAACATGTCATAACCAAACTGTCAAATGTCAAAATAAAGGCAGAATCTTGAAAACAGCAAGAAATGACTTATCACATACAATGAACGTCAATGAGATCAACACCTGATTTCTCATGTGGAACCTTGGAGGCCAGAAGGCAGTGGGATGATGTACTCAAAACCCTGAAAGAAAAAAAAAACTGTTAACCAAAAATTCTATACCTGGTAAAACTATTCTTCAAAAATGAAGATGAAATTATCAATACATCTGCTGATAGTTCAATTCACATTTAACACTCTGTAAAACTTTAGGGAAAACTTTTTTTTTTTTTTTTGAGACACAGTTTTGCTCTTGTTGCCCAGGCTAGAGTGCAATGGCACAATTTCGGCTCATTGCAACCTCCACCTCCCAGGTACAAGCAATTTTCCTGTCTCAGCCTCTCAAGCAGCTCCAATTACAGGCATGCGCCACCATGCCCAGCTGATATTTTTGTATTTAGTAGACATGGGGTTTCACCATGTTAGTCAGGCTGCTCACAAACTCCTGACCTCAGGTGATCCACCTACCTCGGCCTCCCAAAGTGCTGGGATTACAGGCATGGGCCACCACGCCCAGCCAGGAAAACTTCTATAAAACATAAAAATGTTCCAAAATAAGCTGACTATACTTGCTGAATTTTGATATTAAACAAAATATTTTGCCATCTTGGTAACCTAACATAGATGTTTCCATCAAATATTATGTGATGCACATCAAAGTTACTTCAAGTCATAGAGGAAGAAATTTAAAAGTTTACCCACCAATGACTTCCATAAAAGCTCCAAGTAGAGAAAAGAATTATGACAATGTGCTAATCTGGTCCAAGCATTTTTGCCTACAATCAGAACCAGAATTTTTGTTTTGTCCATTATGTTTCAGCACTATAATTTCACTAGTGATTCATTTGTATATTTATCTACTGACACAATTCTAGAAATTCTTTGTGAAATACATATACATTCTGTTAAAATTTTTATGTTTCCTGTAAAACACACAGAAGTGCATGCACACACATTGTTGTTTTTTATCAGTTTTACCTAACTGAAAAGCAAGTGAGTTGACAGTAACTTGATTTAATCATAATGTAGCTGATATGCTTTTTAAAAAATGCTTCAGCATCTATTGATTTAGTTAAGTCTATTTTCACAGAATAATAAAAATTTTTTTGTTTGTTTGTTTTGGAGACAGAGTCTTGCTGTTGCCAGGCTGGAGTGCAGTGGCGTGATCTCAGCTCATTGCAACCTCCACCTCCTGGGTTCAAGTGATTCTCCTGCCTCAGCCTCCCAAGTAGCTGGAACTACAGTGCACCACCATGCCTGGCTAATTTTTGTATTTTATTTTATTTTTATTTATTTATTTATTTTTGAGACAGAATCTTGCTCTGTCGCCCAGGCTGGAGTGCAGTGGCATGATCTTAGCTCACTGCAAGCTCCACCTCCTGGGTTCACACCTCCAGAGTCCCAGCCTCCAGAGTAGCTGGGACTAAAGGTGCCTGCCATCACAAAATACAAAAAATTGACTAATTTTTTGTATTTTTAATACAGACGGGGTTTCACCGTGTTAGTCAGGATGGTCTCGATCTCCTGACCTCGTGATCTGCCCGCCTCGGCCTCCCAGAGTGCTGGGATTACAGGCGTGAGCCACCGTGCCTGGCCTAATTTTTGTATTTTTAGTAGAGATGGTGTTTCACCATGTTGGTCAGGCTGGTCTCGAACTCCTGACTTCATGATCCACCTGTCTCGGCCTCCCAAAGTGCTGGAATTACAGGCATGAGCTACTGTGCCTGGCCCAGAATAGTAAATTTAAATGCAAAAGCTTAACTAAATTTTAACAACCGTTACCATTTATTTAGAATCTTTGAGCTAAATCTGTGGGACTCATTATTTCTAATTCTCCCATCAACGCAGCAGATGGGTATCATTATTATTCTCAAGTTACAGATGAAGAATACAAAGATTAAGTATGTTGCTGAAGCTCATGCTTAGTAAATTGTAGGGCTAAGGTCTGAAGATTGATCCCCATGTGAAGAAGAGTCATTCTCACCACACTGCGAAAACTTAAGGTTCTCACCCTGAAATCTGCTGCCTACATTTTTCAATCCCTTGAAACTGCTTTCAATAAAGCCCCCTGTGGCCTCCTTGTCACTAAGTTTAAGATGAACAATTTTTTTTTCTTTAACTTTTAAGTTCAGGGGTACAAGTGCAGGTTTGCCACATAGGTAAGCTTGTATCATGGGGGTTTGTTGTACAGACGATTTCATCAATCAGGTATTAACTTTAGTACCCATTAGTTGTTTTTCCTCATCTTCCCCCTCCTTCCACCCTTCACTCTCTGAAACGCCCCAGTATGTATTGTTCCCCTCTATGTGAGAGCTAAATGATGAACATTTTTCATCCTTATCTTCGTTGACCCTTCCACATCTGAAATTGTGACCTCCTCCCTCTCTGTGAAACAGAACCTTCTCTTGCCTTCCTCACCACCACCCTTCTGGTTTGCTTCCTACCTTCCTGGCTACTCCCTCTTACAATCCCTTGCCTATTATACCTCCTCCACCTCACTCATAAAGTTTGGAGCCCTTCAGAGCTCTGTTCTAAGTGGCTTTGCCTTTTCTTTTCTCATCATTCAATAATGCAACAAAATTTAGTGAACCTCTGTTATTCACAAGCACTTACGAGGCTTGGGTACCCTGCAGTGAGCAAGAGAGGTGAACATTGAGTAGATAATGACATGAGGAAGAGCCAAGACGGGAGGTTGGAGAATCCATGAGGAAAAAGTCATGCAGTGCCTCACGGGCTGCAGTAAGGATCTGCATATTCCTTGAGGATAGCATAGTCATTGAGGGACGTTAAACAGAGGAGTGATGTGATCTCATTTGTGTTTGTATAAGTCCACTCTGGCTACAGCAGTAAGAATAGATTGGGGTTGGGAGTGGGGACAATCACCATCATTCTTGGTCAGGCTTACTTTGAGACAGAGTCTTCCTTGTCACCCAGGCTGGAGTTCAGTGGCACAATCTTGGCTCACTGCAACTTCCACCTCCCAGATTCAAGCGATTCTCCTGCCTCAGCCTCCCGAGTAGCTGGGATTACAGGTTTGCACCACCACACCCGGCTAATTTTTGTACTTTTAGTAGAGACAGGGTTTCACCATGTTGGCCAAGCTGGCCTCGAACCCCTGACTTCAGATGATCTGCCCACCTCAGGCTCCCAAAGTGCTGGGATTACTGTCTCCCCAGATAGTTTTGGCGTTAAAGTATATTGAAGGATGGTAGTCACTGAATATTTCACATGCTAGTCTTGTGGTACAAAAATATAAATATATACTCCAAGGTCATGAACTAAATGAAAATACTAATAGGCAGGGGTTAGGGACTGATTTGTGTCTCCTCCCGCATCTTGTATGTTGAAGACCTAACCCCAATGTGACTGCTTGGAAATGGGACTTTTAAGGAGGTAATTAAGGTTAAATGAGGTCATAAGGGTGGTCTGTAATCCAATGTGTCTAATATCAGGACCTGATTAGATTGAACTTTCATAGTCTCCATTCTGATAATTTCCTCATTAATTTTATAACCAGAGGTCACGTGCTGTGGCTCACACCTGTAATCTCAGCACTTTGGGAGGCCAAGGTAGGCGGATCACCTGAAGTCTTGGGAGTTCGAGACCAGCCTGACCAACATGGAGAAACTCCGTCTCTACTAAAAATACAAAATTAGCTGACCATGGTGGTGCATGCCTGTAATTCCAGGTATTCAGGAGGCTGAGGCAGGAGAATTGCTTGAACCTGGGAGGTGGAGGTTGCAGTGAGCTGAGATTGTGCCATTGCACTCTAGCCTGGGCAACAAGAGTGAAACTCCATCTCAAGAAAAAAAAAATTTGTAACCAGTAAACAATTTTTGATTACAGTTTATTCAAACCAATAAAATTTTTGCTGCCCTGATCCTTTGATTAGAATTTAAAGGGGGTTGGCTGGGCACGGTGGCTCACACCTATATTCCCAGCACTTTGGGAGGCTGAGATGGGTGGATCACGAGGTCAGGAGTTTGAGACCAGCCTGGCCAACGCAGTAAAGCCCCATCTCTACTAACAAAAAATACAAAAATTAGCTGGGCATGGTGGCAGGCACCTGTAGTCCCAGCTACTCGGGAGGCTGGGGCAGGAGAATCACTTGAACCCAGGAGGCGGAGGTTGCAGTGAGCCAAAATTGTGCCACTGCACTCCAGCCTAGGCAAAAGAGCGAGACTCCGTCTCAAAAAAAAAAAAAAAAAAAAAAAAAAGAATTTAAAGGGAGTTTATATTAGCCTGAGTGTTATCTAGGCAATTTCTCTTCTAGAAAATATAGATGAAACCCACCACCAAATAAAATTGAAATTAAAAGAAAAAAACCCACAAATTTAAAAACACAGCTGAACTGTTCAGTGCTTCTGCCCCAGAAGAGAAAATGAAGATGGCCTTTCATCACTCAGGCAATCCCGCAATGGTTTCAGGGAAGAGCTCTACCTAGGGCACTGTTCAAAAGCACTTTGATAGTACTTTTTGATTCAGATTTTAAATTTTAAAAATCACCTAAAATTTTTCAATGGGATCATAAATACCACCTTCCTCCACAATCTCAAGGCAGTGTTTTTATTCTCTCTCCACTGTTTTTCTTTTAAATCTTTCCATTTCCTACCCATTTTTTGTTTGGCCATTTTCAGTACTTCAGAGCTGTGAGATTCAATGCTGCTCTCTGAGATGTCATTATTTATGTTATTCTTACCTGGTTGACTTGTTGTATCTCCTTTTTACTAGTGAATTGTTAAGGATTAAAGAGACCAAGAGGAAAGAGGCCAAGAAGACTATCAAAATACAATAACGGTATTTGTTTTCACATGTAATAGTAACATCCAGGGTTCTGTTTTATCCAGAGGATCCTTTCATTATCGGCTATTGAGACATGTGGAGAACATCTCCTCTTAAGAAATATTTTTAAACTATTAAATGACAAATTACCATATACCATTTCTGGGGATATATTCAAAATGATTGAAAGCAGGATTTTGGGCTGGGTGTGGTGGCTCACACCTGTAACCCCACCACTTTAGGAGGCAGAGGCAGGTGGATCACGAGGTCAAGAGATCGAGACCATCCTGGCCAACATGGTGAAACTACATCTCTATTAAAATACAAAAATTAGCTGGGTATGGTGGTATGTGCTTGTAGTCCCAGCTACTTGGGAGGCTGAGGCAGGAGAACACTTGAACCTGGCAGGCAGAGGTTGCAGTGAGTGCACTGTACTCCAGCCTGGTGACAGAGTGAGATTCCACCTCAAAAAAAAAAAAAAAGAAAAGAAAAGAACAGAAAAGAAAGCTGGATTTTGAAGAGATGTTCACACCCACATTCAGACCCCAACAAATTCCAACAGACCTGCAGCTGAGGGTCCTGACTGTTAGAAGGAAAACCAACAAACAGAAAGGACATCCACACCAAAGCCCCATCTGCACGTCACCATCATCAAAGACCAAAGGTAGATAAAACCACAAAGATGGGGAGAAACCAGAGCATAAAAGCTGAAAATTCTAAAAATCAGAGCACCTCTTCTCCCCCAAAGGAACGCAGCTCCTTGCCAGCAATGGAACAAAGCTGGATGGAGAATGACTTTAATGAGTTGAGAGAAGGCGGCTTCAGACGATCGGTAATAACAATCTTCTCTGAGCTAAAGGAGGATATTCGAACACATCGCAAAGAAGCTATAAACCTTGAAAAAAGATTAGACGAATGTCTAACTAGAATAAATACTGTACAGAAGACCTTAAATGACCTCATGAAGCTGAAAACCATGGCACAAGAACTACGTGATGCATGCACAAGCCTCAGTAGCCGATTCGATCAAGTGGAAGAAAGGGTATCAGTGATTGAAGATCAAATGAATGAAATGAAGCGAGAAGAGAAGTTAGAGAAAAAAGAGTAAAAAGAAACAAACAAAGCCTCCAAGAAATATGGGACTACATGAAAAGACCAAATCTACGTCTGATTGGTGTACCCGAAAGTGATGGGGAGAATGGAACCAAGTTGGAAAACACTCTGAAGGATATTATCCAGGAGAACTTCCCCAATCTAGCAAGGCAGGCCAACATTCAAATTCAGGAAATACGGAGAATGCCACAAAGATACTCCACGAGAAGAGCAATTCCAAGACACATAATTGTCAGATTCACTGAAGCTGAAATAAAGGAAAAAATGTTAAGGGTAGCCAGAGAGAAAGGTCGGGTTACCCACAAAGGGAAGCCTATCAGACTAACAGCGGATCTCTTGTCAGAAACTCTACAAGCCAGAAGAGAGTGGGGGCCAATATTCAACATTCTTAAAGAAAAGAATTTTCAACCCAGAATTTCATATCCAGCCAAACTAAGCTTCATAAGTGAAGGAGAAATAAAATCCTTTACAGACAAGCAAATGCTGAGAGATTTTGTCACCACCAGGCCTGCCCTAAAAGAGCTCCTGAAGGAAGCACTAAACATGGAAAGGAATAACCGGTACCAGCCACACTGCAAAAACATGCCAAATTGTAAAGATCATTGATGCTAGGAAGAAACTGCATCAACTAACAAGCAAAATAACCAGCTAACATCATAATGACAGGATGAAATTCACATATAACAATATTAACCTTAAATGTAAATGGGCTCAATGCACCAATTAAAAAACATAGACTGGCAAATTGGATAGAGAGTCAAGACACTTCAGTGTGCTGTATTCAGGAGACCCATTTCACACGCAGAGACACACATAGGCTCAAAATAAAGGGATGGAGGAAGATCTACCAAGCAAATGGAAAACAAAAAAAAGCAGGGGTTGCAATCCTAGTCTCTGATAAAACAGACTTTAAACCAACAAAGATCAAAAGAGACAAAGAAGGCCATTACATAATGGTAAAGGGATGAATTCAACAAGAAGAGCTAACTATCCTAAATATACGTGCACCCAATACAGGAGCACTGAGATTCATAAAGCAAGTCCATAGAGACCTACAAAGAGACTTAGACTCCCACACATTAATAATGGGAGACTTTAACACCCCACTGTCAACATTACACAGATCAACAACACAGAAAGGTAACAAGGATATCCAGGAATTGAACTCAGCTCTGCACCAAGCGGACCTAATAGACATCTACAGAACTCTCCACCCCATATCAACAGAATATACATTCTTCTCAGCACCACACCACACCTATTCCAAAATTGACCACATAGTTGGAAGTAAAGTACTCCGCAGCAAATGTAAAAGAACAGAAATTATAACAAACTGTCTCTCAGACCACAGAGCAATCAACTAGAATTCAGGATTAAGAAACTCACTCAAAACTGCTCAATTACATGGAAACTGAACAGCCTGCTCCTGAATGACTACTGGGTACATAACGAAATGAAGGCAGAAATAAAGATGTTCTTTGAAACCAATGAGAACAAAGACACAACATACCAGAATCTCTGGGACACATTTAAAGCAGTGTGTAGAGGAAAATTTATAACACTAAATGCCTACAAGAGAAAGCAGGAAAGATCTAAAATTGACACCCTAACATCACAATTAAAACAACTAAAGACGCAAGAGCAAACACATTCAAAAGCTAGCAGAAGGCAAGAAATAGCAGAACTGAAGGAGACAGAGACACAAAAAACCCTTCTAAAAAATCAGTGAATCCAGGAGCTGGTTTTTTGAAAAGATCAACAAAATTGATAGATGGTTAGCAAGACTAATAAAGAAGAAAAGAGAGAAAAATCAAATAGACACAATAAAAAATCATAAAGGGGATATCACCACCAAGCCCACAGAAATACAAACTACCATCAGAGTATACTATAAACACCTCTATGCAAATAAACTAGAAAATCTAGAAGCAATGGATAAATTCCTGGACACATACACCCTCCCAAGACTAAACCAGGAATAAGTTGAATCCCTGAATAGACCAATAACAGGCTCTGAAATTGAGGCAATAATTAATAACCTACCAACCAAAAAAAGTCCAGGACCAGACAGATTCACAGCCGAATTCTACCAGAGGTAAAAGGAGGAGTTGGTACCATTCCTTCTGAAACTATTCCAATGAATAGAAGAAGAGGGAATCCTGCCAAACTCATTTTATGAGGCCAGCATCATCCTGATACCAAAGCCCAGCAGAGACAACAAAAAAAGAGAATTTTAGACCAATATCCCTGATGAACATTGATGCAAAAATCTTCAATAAAATACTGGCAAACCGAATCCAGCAGCATATCAAAAAGCTTATCACCACGACCAAGTTGGCTTCATCCCTGGGATGCAAGGCTGGTTCAACATACACAAATCAATAAACGTAGTCCAGCATATAAACAGAACCAATGACAAAAACCACATGATTATCTCAATAGATGCAGAAAAGGCCTTCAACAAAATTCAACAGCTCTTCATGCTAAAAACTCTCAATAAACTAGGTATTGATGGGATGTATCTCAAAATAATGAGAGCTATTTATGACAAACACAGAGCCAATATCACACTGAATGGGCAAAAACTGGAAGCATTCCCTTTGAAAACTGGCACAAGACAGGGATGCCCTCTCTCACCACTCCTATTCAACATAGTGTTGGAAGTTCTGGCCAGGGCAATCAGGCAGGACAAAGAAATAAAGGGTATTCGATTAGGAAAAGAGGAAGTCAAATTGTCCCTGTCTGCAGATGACATGATTGTATATTTAGAAAACCCCATTGACTCAGCCCAAAATCTCCTTAAGCTGATAAGTAAATTCAGCAAAGTCTCAGGATACAAAATCAATGTGCAAAAATCACAAGCTTTCCTATGCACCAATAACAGACAAACAGAGAGCCAAATCATGAGTGAACTCCCATTCACAATTGCTTCAAAGAGAATAAAATACCTAGGAATCCAACTTACAAAGGATGTGAAGGACCTCTTCAAGGAGACCACAAACCACTACTCAATGAAATAAAACAGGACACAAACAAATGGAAGAACATTCCATGCTCATGGATAGGAAGAATCAATATCGTGAAAATGGCCATACTGCCCAGGGTAATTTATAGGTTCAATGCCATTCTTATCAAGCTACCAATGACTTTCTTCACAGAATTGGAAAAAACTACTTTAAAGTTCATATGGAACAAAGAGCCCACATTGCCAAGACAATCCTAGCCAAAAGAACAAAGCTGGAGGCATCACACTACCTAACTTCCAACTATACTCCAAGGCTACAGTAACCAAAACAGCATGGTACTGGTACCAAAACAGAGATATAGACCAATGGAACAGAACAGAGCCCTCAGAAATAATACCGCGCATCTACAACCATCTGATCTTCGACAAACCTGACAAAAACAAGAAATGGGGAAAGGATTTCCTATTTAATAAATGGTGCTGGGAAAACTGGCTAGCCACATGTAGAAAGCTGAAACTGGATCCTTTCCTTACACCTTATACAAAAATTAATTCAAGATGGATCAAAGACTTAAATGTTAGACCTAAAACCATAAAAATGCTAGAAGAAAACCTAGACAATACCATTCAGGACATACGCATGGAAAACCATAAAAATGCTAGAAGAAAACCTAGACAATACCATTCAGGACATAGGCATGGGCAAGGACTTCATGACTAAAACACCAAAAGCAATGGCAACAAAAGCCAAAATTGACAAATGGGATCTAATTAAACTAAAGAGATTCTGCACAGCAAAAGAAACTACCATCAGAGTGAACAGGCAACCTACAGAATGGGAGAAAATTTTTACAATCTACCCATCTGACAAAGGGCTAATATCAAGAATCTATAAAGAACTTAAACAAATTTACAAGAAAAAATCAAACAACCCCATCAAAAAGTGGGCGAAAGATATGAACAGACACTTCTCAAAAGAAGACATTTATGCAGCCAACAGACACATGAAAAAATGCTCATCATCACTGGCCATCAGAGAAATGCAAATCAAAACCACAATGAGACACCATCTCACACCAGTTAGAATGGTGATCATTAAAACGTCAGGAAACAACAGGTGCTGGAGAGGATGTGGAGAAATAGGAACACTTTTTTTTTTTTGAGATGGAGATCGAGACCATCCTGGCTAACATGGTGAAACCCAGTCTCTACTAAAAATACAAAAAATTAGCCGGGCGTGGTGGCATGCGCCTGTAATCCCAGCTACTCAGGAGGCTGAGGTAGGAGAATCGCTTGAACCCAGGAGGCAGAGGTTGCAGTGAGCTGACATTGCACCGCTGCACTCCAGCCTGGGTGACATAGCAAGACTCTATCTCAAAAAAAAGAAAAAAAAAAAAAAGGATGAAATGCTGCCCTTCCCAAGTCTCCACCAAATGAATGGTCTCAGATGGTGGCACCATATCCAGGCTGCTGACAAGTCATCATCACTCAGCAGCAGCACTCACTAGATCAGCCTAAGTGAGAGAGAGAATATGTCTTGGCAGGTAGTCACACATCTCTTCCACACCTACTCCATTAATGAGCCCGTTGCACAAGCACTTGAGTGGCAAGAAAAAAATTCTCGAATATTTCCTGGCTGGCCTGTCTTAACCACTTCCGTTTTTCAAAAGTCTTCTGCAATGAATGCACTCTAGTGAGCAATAATAACTTGAAACACAAAGCTTGTCGCACTTGAAGCCCACTCCCATAGGTCTATCCACATGATTCTTCCCTAGAACTTCTTGTCTCTGATTTTCCAACCTTGCTCCTTTCAGAGCCCTAGCCAACAAGTCAAGCTATTTGCCACTGCCCATGAATTTATATATATGCTTACCTCAGGCCACTTTTATCCCTTCCCAAAGTGGATGGCCAGGTATACTGGCCAAAACTCTGCCCTTGGAAGATTTTCCCTTACCACCATCTTTCAAACCACTCCTCCCCCAAATAGGCCTCGAATGCAGGTGAAGTCCATTTAGGGCTCACATCAACATACTGAGTTGACCCATTTATGACCCAAGCCTGTAGGTTTTCCTCTTCCATCAACTGGGCACAGGGAAGTCCCCCAAGATGCCATAGGTAGAGCTTTGGAGGTGCCCCAGAGGTGACAGCACCTGTTCATGCAGTTCACTCTCTGTGCCTCCTCAAGCTGATTCTAGATACACCATTTCTGTCTTACAACAGATTGTTTGAGGTTTCGCTTGACACTTGGTCCATGATGAATGCCTCTGGCCATCTAGACACTCAACGTCCACCAGATATTCAGTCTCTGCAGGGCCCAGTAGCTCACCAGAGTTGCTTCTCTTTTTTTTTGCGGGGCGGGGGGGACGGAGTTTCACTCTTGTTGCTCAGGCTGGAGTGCAGTGGCGCGACCTCAGCTCACTGCAACCTCTGCTTCCTGGGTTGAAGCTATTCTCCTGCCTTAGCCTCCTGAGTAGCTGGGATTACAGGCATCCACCGCCACGCCCAGCTAATTTTTTTATTTTTAGTAGAGACAGGGTTTCACTATGTTGGCCATGCTAGTTTCAAACTCCTGACCTCGTGATCCACCCGCCTCAGCCTCCCAAGGTGCTGGGATTACAGGCGTGAGCCACTGCACCTGGCTGTTGCTTCTTTTTTTTTTTTTTTTGAGACAGAGTTTTGCTCTTGTTGCTCAGGCTGGAGTGCAGTGGTGTAATCTCGGCTCACTGCAACCTCCGCCTCCTGGATTCAAGTGATTCTCCTGCCTCAGCCTCCCGAGTAGCTGGGACTACAGGCATATGCCACCATGCCTCACTAATTTTGTATTTTTAGTAGAGATGGGGTTTGCCATGTTGGCCAGGCTGGTATGGAACTCCTGACTTCAGGTGATCTGCCTGTCTCAGCCTCCCAAAGTGCTGGGATTACAGGCATGAGCCACCGGGCCCAGCGAGATGTGCATTTTGAATGGTATATATTGTCAGCTGCAGATGGCATGGAATCCTATGCAAGTGGATCCAGAATCCCAGGAGTCTGTTATGGGTTGAATTGTATCCCCCCAAAAATGTACATGTTGAAGTCCTAACTCCCAGTACCTCAGAATGTGGATTTTTTTTTTTTGAACTAGAATTATTGCAGAAGTAATTAGTTAAGATAAGGTGATACTGGAGTGGACCTACCCAATATGACTTGTATCCTTCTATGAAGGGGAAATTTGGAAACACACACACGCACACAGAGAGGCGGATAGACAGAGAGAGAGAGAATGCCACGTGAAGATGAAGACAGAGATCAAGGCGAGGCTTCTACATGCCAAGAAACACCAAAGACTGCTGGTAGCCATGAGGAGCTGGAGGAGAGGCCTGGAGCAGATCCTCCCTGCACAGCCCTTAGAAGGAAGCAACCCACCAACATCTTGATTGTGGTCTTCTAGCCTCCAGAACTGAGAAACAGTAAGATCTTATTGCGCGAGTCCCCCACTTATGGTACCTCCTGGCAAACTAATACAAAGTCAATGTGTGATTCTACTGCTGGTGCTTGTCAGAGACTCCACAGGCAGCTTTTTCAATCACAGATATCTCTAGTATCAAGGAATCTTAAAAAATGTAAGACAGATTGCCAGGGAATTGCTTCTAATTTAAATGCTAGTTTTTTATAATGTTGTTTTCAGTTACCTGAGTAATTACAATTTTAAAAATGTAAACGCACCCTTTCCCCTTATCTTTTTTACAGCACTTAATGTGTGTGCCTCTTCCTTCATTTATTCCACAGGTGCTTATTGACCACCTCCTATGACCCCAGTAAGAGGTGAAGCCTGCTGGGCTTCTGGGACGGGTGGGGACTTGGGGAACTTTTCTGTCTAGCTAAAGGATTGTAAATGCACCAATCAGCGCTCTGTGTCTAGCCAAAGGTTTGTAAACGCACCAATCAGTGCTCTGTGTCTAGCTAAAGGTGTGTAAACACACCAATCAACACTCTGTAAAAACAGACCAATCAGCACTCTGTAAAATGGGCCAATTAGCACTCTGTAAAATGGACCAATCAGCAGGATGTGGGTGGGGCCAAATAAGGGGATAAAAGCTGGCCACCGGAGCCAGCAGTGGCAATGCAGTGGGGTTGCCTTCCACACTGTGGAAGCTTTGTTCTTTTACTCTTTGGATCAGCACTGTCTTTATGAGCTGTAACACACCACAGAGGTCTGCAGCTTTACTCCTGAAGTCAGCGAGACCAAGAACCCACTGGGAGGAATGGAGAACTCTGGACACACCACCTTTAAGAGCTGTAATACTCACTGCAAAGGTCTGCGTCTTCACTCCTAAAGTCAGCAAGACCACCAACCTACCAGAAGGAAGAAACTCCAGACACATCTGAACATCTGAAGAAACAAACTCCGAACACACCATCTTTAAGAACTGTAACACTAATTGTGAGGTTCCGTGGCTTCATTCTTGAAGTCAGTAAGACCAAGAACCCACTGGAAGGAACCAATTCTGGACACACCAGCATGGTGTATGGAAGGATATGCAAACACAGCAGTGAACCAAATAGACAGGGTCCCTTCCTCAGGAGACAGAGAATACACCATCATCAACCAGGTTGCTCAGAAGAATTTTCTGTGGACGAAAGCAATTGTTCTTCAACACTCTTAGTCTCATTTAAAGCTAAATTGCCTCCAATTCTTTCTGGAAGCAAAGCAATAAACACAGAGAGTGACCATTGTGGGAAAATGCTCATAGTATACTGTTAAACTGGAAAAAAAAAAAGTACGGCACCAAATTATAGGTGGTATGATCTCAGATGTGTTAAAAATTCACTGTTCAGGGCCCATATTCAAACTGGGACACACTGGCAGATCTATGCTTATTGCTAAAATACTGGAATATTCCTGGGTCACTTGAAGATGCTGCTGTCTTGAACCATCTTAGGATTTGCCGCCCCACCCATCTCTACCTTTCTTCTGGTTTCCACCTGGCTTCCCAGGCATCCAGCGACTGAAGGATTAACATGGGGCCCAGCGGGGGCCTGCAGGGTTCAGCTCCACACACAGCTGAGGTCTGTTCTCATTGTTTTGCTGCCTGTGCCATATTTGAGTTCATTCCCTAAGAACTCTACTATCTTGGATTCTTCAGTCAGCCACAAAGTTGCATTTTTATTACTCAAAAACATTGCCAAGGCATAAAACTAAGATAAATCATTATTTTTCTTGCAAATAATTGGGGCTCTTTGGTTTTTCATTCCCTCTGCTTTCCCATCCTCTTCCAGTCATTCACTTAGTTCAAATACTCATGATGTTTAGAAATATTTCATGTTTGTGAGTGCAAGCATACTAATTATTCTATCCTGTCAAATAATCTCATTGTAGAACGTAAAAAGCATTTTAAAAATTTTTTTCCATTAAAGACAAGGGTATTTGGCAATTATTATTCAAGAAAAAAGTCACCTTAGCTTCTAATATCAATAGAACTGTATTTTCAATCGAAAAAGCTTCCTGTTAATGAATGATAGTCAATTTTCTACACCAACTTTTAAATTTTTTTGGTTTTATAGAAATACCATAAAGGAAAATGTACCTGAATGATCTGTGCTTCATCTTTGAAATTCATGAACTCCTAGGAAACCCAGATCCACAGCTGCCCTAAATGTTTACCCTGTGCTGGGAGAAGGGAAGATTCGCAGGTAACTTCAGACTCCAGGGCGCCAGCATTTTCTTTCTGAAGTGCGGCCCTTTCATCTGACTTGTTTGCTGGGACTTTTCAGAGAGGTTCGCGTCCTGATTCCTGTCCAAGTGTTGTCAGGCTGTTAGGAAGAAATCTCTGAAAAGGCCTCCGCCTGCTGAGCCGAAGTGTGGGCTTCACAAAAGTCAATACTTTCAACTTTTCCTTTGCCCTGGGTGTGTTTAAAGGGGCTTTCCAGTACAGATCCCTTTTATTGCAGGTGAGGGTTGGTAGAGAAATAATAGCTTTCATCTTTTGTCCTTCTGCGAAGAATAAAAATGAAGAAACAGGGATGCCCTCTTTTAGGCTTTACGAGATCCTTTTTTTAGATGGATTTATCTGATTAAAAATCTTGAATAGAAATGCTATGACAAAAAAATAGTAGACCATATTAGTGCAAACATCAGGTCTCCTTGAGCTCATTAATTTTAATTCACTTTGTTCTTAATAATGAGAGTTTTAGCCCCTAGGCTTTCGTGATGGGTAGTCCTGGTCCTATGAAGAGGGAGTGAGTCAAGTGATAAGAGGTTCATTACCATCTGGAGCCTAAGACGGCTCCTGGTGCATAGAAGATGCTCGATAAATATCTATGGAAGGAATAGCAAATGAGAAATGAACAGATCAGGCCTGATGGCAAGAGGCCCGAGTTCTAGAACGGAAACTAATTTAAGTGGCTCTCTTTCTGAGTTGCTAGCCTGATTTCTTGAATCTGTGAAACAAATAGATTGGATTTGATGATAGCACCCTTTAAATTTAGTATTTTCTTGTGTCAGGGACAGGTCTTTTTCAATATGCTATTGCTTAGTCAAGTCTTAAAGATTTCATTTTTTTAACAAAGCTTTTTGCAACCGCTCTAAAACTGCCTTAAAACAGCACTAAATCAAAGAATCTTTACACTTGAGGCTATATTCTGGACAGAGTAAATAGCTTTCCAAAGTTTATATATGGAATACCTTTCTTTTAATATAGTATTTGATAACAGTATTTTCCTAGACATCAGAATTTCTATACTAAATTCTTCCTACCATTAACAGAGATGATTTTTAAATGGGATAGCAAACTGCCTTTCTATTGATAGGGTGAGATGTTGCTATGATTTCAATGTTTGTGCCTGCCCCCAAACTCATACATTGAAATCCTAACTCTCAAACTGATGGCACTAGGAGGTGGGACTTTAGGAAGGTGATTAGGTTATGAACCCTCATGAGTGGGATTAGTGCCCTTATAAAGGAGGCCCCAGGGAGCTACAAAGCTCCTTCCACCACATGAAGATACATCAAGGAGATGCATCTCTGAAGTCAAGAGCGACCTTTACCAGACACCAAATCAGCCAGCACATTGATCTTGGACGTCCAGCCTCCAGACTGTGAGCAATATATTTCTGTTGTCTATAAGCCACACTTTTTTTTTTTTTTTTTTTTTGAGACAGAGTCTCGCTTTGTCACCAGACTGCAGTGAAGGTGGCGCGATCTCAGCTCACTGCAACCTCCACCTCCCAGGTTCAGGCGATTCTTCTGCTTCAGACTCCCAAGTAGCCGGGACTACAGGCATGCGCCACCACGCCCAGCTCATTTTTCTATTTTTAGTAGAGATGGGGTTTCACCATTTTGGCCAGAATGGTCTCAATGTCTTGACCTGGTGATCTGCCTGCCTTGGTCTCCCAAAGTGCTGGGATTACAAGTATGAGCCACCATGCCTGGCCAAGCCACCCATTTTAGATTTTGTTATAGTAGCCCTGATCCGACTAAGCCAGCTATATTCAATGGTTAAGTTTGATTTCTGGGTTGCATATTCTTGGACTCCTTATTTTCTGTTGCCATGTGCATAAGCAAACATAGTCTAGTTGGTTACAACGGTGCTGGACACGTGAGGCTGTGACTCAACAGTCACCAGTATTTGCCTTCCACTCTGAGAGGTGAGGACCATTAGGGCTAATAATGTGGCCCAGTCAGCTATTTTCCTGCCATAATTGTATTTCCTTCTTATTTTAAAAGAATTTCAGACTTATAGCAAAAGCACAAGAATAGTACAAAATGTACAAAACAGTACAAAAATGAATTCCCATAAGCCATTCACCCAGATCCAAATGTCACCATTGCTTCTTCATTATCATATTGCATATATGAATGTATGTCCGTGTGCATATATTTTTCCTTAAAATATTTGGGAGGAAGTTATAAGCATGATGTCACCTACCCCTAAATACCTCAGTGTGTATTATCCTAAAATGAGGCATTCTGGTAAGTAACCACACTATAATGATCAAAATCAGAGAACTGACGTTTATAAAACACTACTATTGAACATACAGACATTTTCCACATTTTGCTAATTGTCTCATTACTATTCCTCCTAGAAAATACTTTTGGCCGGGCGCAGTGGCTCATGCCTGTAATCCCAGCACTTGGGAGGCCGAGGCGGGTGGATCACGAGGTCAGGAGATTGAGACCATCCCGGCTAACAGGGTGAAACCCCATCTCTACTAAAAAATACAAAAAAATTAGCTGGGCGTGGTGGCAGGCGCCTGTAGTCCCAGCTACTCGGGAGGCTGAGGCAGGAGAATGGCGTGAACCCAGGAGACAGAGCTTGCAGTGAGCCGAGATCACACCACTGCACTCCAGCCCGTCGATAGAGCAAGACTCCATTTAAAAACAAAAAGAAAATACTTTTAATTTTTTGTTCTGTTTCATGATTGAGTCCAGAATCACACATTGCACTTAGTTGCTACGTCTCTTTAGTTTCCCTTAAGCTGCCACAGTTTCTCATATTTCTTTGTCTTTCATGACCTTGACGTTTTTGAAGGATACAGGCCAGTTATTTTGTAGAAAGCCCTTCTGTTTGGATTTGTGTGATGATTTCTCGGAATTCCATTTGGGTTCTGCATTCTTGGCAGGAACCCCCTGGAAGTAGAAGTGATGTGTGCTTCTCAGTGCTTCATATCATGAGGCAGCTGGTGACTCTTTGTCCCTTTACTGGTGATGTTTGGTTCCTTTGAAAGGTGCTGTCTGCTATGTTTCCCCATTGTGAAGTGACTGAGGCTTTTCTTCATAATTGATATAAATAATTGATTATACATTCTGTCTTTAATCTGTTTCCCTCCTGGCAGTTTACTATAGGCAATCAGGAGAAGCCATGCTGCACTTTGCTTAAAGATTTCTTCTGTCAAATACCCTCTTTCATTACTTGTTAAGTTCCTCCTTTCACAAAACATTAGGACCCAACACAATTCAGCTGAGGTCTTTGCCACTTTATAACAAGGATGGCCTTTCCTCCTGTTTCTAATAACATGCCCCTCATTTCTGATACCTCATCAGAATTGCCTTTATTGACCATATTTCTACCAACATTCTGAGTATAACCACTTAAGTAATGTCTTAGAAGATTGAGGCTTTTTCTACAGTTCTCTTCTTCTGAGCCCTTATGAGAATCGCCTTTTTATTTTTTGAGACGGAGTCTCGCTCTGTCACCTAGGCTGGAGTGCTGTGGCGCGATCTCGGCTCACTGCAAGCTCCACCTCCTGGATTCATGTCATTCTCCTGTCTCAGTCTCCCGAGTAGCTGGGACTACAGGCACCTGCCACCACGCCTGGCTAATTTTTTTGTATTTTTAGTAGAGATGGGGTTTCACCGTGTTAGCCAGGATGGTTTCGATCTCCTGACCTTGTGATCTGCCCGCCTCGGCCTCCCAAAGTGCTGGGATAACAGGTGTGAGCCACTGCGCTCGGCCTTATGAGAATCGCCTTCTATGACCCAACAATAGCAATACAAGCTTTTTCTAATGTGCACCTCAGTGTTCTTCCTGCTTCTGCTAATTATACAATTCCAAAGCCACTTCTACATTTTTAGGTATTGTTTTACAGCAGCACCCCACTTCTTGCTATCAATTTCCATCTAAGTCCATACAAGCTGCTAAAACAAAACATGTTAGTTTGAGAAATTTATAAACAACAGACATTATTTCTCACAACTGTAGAGGCTAGGAAGTCCAACAGCAAAGCACCAGCAGATTCAGTGTCTGGTGAAGGCCTGTTCTTCACAGATGGTGCCTTCTATGTGACCTTATAAGGGAAAAGGGTCAAGTCTGTGTCCTCACATGGCAGAAGGGACAAGGACTACTTCTCTCA
This sequence comes from Homo sapiens, assembly GCF_000001405.40. Classification (NCBI taxonomy): domain Eukaryota; kingdom Metazoa; phylum Chordata; class Mammalia; order Primates; family Hominidae; genus Homo; species Homo sapiens. The sequence continues at coordinate 6,395,915 of NC_000008.11, forward strand.
ACTTCTTGTTAAGGGCAAAAATCACATTCATTAGGACAGAGCCCTCATTACTTAATCACTTCCCACCTCTTACTACTACTGAGACCCTACCTCTTAATACTATTGCACTGGTGGTTAGGTTTCAACATCTGAATTTGTGGGGGACACCAACATGCAGACTACAGCAGTTGGTCTAGTAAGAATCTGCCTACCCTTGCTGTCTCTTTTTTGTAATTTTCCATCCAATGACCTCTCACTCTGTTCAATGGCCAGAAATCCCCAGTTGTCTTTGCTGAATTCAGAGTTGAGCCCAATCTCTCTTCCCTATCTCAACAGTCTTTAATAAAGTCTTCCTTCAGTGGGACTCATGCTATCTTCATTGGGTCTGGTTGTTTGGAAAGTTAAGTCTCTTATCAGAGTAACGGTTTTTCTTTAAAATTTTAGAGTTATCATTTTGGCTATTGAATAACTTATAGTGACCTGGGACTCTATTTTCTGATATCCAGTGTTTTTAAACCTTTGATATTTGACAGACCTCTCAAGATCAAATTCTAAGTTAAAAAAAAAATTAAGTTGCCTAAAGTCCAAAAAGACATATTCAGCTTATTTAAAGTACTAAAATCATGCGGTAAACATTGTCAAATATAGTGTTTAATTTTCTTTGGGTTACATTTATATAAATGTGTTATTAGTATGTATTACAAAATTGTATAAGATTATAAGAGTCCTATAATTTTGATATGCCTCAGTATATGTTATCAGTAATAATTATAATTGTTATGTTAAATTATTGTGTGTCACAGAGGTAACAAATTTCCTTGTCAATTTTTTTTTTCTTTTTTTTTTTTTTGAGATAGAATCTTGCTCTGTCACCCAGGCTGGAGTGCAGTGGCGTGATCTCGGCTCACTGCAAGCTCCACCTCCTGAGTTCACACCATTTTCCTGCCTCAGCCTCCCAAGTAGCTGGGACTACAGGCACCTGCCACCATGCCCGACTAATTTTTTTGTATTTTTAGTACAGATGGGTTTTCACTGGGTTAGCCAGGATGGTCTTGATCTCCTGACCTCGTGACCCGCCTGCCTCAGTCTCCCAAAGTGCTGGGATTTCAGGCGTTAGCCACTGCACGCAGCCCAATTGTGTTTTTAACTGTGGCTGCCCTAAAATATTTTTGTCATCCAAGGCAATTGTCTCATTTTGATCCACTTTGGAAGGTGGTTTTATAATCAGCTATAAAACTTTGACAGGTACTCTTGAATGCAAGTTTCTGATAACTTTGGAGATGATGATGACACAAGTGTAAAGGGGAAAAACTTTCAGGACTCTCATGGAGAGCTGAAATGTTCATGGATATGAAGCAGAACAAAAGTTAACTGAATGGACTGAACTAATAAAAGACTGAAGTAACCTTTTTTTTTTTTTTTTTACTTTTTTGCTTAAAATGTTGCTGATCCTTTTTCTTATCCAGAACTAAGAAAACTTATCTTTTGAGCTATTTACAGCCTTTAACAATTGGTAAAATATACTCCTGTGAACAAAATTTGGAGCATATTTCTTTCTACCTGACTTCTCCAGAATTTGGGAACTATTTGTGAGTATTCTCAATTTATGGTAGTATAGACATTTGCATAAGCATGATAAGAATCTGTTTTCTTTTGTAACAGGACACGATTGTAGAAACTGGTTATTTTACCAAGGCTTTGACTGGAATGGCATGCTTTCTTTAAGGAATCAAAGTTGATTTACAGAGCCAATAAAAGCCTCTTGGGAAATCTGGCCTCATATTTTCTTTACACAGTCCCTGTATAAGGTTTCTGACCTGTGATAAGTAAAGAATGGCACTTTCTAACAGGCCGAGGAGCCCCAAGTTATCTTGGCACCTCAAGAGAAGAATAATTTACCTAACTCATAGGTATTTGACGGTATAAACCCATGGCAGGGCTCAGCTTTTAAAAAGTCTTATCTGAGATTCCTTATAGAACAGAGCTCCATCAAAGCCAATTTAAAAATCCTATATGAAAAATAATTATTTTTGCTGTGCTTTATGCAAATAACCAGGCCAAGTACAATAAAAGTTTATTTTGCAAACCAATCAGTCCTATCATTATTTGTTTTTAATAAAAATGATGATTGGGGGGCCGGGTGCGGTAGCTCACGCCTGTAATCCCAGCACTTTGGGAGGCCGAGGCAGGTGGAACACGATGTCAGCAGATCGAGACCATCCTGGCTAAAACGGTGAAACCCCATCTCTACTAAAAATACAAAAAATTAACCGGGCGTGGTGGCGGGCGCCTGTAGTCCCAGCTACTCGGGAGGCTGAGGCAGGAGAATGGTGTGAACCCGGGAGGCAGAGCTTGCAGTGAGCCGAGATTGCGCCACTGCACTCCAGCCTGGTCAACAGAGTGAGACTCTGTCTCAAAAAAAAAAAAAAAGAAAAGAAAAAAATGAGGATTGGAAAGAGAAAAATTATACTTAAAAAAGACTTATAGGCTGGGCGTGGTGGCCCATGCCCATAATCCCAGCACTTTGGGAGGCCACGGCAGTTGGATCACGAGGTCAAGAGATTGATACCATCCTGGCCAACATGGAGAACTCCCATCTCTACTAAAAATACAAAAATTAGCTGGGCGTGGTGGTGTGCATGCACCTGTAGTCCCAGCTACTTGGGAGACTGAGGCAGGAGAGTTGCTTAAACCCGCGAGGTGGAGGTTGCAGTGAGCCCAGATCTTGCCACTACACTTCAGCCTGGCAACAGAGTGACACTCCATCTAAAAAAAAACAAAAGTTACAGTACACCTTTTGTTAGCTGTTCTTGAATTTTTCCTTCAGTTTGGACTAAATCCTAAATTCTCTGTGGGCTAAAAGTCCCCAAACTAATGCTTTCAAATCTTTACTTTTGAAACTGGGAATTGCACTCCTCACCCTAGTATTCATTATCTACCTGATAGTCACTGTTCCCTCAAATGCAGTACTAAAACTATAGATGTTAATACTAATGCCTTTGCCATGCGAGCCTTGGAACCCCAGCCAGGCCTGCATGAGTACGCTCACACAGTTGCAAAGCAGTTCCATTTCTCTCACTTTGGGGTTAACGCCTACCCCTACTATGCCTCAGATCGGCAGGAAGAAGTTAGAGCAGCCTTCGCCCTTTTTCAATTTTCATTAGCCAACACCTTAAGATTAAGGTGTTATAAAATCCAAAAGGAGTCTGGGAGCGGTGGCTTATGGTTATAATCTCAACATTTTGGGAGGCCAAGGCAGGTGGATCACTTGAGGTCAGGAGTTCGAGACCAGCCTGGCCAACATGGTGAAACCCCATCTCTACTAAAAATACAACAAATTAGCCAGGCGTGGTGGTGCATGCCTGTAGTCCCAGGTACTCGGGAGGCTGAGGCAGGAGAATTGCTTGAACCCGGGAGGTGGAGGTTGCGGTAAGCCAAAATCGCACCAAAAACAAACAAACAAAAAAACCAAAGGGAGGGATTGAAACAGCCACTGCAAAATTGTAACTGGGACAGTGAAGGAGATCTGACCTAACCAACTCCATCTTGCTTCTAACCTCCAAGCTGTCCTTGTTCTTTCCCAGGCATAGGCTGAACTAACTTTGGGAGGAACTTAGCTTAGTGTTTATAGTTTACAACCAAGAGAATAACAGTCCTTTCCAAAAACAAACCTCCTTCTTGCCTAGGGACTAGACTGCCTTTGTAGGACTCATAAATTAGCCACAAGATTAGAAACTATGGTTTAGGAGTCATGCAGTTGGAGGCTAGAAGATTCTGACCCTCCCAAAACTGCTCCTAAGATCAGCGCTTGAGATACATTGCAGACCCTGCACTTGATGGATCAGCTGGCCCCACCCAGATGGATAATCGGGCTCATCTGATCTTGTGGCCACCACCCAGTAACTGACTCAGCGCAAGAAGACTGCTTTGACTCCCTGTGATTTCATTTCCAACCTGACCAATCAGCACTCCTGACTCACTGGCTGCCCCCGGCCCAGCAAGTTATCCTTCAAAACTCTGATCCCTGGATGCTCCTTGGGGAGACTGATTTGAGTAATAATAAATCTCCTGTCTTAAATTAAAAAAAAAAAAAGTATTTACTGTTTCAACAACTTTAAGAACATTTTTTTTTCATTAATACCACCTAGAAATCAGTGACTGTGTTTTATTAGAATAATTTCTGGTGCTTTATCATGTCTTTGATTATTTAAGACAACTAAATCTTCTCACCTTAAAAAAAAAGCTATTTTTTTCTTACAATCATAGAATCTCCTATGGCTATTTTTATTGTCAGTTTAATTAAATGGATAATTAAGTGTTGTTTCACAGTGACCTGTGATCCTATTTAATCAAGTGTTCAACGCTTTTGGCATTTTTGACAACTTCCCCAAATGAAATTCTAAATGAAATTTTTTTAACTTTGAACTGACTTTGAGATTTTCCAAAGGGTCCCTAGAAGATCTCAAAATATTTGTTCTCTCATTTTGTAAAAAGAGAGATGTTAAACTAATTAGGTTTATTCAATATGTTAAATTGCACGGGAGGCACTCACTGTCAAGAAAAGATACTTAACCTTCCTTAGGTGGTATTTGCATGGATAAATGTTATTATTTCAGAAACTGAATAAAGTTCCTAGAAATTTGTCAATGCCCTTGATAACCATAATATGTCCTGGTATAATATTATCAGTCATGATTACAGTTATGATTTTAAATGTATGCCACAAAAAAACTGATTTTCCTTGTTAACAGAATTAAAATAAACCTTCATCCGATCTTTACCATGGCCATTTTTGCCTTTTTGTCATTCGCAGTTATTATTTTACTCTGGTACTTTCCTGAAAGCTCTAGCGATCAGTTATTAGCCAGAATACTTCATCTTCAACAAAAAGGACTGTTTCTCTAAGATCCATGGAAAGGCCTGTAACAGTACTGTGGGGTACAGGCTTCTGATGACATTGCTTAAATAACTTTAATCTCATACCACTGCCCTGAGGAAGGATTTCCAGAACTCTAGTTGAAAAGCTGATGGGTTCATGACACTGCTAATCCAAGATCAAGCAAGGCCAGAATTAATCATATGGAACTGAGGTGACTGATAAACAATGGTTATGATTTTTTAAATGGCCTTTGTTTGAAACATTGCTGGTTCTTGAATGTTCTATGTCCTGAATATAAGGGAAGAAACATAGATTAGAACAAGGAAACAAAATAAAAACAATGATTAATGTTCAGAGCAGAATATAAACCCAGTTTTTTTAAGTCCAGAGGGCAAGCCAGTCATGAGGTTTTCTAGATGTGGGGTTCCATCTTTAGTGAGGATGGTAGTGGTATGTTGGAGTCATGGTTATTTTCTGGAGCAGAGCCTGGAAGATGCAAGTGTTCTGGAGAAATAATTGAAAACCCCAAACTGTTGTGATACATCCTTTGATTTCTCTTTTCTCTTAAGCTATCCACAAATGATAACAATTTAATAAACTTTCATAAGTAGAAATGAAAAATTTATCTTTTTCTCCCTGCTTCCTCTAAAATTTGTCAATTCTTATTGAATATTCCTATTCTCATGGCAATATAGTTGTTTGCATAAATTCAAGAAGAATCTGTTCTCCTTAAAAAAGGACATTATTTGGAAAAATTGATTATGTTACCAAGACTTTGACTAGAAGGTCATATTTGAGACTGATGTGCACAGAATTAGACGTGACCAGACATTTTTAAGAAACTAAGGTTGACTTGATGGAGCCAATGCTTACAAAGCTCTGCTGAAATAATTGACCTGGTGCCTTACCTGACTTACAGGGTTCCAGGCTTACAGGTGAGTAAGATGGGTTACTTACTCGCAGGCCCAGGGCCTTAAGATGTTTTGGAAACCTCAAGAAGAGCAACAGTTTTAGGGTCTGAATGGATCCCCACATTTCTCTATCTGAAACTACAGATAGTATAGGTGTAGTCTTTTTTTTTTTTTTTTTTTTTTTTTTTTGAGATGGAGTCTCACTCTGTCCCCCAGGCTGGAATGCAGTGGTGCAATCTCGGTTCACTGCAAACTCTGCCGCCCAGGTTCATGCCATTCTCCTGCCTCAGCCTCCCGAGTAGCTGGGACTACAGGCACCCGCCACTACGCCCGGCTAATTTTTTTGTATTTTTAGTAAAGACGGGGTTTCACCGGGTTAGGCAGGATGGTCTTGAACTCCTGACCTTGTGATCCACCCGCCTCAGCCTCCCAAAGTGCTGGGATTACAGGCGTGACCCACCACGCCTGGCTGTGTAGGTGTAGTCTTAAAACTCTAATCTGAGATTCCTTATAAAAGTTCCAGCCAAGCAAACCTAAAAAGGCTCCTGTGGTCAATTATCATTCTTGCTGGACTTATGTAAATGATCAGGCCAAATTTAATGAGACAAGACTTATTTTGTAAACAAGAGTAATCTTACTTTGTTTATCTTTGATCTCAGTGGTAGTAATTATACAGAGAAATTTTATGTTTCAATGGCAAACTATAACCCAGTTGTGTGAGTTATCAGACTCTAGTCTTGTTCATTGTCTTTGAGCAATTTTTTTACCTCTTTAAAAGCTGGATCCTGCCGGTCAGGCACGGTGGCTCACGCCCGTAATCCCAGCACTCTGGGAGGCCGAGGCCGGGGAATCACCTGAGGTCGGGAGTTCGAGACCAGCCATGACCAACATGGAGAAACCCCATCTCTACTACAAATACAAAATTAGCCCACAATCCCAGCTACTTGGGAGGCTGAGGCAGGAGAATCGCTTGAATCTGGGAGGTGGAGGTTGCAGTGAGCCGAGATTGCACCACTGCATTCCAGCCTGGGCAACAAGAGTGATACTCAGTCTCAAAAACAAACAAACAAAACAAAAAACAAAACAAAACCTGGATCCTGCCATCTTACATATTTTGTCAGTAATCAGTATTTCCAATTTTCCTCCCACTCTACTGACTTGACGTCACTGAGAACTAAAACTGATTCCTTCTCAAAGCCTTGCAAGCTGAAGCTGGATGGCTAGACAGAAACTTCAAAAGACTTATCACAACACGTGGGTCTTTCAAATATTTCCCCAGAACACCTGCATCTTCCAGACTGTGCTCTAGGAAATAACCATGATGGCAACACTACCTACCACTACCATCCTCACTAAAGATAGCTGGAGCCCAACATCTAGAAAATTTCATAACTGGCTTACCCTCTAGACTGGGTTTATCGTCTGCTCTGAACATTAATCATTGTTTTTGTTTCCTTGTTCTAATCTATGTTTTTCCCCCTTTTACAGATCTCTCATCTTACAATTTCTAACTCAAATCATCTCCCCACAGCAATCAACTTAGCTTCTTTTTTTTGTTAATGAAATTTCTAGGGAAGTTTCAGATGGAGAAATGTGTGGACCATTCAGGCCCTAAAAGTTGGTATAAAGATTATTTTACTGTGAAAATATTTGATCTAAGAAAGACGCATCAAGAAATTTTATTTGAACTTCCCTTATTTCACTAAAGCAGAGCCCCCAGAAAATACAGCTGCCATTGGCCTCCCTCTGAGGAAGTTTCCTGTAAATTCCACTACTGTAGAGACAGATTGCCCATTCTCATAAGCATCCAAAAGCCCAAAAGAACCTTCCACAACTTCCTACTGAAACTCCAAAATCTCCCAACACATTTTGTTAAGTGGATCTATAAACCTTTATTTCTATTTAGTGAGTTACTCTAAACCTTGTCTTTTCTCCTGTTAACCTGTTGTTATCAGTTAATTTGCAGGTCTTCAAACACAGGACCGACATTGAATGAGGAAAAGCTTTCCTTCCAACATAGACAATACGACTACCTGTAGAACATCATTTTGAATGTACAAAAAATTATTAAGCAGATTTAGCAAGTTTTCAGGACATGAGATCAATTGCAGATATCAACTATATTTCCATATATTAGCAACAATCAGAAACAAATGAAAAAATCACCATTTACGATATTATCAAAAAACACAAGACCTTGCACAGTGGCTCATGCCTGTAATCCCTACACTTTGGGAAGCTGAGGTGGGAGGATTGCTTGAGCCCAGGAGTTCAAGACCAGCCTGGGCAACATAGTGGGACTCCGCCTCTACAAAGAATTTAAAAAATGAATTGGGCATGGTCATGTGTACTTGTAGTCCCAGCTACTCAGGAGGTTGAGGTGGGAGGATAGCTTGATCCCAGGAGGGTCGAGGCTTCAAGATGAGCCATGATCACACCATTGCACTTCAGCCTGGGAGACAGAGTGAGATCCTGTCTCAAAAAAAAAAAAAAAAAAAAAAGAAGAAAAAAAGAAAAACAAAATAAAAAAACAAATACTTAGGTTAAAATCTAACAACAGTTATATTTTTTTTTTTTGAGATGGAGTCTCGCTCTGTTGCCCCAGGTGGAGTGCAGTGGCAAGATCTCTGCTCACTGCAAGCTCTGTCTCCCGGGTTCATGCCATTCTCCTGCCTCAGCCTTCCAAGTAGCTGGGGCTACAGGCGCATGCCACCACGCCCGGCTAATTTTTTGTATTTTTAGTAGAGATGGGGTTTCACTGTGTTAGCCAGGATGGTCTCAATCTCCTGACCTTGTGATCGGCCCGCCTTGGCCTCCCAAAGTGGCAGGCGTGAGCCACTGCGTCTGGCCAGAGAAATTTTAAAAGACCTAAATGTTAATGGGTCAGAAGATTCAATATGGTTAAAATGTCAATTCTCCCCAAATTCATCTGTAGAGTCAACACAATCTCAATCAAAATCCCAGCAGTATTTTTTTGTGCAAAATGAGAAGTCGACTCTAAGATTTAAAAGGAAATCTGAAGAATCTAGAAGATACAAAATAACCTTGAAAAATAAAGTTGTAGGACATAAACTATCTGATTTCATCACTTATTTATATAGCTACAATAATCAAAACAGCATGGTGCTGGCAGCAAAAAGACAAATAGCTCAATGGAACACAATAGGAAGCCTAAAATGAAACACATACATATGCAACACAGATTTTGATGTAAGCACAAAGGAAATGCAGTAGAGACAAAAATAACTTTTTAATAAATGATGCTGGAACATTTGGATATGTATACATGCAAAAAAATGAACTTTGGTCCCTATCCCATACCGTATACAAAAATTAATTAAAAGCAGATCTTATCCTTTGAGTCCAGTAGGTTGAGGCTGCAGTGAGCTGTGATTACACCACTGCATTCCAGCCTGGGCAACGGAGTGAGAAACTGCCTGGAGAAAAAAAAAAAAAAAAGTAGAACCTAGACCTGATATACAACCTAAAGCAGTAATATTTCTAGAAGAAATCCTAGGAGAAAATATTTGTGATCGTGGAGATGAAGAATCTATCAAATACTAAACTTTTTTTACCACCTTGACCAAAAGTAATTGGTTTATATACTTCATCATATCATTTAATTCAAAATCTACAGAGATCAATGTCACTTTCTCAGTAAAAGTACGTGAGTCTTCAATGATGCCCTGAACTCACACTCCCAAGTAAACCATAACACCATATTTCCAGAGTAGAGTTTATTAGAACAATAACTGGTGATAATGATAAATATTGATCAAAGACTGAGCCTAGGAAGTGGGTTTTTTGAGGCTGCATATACTCAAGGCAATTCTTCAGAACCACAGAGGGCTCATTGGATCCTATTAAAAGCTGAGAGTGAATGAATAAACAGATAAAACAGAGACCTGAGTAGACGGTAGTCGATATTCTTTTACATGTATTCTACCTCTAGATTCCATAGAAAGAACTAAAAGTACATGAATTTCACTACCAACATCTCCATCAGTTACCAGCTGTATCACCTTGGATCAGTCAGGTAACCTCCCGCGAATCTGGTTGCTTCCGGGGCAGGGGATCCGCGGGCTGCAGGTTTGAGCCTGGTTGCCGGCAGGGTGGAGCAGCTGGAGGGCCAAGCCTTTGAGCTCCAGGGGGGGTGGCCGGGACAGTGGGTAGTGCCAGCCGATCGGCGTCCTGGGGATTGCCTGAATGTGAGGTCTGGGTTCACCCCGCGGTGACCTGAGTCCTGGGATGCCCCTACAGGGATTTGCTGCCTCAGGGATCCGAAGTCTCTTTCATTCCCTTACTGGGGATTTGAGGTCTGGAGGTACTCCTGCGGGGGTCTGAGATCTCGGGGTCACCCTGTGGGGGTCTGAAGCCTCGGGGTCCCCGCGTGGGGTCTGAGGTATCAGAGTCCCCTCCGTTGGGTCTGAGGTCTCGGGGTCCCCCATCCCCGGGATCGGAGGTCCGGCTCCCCGGAGCAGGCAGGGCGGTGCGTCTGGCCCTGAACAGTAACGTGGCGCGCCAGCCCCAGGTGGTGTCGGGCTAGGGGGGCATAACGGTGCCGAAAGTCCGCACAAAGCCGTCCGCTGGGGTCCCGCCGCGTCCGCGAGGGAATGACTGTGCCCCCTCCCCTTCCTGATCCTCAGCTCAGGTGAGCCCAGATGAGGCGCCGGGTAGCTTCTAAGTCACTAATGGAAATAGAAGGCTAATTCAGGGGTTAGGGGCCGTCGTCCTCCTTACTCCCAGGAGAAGAGAAAAACCCACGGCCCAGCAGCCAGAGGCGCGGCGAGGCGGAATCGGGCCCCCTCCCCGGGGGCTCAGCTCCCTCCAGCCTCCCGCCTCACCTACAGAGAAATCCCGGAAACGCGGATTCAGCGGAGCGCGGTGACGGCGGCGCGCTCACCCCGCGCATGCCCAGTGCCCGCGCGCGCCGCCAGGCTCGCAAGCACCGCGTAGGCCAGCTGGCCGGATCCCGCCGTCTGTCATGGCGGCCCCCATCCTGAAAGGTGAGGTACTTCCTGCTGCCTGCTCCAGCAGCGGGAGTTTGAGGACCGGCACCCCTCGTCGCGGGCGCACTCGGGGGATCCCGTGGGAGGAGCCCCGCTCGCCCCTCCCTCGCTGCCTGTCTCCCCCAGACCCCCTGCCGCCTCCTTCCTCCCCCGCTGCCTGTCCCACCAAAACCCCCTGCTCCTGCTCTCTCCCCCGCTGCCTGTCCCCCCAAAACCCCCGGCTGCCTGCTTCGTCTCCCGTGCTCCCTGTCCCCCCAAACCCCCGACTGCCTGCTTCCTCCCCCGTACTGCTTGTGCCCCAACCCCCGTGCTGCTAGTTCCCCTCAATCCCCCGCTGCCTGCTCCCTCCCCCATGCTGCCTGTCCCCCAAATCCCGCCTTTCCCCCTACCTGCTTTCACCCCTGCTGCCTTAGTCCCTGGATCTGGGGCTCACTGGCAGGCAGAGTCCTGCCCTCCGGAAGTTGGTGTGGGGCCCTCCTGGGTCTGGTCCTGTTCGACCCCCTCTGAGGCCCACCTGGAGGAGCGGCAGTTGAGTTTCTATGCTAATTGTTCCAATAATAGGAGCCGCCTTTTACTGCGGAGTCTTTGTGTGCCAGGCGCTGTGCTTAGGCTAGTATGGTATTGTCTGATTTTTTTAACCGCTCTATCAACTCTCTTATATCATTTTACAGGCAGAAACTAAGGCATCGGACGTTTAGGTGACTCTCCCTGTGTGTGGCTAGTCAGTGCTGACAGGGCCTTAGACCGGAGCTGCTGTCCTAACCAGTATATGATACCGCACGCAGTCCCACCCTCTGTGCACCTGGAAGAGCCCAGGAGAGGGGAATAGCGGACACGTGTCTTGTAGAGTTTGACCGTGAGAAAAAAGGGGCCTGTATTGTGGGGCCTGGAGTCATAAAACCTCATAGCCAAAAGTAAAGACTAGAGGCTTTATACAAAGTCTGTAATCAGATGTGGCTATTTTTCTAATGTTAGTATTTTGTTAAATTAACCTGGTTTTCTTTTAGCGTTACCCCCAATCATTGACCAACGGCACACCTGGAAAATGCTTTTAAACATCAGGTTTTGAGAAGAGGATATCCACTAGAACAGGGGTCCACTCACTATGCCCCCCAGGCCATATCTAGCCTGCTGCCTGTTTTTGTAAGGGTCTACGAGCTAAGAATGTCTTTTACATTTTTAAGTGATTTTAAAAAAAGGTCAAATGAAAAATTATATCACATTCACATTTCCTTCTCCATAAATAAAGTTTTATTGGAACACAGGCCGGCCCGTTAATATATTACCTATGGTT